>NC_000005.10:48613289-48939316 GCF_000001405.40 Homo sapiens | reverse complement strand
TAGTTTTGAAACGAAGATATTTCCTTTTCTGCCATTGACCTTAAAGCGCTTGAAATCTCCACTTGCCAATTGCACAAAAAGAGTGTTTCAAATCTGCTCTGTCTAAGGGAACGTTCAACTCTGTGAGTTGAATGTACACAACACAAGGAAGTTACTGGGAATTCTTCTGTCTAGCCTTACAGGAAAAAAACCCGTTTCCAACGAAGGCCTCTAAGTGGTCAAAATATCCACGTGCAGACTTTACAAACAGAGTGTTTCCAAACTGCTGAATGAAAAGAAAAGTTAAACTCTGAGAGTTGAACGCACACCTCGCAGAGCAGTTTCTGAGAATGATTCTGTCTAGTTTTTATAGGAAGATATTTCTTTTTCTACCATTGACCTCAAAGCGGCTGAAATCTCCACTTGCAAATTCCAGAAAAAGAGTGTTTCAAGTCTGCTCTGTGTAAAGGATCGTTGAACTCTGTGAGTTGAATACACACAACACAATGAAGTTAATGAGAATTCTTCTTTCTAGCAGAATATGAAGAAATCCCGTTTCCAACGAAGGCCTCAAAGAGGTCTGAATATCCACTTGCAGACTTTACAAACAGAGTGTTTCCTAACTGCTCTATGAAAAGAAAGGTTAAACTCTGTGAGTTGAACGCACACATCTCAAAGGAGTTTCTTAGAATCATTCTGTCTAGTTTTTATTCGAAGATATTTCCTTTTCTACCATTGACCTCAAAGCGGCTGAAATCTCCACTTGCAAATTCCACAAAAAGAGTGTTTCAAGTCTGCTCAAAGGATCGTTCAACTTTGTGAGTTGAATACACACAACACAAGGAAGTTGCTGAGAATTCTTCTGTCTAGCAGAATATGAAGAAATCCCGTTTCCAACGAAGGCCACAAGATGTCAGAATATCCACTTACAGAATTTACAAACAGAGTGTTTCCTAACTGCTCTATGAAAAGAAAGGTTAAACTCTGTGAGATGAACGAACACATCACAACGCAGTTTGTGGGAATGATTCTGTCTAGTTTTGAAACGAAGATATTTCCTTTCCTGCCATTGACCTTAAAGCGCTTGAAATCTCCATTTGCCAATTGCACAAAAAGAGTGTTTCAAATCTGCTCTGTCTAAGGGAACGTTCAACTCTGTGAGTTGAATGTACACAACACAAGGAAGTTACTGGGAATTCTTCTGTCTAGCCTTACATGAAAAAAACCCGTTTCCAACGAAGGCCTCTAAGTGGTCAAAATATCCACGTGCAGACTTTACAAACAGAGTGTTTCCAAACCGCTGAATGAAAAGAAAAGTTAAACTCTGAGAGTTGAACGCACACATCACACAGCAGTTTCTGAGAATGATTCTGTCTAGTTTTTATACGAAGATATTTCCTTTTCTGCCTTTGGCCCCAAAGCGCTTGAAATCTCCACTTGCAAATTCCACAAAAAGAGTGTTTCAAATCTGCTCTCTCTAAATGAAAGTTCAACTCTGTCAGTTGAATACACACAACACGAGGAAGTTACTGAGAATTCTTCTGTCTAGCATAATATGAAGAAATGCCGTTTCCAACGAAGGCCTCAAAGAGGTCTGAATATCCACTTGCAGACTTTACAAACAGAGTGTTTCCTAACTGCTCTATGAAAAGAAAAGTTAAACTCTGTGAGTTGAACGCACACATCACAAAGGAGTTTCTGAGAATCATTCTGTCTAGTCTTTATACGAAGATATTTCCTTTTCTACCATTGACCTCAAAGCGGCTGAAATCTCCACTTGCAAATTCCACAAAAAGAGTGTTTAAAGTCTGCTCTCTGTAAAGGATCGTTCAACTCTGTGAGTTGAATACACACAACACAAGGAAGTTACTCAGAATTCTTCTGTCTAGCAGAATATGAAGAAATCCCGTTTCCAACGAAGGCCTCAAGGAGGTCTGAATATCCACTTGCAGACTTTACAAACAGAGTGTTTCCTAACTGCTCTATGAACAGAAAGGTAAAACTCTGTGAGTTGAACGAACACATCACAACGCAGTTTGTGGGAATGATTCTGTCTAGTTTTGAAACGAAGATATTTCCTTTTCTGCCATTGACCTTAAAGCGCTTGAAATCTACACTTGCAAATTGCACAAATAGAGTGTTTCAAATCTGCTCTGTCTAAGGGAACGTTCAACTCTGTGAGTTGAAAGCACACAACACAAGGAAGTTACTGGGAATTCTTCTGTCTAGCCTTACATGAAAAAAACCCGTTTCCAACGAAGGCCTCTAAGTGGTCAAATTATCCACGTGCAGACTTTACGAACAGAGTGTTTCCAAACTGCTGAATGAAAAGAAAAGTTAAACTCTGAGAGTTGAACGTACACATCACAGAGCAGTTTCTGAGAATGATTCTGTCTAGTTTTTATATGAAGATATTTCCTTTTCTGCCTTTGGCCTCAAAGCGCTTGAAATCTCCATTTGCAAATTCCACAAAAAGAGTGTTTCAAATCTGCTCTGTGTAAATGAAAGTTCAACTCTGTGAGTTGAACACACACAACACAAGGAAGTTACTGGGAATTCTTCTGTCTAGCATAATATGAAGAAATCCCGTTTCCAACGAAGGCCTCAAGGAGGTCTGAATATCCACTTGCAGACTTTACAAACAGAGTGTTTCCTAACTGCTCTATGAAAAGAAAGGTTAAACTCTGTGAGTTGTACGCACACATCACAAAGGATTTCTCAGAATCATTCTGTCTAGTCTTTATATGAAGATAGTTTCCTTTTCTACCATTGACCTCAAAGCGGCTGAAATCTCCACTTGCAAATTCCACAAAAAGAGTGTTTCAAGTCTGCTCTGTGTAAAGGATCGTTCAACTCTGTGAGTTGAATACAAACAACACAAGGAAGTTACTGAGAATTCTTCTGTGTAGCATAATATGAAGAAATCCCGTTTCCAACGAAGGCCTCAAAGAGGTCTGAATATCCACTTGCAGACTTTACAAACAGAGTGTTTCCTAACTGCTCTATGAACAGAAAGGTTAAACTCTGTGAGTTGAACGAACACATCACAACGCAGTTTGTGGGAATGATTCTGTCTAGTTTTGAAACGAAGATATTTCCTTTTCTGCCGTTGACCTTAAAGAGCTTGAAAACTACACTTGCAAATTGCACAAATAGAGTGTTTCAAATCTGCTCTGTCTAAGGGAACGTTCAACTCTGTGAGTTGAATGCACACAACACAAGGAAGTTACTGGGAATTCTTCTGTCTAGCCTTACATGAAAAAAACCCGTTTCCAACGAAGGCCTCTAAGTGGTCAAAATTTCCACGTGCAGACTTTACAAACAGAGTGTTTCCAAACCGCTGAATGAAAAGAAAAGTTAAACTCTGAGAGTTGAACGCACACATCACGCAGCAGTTTCAAAGAATGATTCTGTCTAGTTTTGAAACGAAGATATTTCCTTTTCTGCCTTTGGCCTCAAAGCGCTTGAAATCTCCACTTGCAAATTCCACAAAAACAGTGTTTCAAATCTGCTCTGGGTAAATGAAAGTTCAACTCTGTGAGTTGAACACACACAACACAAGGAAGTTACTGGGAATTCTTCTGTCTAGCATAATATGAAGAAATCCCGTTTCCAACGAAGGCCTCAAAGGGGTCTGAATATCCACTTGCAGACTTTATAAACAGAGTGTTTACTAACTGCTCTATGAAAAGAAAGGTTAAACTCTGTGAGTTGAACACACACATCACAAAGGAGTTTCTGACAATCATTCTGTCTAGTTTTTATACGAAGATATTTACTTTTCTACCATTGACCTCAAAGCGGCTGAAATCTCCACCCTGCCAATTCCACAAAAAGAGTGTTTCAAGTCTACTCTGTGTAAAGGATCGTTGAACTCTGTGAGTTGAAAACACACAACACAACGAAGTTTCTGAGAATTCTTCTGTCTAGCAGAATATGAAGAAATCCCGTTTCCAAAGAAAGCCTCAAAGATGTCTGAATATCCACTTGCAGACTTTACAAACAGAGTGTTTCCTAACTGCTCTATGAAAAGAAAGGTTAAACTCTGTGAGTTGAACGCACACATCACAAAGGAGTTTCTCAGAATCATTCTGTCTAGTTTTGAAACGAAGATATTTCCTTTTCTGCCATTGACCTTAAAGCGCTTGAAATCTACACTTGCAAATTGCACAAATAGAGAGTTTCAAATCTGCTCTGTTCAAGGGAACGTTCAACTCTGTGAGTTGAATGCACACAACACATGGAAGTTACTGGGAATTCTTCTGTCTAGCCTTACAAGAAAAAAACCCGTTTCCAACGAAGGCCTCTAAATGGTCAAAATATCCACGTGCAGACTTTACAAACAGAGTGTTTCCAAACTGCTGAATGAAAAGAAAAGTTAAACTCTGAGAGTTGAACGCACACATCGCAGAGCAGTTTCTGAGAATGATTCTGTCTAGTTTTGAAACGAAGATATTTCCTTTTCTGCCTTTGGCCTCAAAGCGCTTGAAATCTCCACTTGCAAATTCCACAAAAGGAGAGTTTCAAATCTGCTCTGTGTAAATGAAAGTTCAACTCTGTGAGTTGAACACACACAACACAAGGAAGTTACAGGGAATTCTTCTGTCTAGCCTTATATGAAAAAAACCCGTTTCCAACGAAGGCCTCAAAGAGGTCTGAATATCCACTTGCAGACTTTACAAACAGAGTGTTTCCTAACTGCTCTATGAAAAGAAAGGTTAAACTCTGTGAGTTGAACGCACACATCACAAAGGAGTTTCCTGAGAATCATTTCTGTCTAGTTTCTATAGGAAGATATTTCCTATTCTACCATTGAACTCAAAGCGGCTGAAATCTCCACTTGCAAATTCCACAAAAAGAGTGTTTCAAGTCTGCTCTGTGTAAAGGATCGTTCAACTCTGTGAGTTGTATACACACAACACAAGGAAGTTACTGGGAATTCTTCTTTCTAGCATAATATGAAGAAATCCCGTTTCCAACGAAGGCCTCAAGGAGGTCTGAATATCCACTTGCAGACTTTACAAACAGAGTGTTTCCTAACTGCTCTATGAAAAGAAAGGTTAAACTGTGTGAGTTGAACGCACACATCACAAAGGAGTTTCACAGAATCATTCTGTCTAGTTTTGAAGACGAAGATATTTCCTTTTCTGCCATTGACCTTAAAGCGCTTGAAATCTACACTTGCAAATTGCACAAATAGAGTGTTTCAAATCTGCTCTGTCTAAGGGAACGTTCAACTCTGTGAGTTGAATGCACACAACACAAGGAAGTTACTGGGAAATCTTCTGTCTAGCCTTACATGAAAAAAACCCGTTTCCAACGAAGGCCTCTAAGTGGTCAAAATATCCACGTGCAGACTTCACAAACAGAGTGTTTCCAAACCGCTGAATGAAAAGAAAAGTTAAACTCTGAGAGTTGAACGCACACATCACGCAGCAGCTTCGGAGAATGATTCTCTCTAGTTTCTATAGGAAGATATTTCCTATTCTACCATTGAACTCAAAGCGGCTGAAATCTACACTTGCAAATTCCACAAAAAGAGTGTTTCAAGTCTGCTCTGTGTAAAGGATCGTTCAACTCTGTGAGTTGAATACACACAACACAAGGAAGTTACTGAGAATTCTTCTGTCTAGCATATTATGAAGAAATGCCGTTTCCAACGAAGGCCTCAAAGAGGTCTGAATATCCACTTGCACACTTTACAAACAGAGTGTTTCCTAACTGCTCTATGAAAAGAAAGGTTATACTCTGTGAGTTGAACGCACACATCACAAAGGAGTTTCTGAGAATCATTCTGTCTAGTTTCTATAGGAAGATATTTCCTATTCTACCATTGACCTCAAAGCGGCTGAAATCTCCACTTGCAAATTCCACAAAAAGAGTGTTTCAAGTCTGCTCTGCGTAAAGGATCGTTCAACTCTGTGAGTTGAATACACACAACACAAGGAAGTTTCTGAGAACTCTTCTGTCTAGGAGAATATGAAGAAATCCCGTTTCCAACGAAGGCCACAAGATGTCAGAATATCCACTTACAGAATTGACAAACAGACTGTTTCCTAACTGCTCTATGAAAAGAAAGGTTAAACTCTGTGAGTTGAACGAACCATCACAACGCAGTTTGTGGGAATGATTCTGTCTAGTTTTGAAACGAAGATATTTCCTTTTCTGCCGTTGACCTTAAAGCGCTTGAAATCTACACTTGCAAATTGCACAAATAGAGTGTTTCAAATCTGCTCTGTCTAAGGGAACGTTCAACTCTGTGAGTTGAATGCACACAACACAAGGAAGTTACTGGGAATTCTTCTGTCTAGCCTTACAAGAAAAAAACCCGTTTCCAACGAAAGCCTCTAAATGGTCAAAATATCCACGTGCAGACTTTACAAACAGAGTGTTTCCAAACTGCTGAATGAAAAGAAAAGTTAAACTCTGAGAGTTGAACGCACACATCGCAGAGCAGTTCTGAGAATGATTCTGTCTAGTTTTGAAACGAAGATATTTCCTTTTCTGCCTTTGGCCTCAAATCGCTTGAAATCTCCACTTGCAAATTCCAAAAAAAGAGTGTTTCAAATCTGCTCTGTGTAAATGAAAGTTCAACTCTGTGAGTTGAACACACACAACACAAGGAAGTTACTGGGAATTCTTCTGTCTAGCATAGTATGAAAAAAACCCGTTTCCAACGAAGGCCTCAAAGAGGTCTGAATATCCACTTGCAGACTTTACAAACAGAGTGTTTCCTAACTGCTCTATGAAAAGAAAGGTTAAACTCTGTGAGTTGAACGCACACATCACAAAGGAGTTTCTGAGAATCATTCTGTCTAGTTTTTATACGAAGATATTTCCTTTTCTCCCATGGACCTCAAAGCGGCTGAAATCTCCACTTGCAAATTCCACAAAAAGAGTGTTTCAAGTCTGCTCTGTGTAAAGGATCGTTCAACTCTGTGAGTTGAATACACACAACACAAGGAAGATTCTGAGAATTCTTCTGTCTAGCAGAATATGAAGAAATCCCGTTTCCAACGAAGGCCACAAGATGTCAGAATATCCACTTACAGACTTTACAAACAGAGTGTTTCCTAACTGCTCTATGAACAGAAAGGTTAAACTCTGTGAGTTGAACGAACACATCACAACGTAGTTTGTGGGAATGATTCTGTCTAGTTTTTATACGAAGATATTTCCTTTTCTACCATTGACCTCAAAGAGGCTGAAATCACCACTTGCCAATTGCACAAAAAGAGTGTTTCAAATCTGCTCTGTCTAAGGGAACGTTCAACTCTGTGAGTTGAATGTACACAACACAAGGAAGTTACTGGGAATTCTTCTGTCTAGCCTTACATGAAAAAAACCCGTTTCCAATGAAGACCTCTAAGTGGTCAAAATATCCACGTGCAGACTTTACAAACAGAGTGTTTCCAAACCGCTGAATGAAAAGAAAAGTTAAACTCTGAGAGTTGGACGCACACATCACGCAGCAGTTTCTGAGAATGATTCTGTCTAGTTTTTATACGAAGATATTTCCTTTTCTGCCTTTGGCCCCAAAGCGCTTGAAATCTCCACTTGCAAATTCCACAAAAACAGTGTTTCAAATCTGCTCTCTCTAAATGAAAGTTCAACTCTGTCAGTTGAATACACACAACAGAAGGAAGTTACTGAGAATTCTTCTGTCTAGCCTTATATGAAAAAAACCCGTTTCCAACGAAGGCCTCAAAGAGGTCTGAATATCCACTTGCAGACTTTACAAACAGAGTGTTTCCTAACTGCTCTATGAAAAGAAAGGTTAAACTCTGTGAGTTGAATGCACACATCACAAAGGAGTTTCTGAGAATCATTCTGTCTAGTTTTTATAGGAAGATATTTCCTTTTCTACCTTTGACTTCAAAGCGGCTGAAATCTCCACTTGCAAATTCCACAAAAAGAGTGTTCCAAGTATGCTCTGTGTAAAGGATCGTTCAACTCTGTGAGTTGAATACACACAACACAAGGAAGTTACTGAGAATTCTGTCTAGCAGAACATGAAGAAATCCCGTTTCCAACGAAGGCCTCAAAGATGTCTGAATATCCACTTGCAGACTTTACAAACAGAGTGTGTCCTAACTGCTCTATGAAAAGAAAGGTTAAACTCTGTGAGTTGAACGCAGACATCACAAAGGAGTTTCTGAGAATCACTCTGTCTAGTTTTTATAGGAAGTTATTTCCTTTTCTACCTTTGACTTCAAAGCGGCTGAAATCTCCACTTGCAAATTCCACAAAAAGAGTGTTACAAGTCTGCTCTGTGTAAAGGATCGTTCAACTCTGTGAGTTGAATACACACAACACAAGGAAGTTACTGAGAATACTTCTGTCTAGCCTTACATGAAAAAAACCCGTTTCCAACGAAGGCCTCTAAGTGGTCAAGTTATCCACGTGCAGACTTTACAAACAGAGTGTTTCCAAACTGCTGAATGAAAAGAAAAGTTAAACTCTGAGAGTTGAACGCACACATCGCAGAGCAGTTTCTGAGAATGATTCTGTCTAGTTTTTATACGAAGATACTTCCTTTTCTGCCTTTGGCCTCAAAGCGCTTGAAATCTCCATTTGCAAATTCCACAAAAAGAGTGTTTCAAATCTGCTCTGTGTAAATGAAAGTTCAACTCTGTGAGTTGAACACACACAACACAAGGAAAGTTACTGGGAATTCTTCTGTCTAGCCTTATATGAAAAAAACCCGTTTCCAACGAAGGCCTCAAAGAGGTCTGAATATCCACTTGCAGACTTTAGAAACAGAGTGTTTCCTAACTGCTCTATGAAAAGAAATGTTAAACTCTGTGAGTTGAACACACACACATCACAAAGGAGTTTCTGAGAATCATTCGGTCTAGTTTTTATAGGAAGATATTTCCTTTTCTACCATTGACCTCAAAGCGGCTGAAATCTCCACTTGCAAATTCCACAAAAACAGTGTTTCAAGTCTGCTCTGTGTAAAGGATCGTTGAACTCTGTGAGTTGAATACACACAACACAAGGAAGTTACTGAGAATTCTTCTCTGTAGCAGAATATGAAGAAATCCCGTTTCCAACGAAGGCCTCAAAGAGGTCTGAATATCCACTTGCAGACTTTACAAACAGAGTGTTTCCTAACTGCTCTATGAAAAGAAAGGTTAAACTCTGTGAGTTGAACGCACACATCACAACGGAGTTTCTGAGAATCATTCTGTCTAGTTTTGAAACGAAGATATTTCCTTTTCTGCCATTGAACTTAAAGCGCTTGAAATCTCCATTTGCCAATTGCACAAAAAGAGTGTTTCAAATCTGCTCTGTCTAAGGGAACGTTCAACTCTGTGAGTTGAATGTACACAACACAAGGAAGTTACTGGGAATTCTTCTGTCTAGCCTTACAGGAAAAAAACCCGTTTCCAACGAAGGCCTCTAAGTGGTCAAGTTATCCACGTGCAGACTTTACAAACAGAGTGTTTCCAAACTGCTGAATGAAAAGAAAAGTTAAACTCTGAGAGTTGAACGCACACATCGCAGAGCAGTTTCGGAGAATGATTCTGTCTAGTTTTTATACGAAGATATTTCCTTTTCTGCCTTTGGCCCCAAAGCGCTTGAAATCTCCACTTGCAAATTCCACAAGAACAGTGTTTCAAATCTGCTCTCTCTAAATGAAAGTTCAACTCTGTCAGTTGAATACACACAACACAAGGAAGTTACTGAGAATTCTTCTGTCTAGCAGAATATGAAGAAATCCCGTTTCCAACGAAAGCCTCAAAGAAGTCTGAATATCCACTTGCAGACTTTACAAACAGAGTGTTTCCTAACTGCTCTATGAAAAGAAAGGTTGAACTCTGTGAGTTGAACGCACACATCACAAAGGAGTTTCTGAGAATCATTCTGTCTAGTTTCTATAGGAAGATATTTCCTATTCTACCATTGACCTCAAAGCGGCTGAAATCTCCACTTGCAAATTCCACAAAAGGAGTGTTTCAAGTCTGCTCTGTGTAAAGGATCGTTCAACTCTGTGAGTTGAATACACACAACACAAGGGAAGTTACTGAGAATTCTTCTGTCTAGCAGAATAGGAAGAAATCCCGTTTCCAACGAAGGCCTCAAAGAGGTCTGAATATCCACGTGCAGACTTTTCAAACAGAGTGTTTCCTAACTGCTCTATGAACAGAAAGGTTAAACTCTGTGAGTTGAACGAACACATCACAACGCAGTTTGTGGGAATGATTCTGTCTAGTTTTGAAACGAAGATATTTCCTTTTCTGCCGTTGACCTTAAAGAGCTTGAAAACTACACTTGCAAATTGCACAAATAGAGTGTTTCAAATCTGCTCTGTCTAAGGGAACGTTCAACTCTGTGAGTTGAATACACACAACACAAGGAAGTTACTGAGAATTCTTCTGTCTAGCCTTACGGGAAAAAAACCCGTTTCCAACGAAGGCCTCTAAGTGGTCAAAATATCCACGTGCAGACTTTACAAACAGAGTGTTTCCAAACTGCTGAATGAAAAGAAAAGTTAAACTCTGAGAGTTGAACGCACACATCGCAGAGCAGTTTCTGAGAATGATTCCGTCTAGTTTTTATACGAAGATATTTCCTTTTCTGCCTTTGGCCCCAAAGCGCTTGAAATCTCCAATTGCAAATTCCACAAAAACAGTGTTTCAAATCTGCTCTCTCTAAATGAAAGTTCAACTCTGTCAGTTGAATACACACAACACAAGGAAGTTACTGAGAATTCTTCACTCTAGCATAATATGGAGAAATCCCGTTTCCAACGAATGCCTCAAAGAGGTCTGAATATCCACTTGCAGACTTTACAAACAAAGTGTTTCCTAACTGCTATATGAAAAGAAAAGTTAAACTCTGTGAGTTGAACGCACACATCACAAAGGATTTTCTGAGAATCATTCTGTCTAGTTTCTATACGAAGATATTTCCTATTCTACCATTGACCTCAAAGCGGCTGAAATCTCCACTTGCAAATTCCACAAAAAGAGTGTTTCAAGTCTGCTCTGTGTAAAGGATCGCTCAACTTCTGTGAGTTGAATACACACAACACAAGGAAGTTACTGAGAATTCTTCTGTCTAGCAGAATATGGAGAAATCCCGTTTCCAACGTAGGCCACAAGATGTCAGAATATCCACTTACAGACTTTACAAACAGAGTGTTTCCTAACTGCTCTATGAACAGAAAGGTTAAACTCTGTGAGTTGAACGAACACATCACAACGCAGTTTGTGGGAATGATTCTGTCTAGTTTTGAAACGAAGATATTTCCTTTTCTGCCATTGACCTCAAAGCGCTTGAAATGTCCACTTGCCAATTGCACAAAAAGAGTGTTTCAAATCTGCTCTGTCTAAGGGAACGTTCAACTCTGTGAGTTGAATATACACAACACAAGGAAGTTACTGGGAATTCTTCTGTCTAGCCTTACAGGAAAAAAACCCGTTTCCAACGAAGGCCTCTAAGTGGTCAAAATATCCACGTGCAGACTTTACAAACAGAGTGTTTCCAAACTGCTGAATGAAAAGAAAAGTTAAACTCTGAGAGTTGAATGCACACATCGCAGAGCAGTTTCTGAGAATGATTCTGTCTAGTTTTTATACGAAGATATTTCCTTTTCTGCCTTTGGCCTCAAAGCGCTTGAAATCTCCACTTGCAAATTCCACAAAAAGAGTGTTTGAAATCTGCTCTGTGTAAATGAAAGTTCAACTCTGTGAGTTGAACACACACAACACAAGGAAGTTACTGGGAATTCTTCTGTCTAGCATAATATGAAGAAATCCCGTTTCCAACGAAGGCCTCAAAGAGGTCTGAATATCCACTTGCAGACTTTACAAACAGAGTGTTTCCTAACTGCTCTATGAAAAGAAAAGTTAAACTCTGTGATTTGAACGCACACATCACAAAGGAGTTTATGAGAATCATTCTGTCTAGTTTCTATAGGAAGATATTTCCTATTCTACCATTGACCTCAAAGCGGCTGAAATCTACACTTGCAAATTCCACAAAAAGAGTGTTTCAAGTCTGCTCTGTGTAAAGGATCGTTCAACTCTGTGAGTTGAATACACACAACACAAGGAAGTTACTGAGAATTCTTCTGTCTAGCAGAATACGAAGAAATCCCGTTTCCAACGAAGGCCACAAGATGTCAGAATATCCACTTACAGACTTTACAAACAGAGTGTTTCCTAACTGCTCTATGAACAGAAAGGTTAAACTCTGTGAGTTGAACGAACACATCACAACGCAGTTTGTGGGAATGATTCTGTCTAGTTTTGAAACGAAGAAATTTCCTTTTCTGCCATTGACCTTAAAGCGCTTGAAATCTACACTTGCAAATTGCACAAATACAGTGTTTCAAATCTGCTCTGTCAAAGGGAACGTTCAACTCTGTGAGTTGAATGCACACAACACAAGGAAGTTACTGGGAATTCTTCTGTCTAGCCTTACATGAGAAAAACCCGTTTCCAACGAAGGCCTCTATGTGGTCAAATTATCAACGTGCAGACTTTACAAACAGAGGGTTTTCAAACTGCTGAATGAAAAGAAAAGTTAAACTCTGAGAGTTGAACGCACACATCGCAGAGCAGTTTCTGAGAATGATTCTGTCTATTTTTTTACGAAGATATTTCCTTTTCTGCCTTTGGCCTCAAAGCGCTTGAAATCTCCACTTGCAAATTCCACAAAAAGAGTGTTTCAAATCTGCTCTGTTTAAATGAAAGTTCAACTCTGTGAGTTGAACACACACAACACAAGGAAGTTACTGGGAATTCTTCTGTCTAGCATAGTATGAAGAAATCCCGTTTCCAACGAAGGCCTCAAACAGGTCTGAATATCCACTTGCAGACTTTACAAACAGAGTGTTTCCTAACTGCTCTATGAAAAGAAAGGTTAAACTCTGTGAGTTGAACGCACAAAGAAGTTTCTGAGAATCATTCTGTCTAGTTTCTATAGGAAGATATTTCCTATTCTACCATTGACCTCAAAGCGGCTGAAATCTCCACTTGCAAATTCCACAAAAGGAGTGTTTCAAGTCTGCTCTGTGTAAAGGATCGTTCAACTCTGTGAGTTGAATACACACAACACAAGGCAGTTACTGAGAATTCTTCTGTCTAGCAGAATATGAAGAAATCCCGTTTCCAACGAAGGCCACAAGATGTCAGAATATCCACTTACAGAATTTACAAACAGACTGTTTCCTAACTGCTCTATGAAAAGAAAGGTTAAACTCTGTGAGTTGAACGAACACATCACAACACAGTTTGTGGGAATGATTCTCTCTAGTTTTGAAACGAAGATATTTCCTTTTCTGCCATTGACCTTAAAGCGCTTGAAATCTCCACTTGCCAATTGCACAAAAAGAGTGTTTCAACTCTGCTCTGTCTAAGGGAACGTTCAACTCTGTGAGTTGAATGTACACAACACAAGGGAAGTTACTGGGAATTCTTCTGTCTAGCCTTACAGGAAAAAAACCCGTTTCCAACGAAGGCCTCTAAGTGGTCAAAATATCCACGTGCAGACTTTACAAACAGAGTGTTTCCAAACTGCTGAATGAAAAGAAAAGTTAAACTCTGAGAGATGAACGCACACATCGCAGAGCAGTTTCTGAGAATGATTCTGTCTAGTTTCTATAGGAAGATATTTCCTATTCTACCATTGACCTCAAAGCGGCTGAAATCTCCACTTGCAAATTCCAGAAAAAGAGTGTTTCAAGTCTGCTCTCTGTAAAGGATCGTTCAACTCTGAGAGTTGAATACACACAACACAAGGAAGTTACTGAGAATTATTCTGTCTAGCATAATATGAAGAAATCCCGTTTCCAACGAAGGCCACAAAGAGGTCTGAATATCCACTTGCAGACTTTACAAACAGAGTGTTTCCTAACTGCTCTATGAAAAGAAAAGTTAAACTCTGTGAGTTGAACGCACACATCACAAAGGAGTTTCTGAGAATCATTCTGTCTAGTTTCTATAGGAAGATATTTCCTATTCTACCGTTGACCTCAAAGCGGCTGAAATCTCCACTTGAAAATTCCACAACAAGAGTGTTTCAAGTCTGTTCTGTGTAAAGGATCATTCAACTCTGTGAGTTGAATACACAAAACACAAGGAAGTTACTGAGAATTCTTCTGTCTAGCAGAATATGAAGAAATCCCGTTTCCAACGAAGGCCTCAAGGAGGTCTGAATATCCACTTGCAGACTTTACAAACAGAGTGTTTCCTAACTGCTCTATGAAAAGAAAGGTTAAACTCTGTGTGTTGAACGCACACATCACAAAGGAGTTTCTCAGAATCATTCTGTCTACTTTTGAAACGAAGATATTTCCTTTTCTGCCATTGACCTTAAAGCGCTTGAAATCTACACTTGCAAATTGCACAAATAGAGTGTTTCAAATCTGCTCTGTCTAAGGGAACGTTCAACTCTGTGAGTTGAATGCACACAACACAAGGAAGTTACTGGGAATTATTCTGTCTAGCCTTACATGCAAAAAACCAGTTTCCAACGAAGGCCTCTAAGTGGTCAAAATATCCACGTGCAGACTTTACAAACAGAGTGTTTCCAAACCGCTGAATTAAAAGAAAAGTTAAACTCTGAGAGTTGAACGCACACATCACGCAGCAGTTTCTGAGAATGATTCCGTCTAGTTTTTATACGAAGATATTTCCTTTTCTGCCTTTGGCCCCAAAGCGCTTGAAATCTCCACTTGCAAATTCCACAAAAACAGTGTTTCAAATCTGCTCTCTCTAAATGAAAGTTCAACTCTGTCAGTTGAATACACACAACACAAGGAAGTTACTGAGAATTCTTCTGTCTAGCAGAATATGAAGAAATCCCGTTTCCAACGAAGGCCTCAAAGAGGTCTGAATATCCACTTGCAGACTTTACAAACAGAGTGTTTCCTAACTGCTCTATGAAAAGAAAGGTTAAACTTTGTGAGTTGAACGCACACATCACAAAGGAGTTTCTGAGAATCATTCTGTCTAGTTTTTATACGAAGATATTTCCTTTTCTACCATTGACCTCAAAGCGGCTGAAATCTCCACTTGCAAATTCCACCAAAAGAGTGTTTCAAATCTGCTCTGTGTAAACCATCGTTCAACTCTGTGAGTTGAATACACACAACACAAGGAAGATTCTGAGAATTCTTCTGTCTAGGAGAATATTATGAAATCCCGTTTCCAACGAAGGCCACAAGATGTCAGAATATCCACTTACAGACTTTACAAACAGAGTGTTTCCTAACTGCTCTATGAACAGAAAGGTTAAACTCTGTGAGTTGAACGAACACATCACAACGCAGTTTCTGGGAATGATTCTGTCTAGTTTTGAAACGAAGATATTTCCTTTTCTGCCATTGACCTTAAAGCGCTTGAAATCTACACTTGCAAATTGCACAAATAGAGTGTTTCAAATCTGCTCTGTCTAAGGGAACGTTCAGCTCTGTGAGTTGAATGCACACAACACAAGGAAAGTTACTGGGAATTCTTCTGTCTAGCCTTACATGAAAAAAACCCGTTTCCAACGAAGGCCTCTAAGTGGTCAAAATATCCACGTGCAGACTTTACAAACAGAGTGTTTCCAAACCGCTGAATGAAAAGAAAAGTTAAACTCTGAGAGTTGAACGCACACATCACGCAGCAGTTTCTGAGAATGATTCTGTCTAGTTTCTATAGGAAGATATTTCCTATTCTACCATTGACCTCACAGCGGCTGAAATCTCCACTTGCAAATTCCACAAAAAGAGTGTTTCAAGTCTTCTCTGTGTAAAGGATCGTTCAACTCTGTGAGTTGAATACACACAACACAAGGCAGTTACTGAGAATTCTTCTGTCTAGCAGAATATGAAGAAATCCCGCTTCCAACGAAGGCCTCAAAGAAGTCTGAATATCCACTTGCAGACTTTACAAACAGAGTGTTTCCCAACTGCTCTATGAAAAGAAAGGTTGAACTCTGTGAGTTGAACGCACACATCACAAAGGAGTTATGAGAATCATTCTGTCTAGTTTTTATACGAAGATATTTCATTTTCTACCATTGACCTCAAAGCGGCTGAAATCTCCACTTGCAAATTCCACAAAAAGAGTGTTTCAAATCTGCTCTGTGTAAACCATCGTTCAACTGTGTGAGTTGAATACACACAACACAAGGAAGATTCTGAGAATTCTTCTGTCTAGCAGAATATGAAGAAATCCCGTTTCCAACGAAGGCCACAAGATGTCAGAATATCCACTTACAGACTTTACAAACTGAGTGTTTCCTAACTGCTCTATGAACAGAAAGGTTAAACTCTGTGAGTTGAACGAACACATCACAACGCGAGTTTGTGGGAATGATTCTGTCTAGTTTTGAAACGAAGATATTTCCTTTTCTGCCGTTGACCTTAAAGCGCTTGAAATCTACACTTGCAAATTGCACAAATAGAGTGTTTCAAATCTGCTCTGTCCAAGGGAACGTTCAACTCTGTGAGTTGAATGCACACAACACAAGGAAGTTACTGGGAATTCTTCTGTCTAGCCTTACAGGAAAAAAACCCGTTTCCAACGAAGGCCTCTAAGTGGTCAAAATATCCACGTGCAGACTTTACAAACAGAGTGTTTCCAAACTGCTGAATGCTAAAGAAAAGTTAAACTCTGAGAGTTGAACGCACACATCGCAGAGCAGTTTCTGAGAATGATTCTGTCTAGTTTTGAAACGAAGATATTTCCTTTTCTGCCTTTGGCCTCAAAGCGCTTGAAATCTCCACTTGCAAATTCCACAAAAAGAGTGTTACAAGTCTGCTCTGTGTAAAGGATCGTTCAACTCTATGAGTTGAATACACACAACACAAGGAAGTTACTGAGAATTCTTTTTTCTAGCAGAATATGAAGAAATCCCGTTTCCAACGAAAGCCTCAAGGATGTCTGAATATCCACTTGCAGACTTTACAAACAGAGTGTTTCCTAACTGCTCTATGAAAAGAAAGGTTAAACTCTGTGAGTTGAACGCACACATCACAAAGGAGTTTCTGAGAATCATTCTGCCTAGTTTTTCTACGAAGATATTTCCTTTTCTTCTATTGACCTCAAAGCGGCTGAAATCTCCACTTGCAAATTCCACAAAAAGAGTGTTTCAAGACTGCTCTGTGTAAAGGATCGTTCAACTCTGTGAGTTGAATACACACAACACAAGGAAGTTACTGAGAATTCTTCTGTCTAGCAGAATATGAAGAAAACCCGTTTCCAACGAAGGCCTCAAAGAGGTCTGAATATCCACTTGCAGACTTTACAAACAGAGTGTTTCCTAACTGCTCTATGAAAAGAAAGGTTAAACTCTGTGAGTTGAACGCACACATCACAAAGGAGTTTCTGAGAATCATTCTGTCTAGTTTTGAAACGAAGATATTTCCTTTTCTGCCGTTGACCTTAAAGCGCTTGAAGTCTACACTTGCAAATTGCACAAATAGAGTGTTTCAAATCTGCTCTGTCTAAGGGAACTTTCAACTCTGTGAGTTGAATGCACACAACACAAGGAAGTTACTGGGAATTCTTCTGTCTACCCTTACATGAAAAAAACCCGTTTCCAACGAAGGCCTCTAAGTGGTCAAAATATCCACGTGCAGACTTTACAAACAGAGTGTTTTCAAACTGCTGAATGAAAAGAAAAGTTAAACTCTGAGAGTTGAACGCACACATCATAGAGGATTTTCTGAGAATGATTCTGTCTAGTTTTTATACGAAGATATTTCCATTTCTGCCTTTGGCCGCAAAGCGCTTGAAATCTCCACTTGCAAATTCCACAAAAACAGTCTTACAAATCTGCTCTCTCTAAATGAAAGTTCAACTCTGTCAGTTGAATACACACAACACAAGGAAGTTACTGAGAATTCTTCTGTCTAGCCTTATATGAAAAAATCCCGTTTCCAACGAAGGCCTCAAAGAGGTCTGAATATCCACTTGCAGACTTTACAAACAGAGTGTTTCCTAACTGCTCTATGAAAAGAAAGGTTAAACTCTGTGAGTTGAACGCACACATCACAAAGGAGTTTCTGAGAATCATTCTGTCTAGTTTTTCTACGAAGATATTTCCTTTTCTACTATTGACCTCAAAGCGGCTGAAATCTCCACTTGCAAATTCCACAAAAAGAGTGTTTCAAGTCTGCTCTGTGAAAAGGATCGTTCAACTCTGTGAGTTGAATACACAAAACACAAGGAAGTTACTGAGAATTCTTCTGTCTAGCAGAATATGAAGAAATCCCGTTTCCAACTAAGGACACAAGATGTCAGAATATCCACTTACAGAATTGACAAACAGACTGTTTCCTAACTGCTCTATGAAAAGAAAGGTTAAACTCTGTGAGTTGAACGAACACATCACAACGCAGTTTGTGGGAATGATTCTGTCTAGTTTTGAAACGAAGATATTTCCTTTTCTGCCGTTGACCTTAAAGCGCTTGAAATCTACACTTGCAAATTGCACAAATAGAGTGTTTCAAATCTGCTCTGTCTAAGTGAACGTTCAACTCTGTGAGTTGAATGCACACAACACAAGGAAGTTACTGGGAATTCTTCTGTCTAGCAGAATATGAAGAAATCCCGTTTCCAACGAAGGCCTCAAAGAGGTCTGAATATCCACTTGCAGACTTTACAAACAGAGTGTTTCCTAACTGCTCTATGAGAAGAAAAGTTAAACTCTGTGAGTTGAACGCACAGATCACAAAAGATTTTCTGAGAATCATTCTGTCTAGTTTTTCTACGAAGATATTTCCTTTTCTACTATTGACCTCAAAGCGGCTGAAATCTCCATTTGCAAATTCCACAAAAAGAGTGTTTCAAGTCTGCTCTGTGTAAAGGATCGTTCAAGTCTGTGAGTTGAATACACACAACACAAGGAAGTTACTGAGAATTCTTCTGTCTAGCAGAATATGAAGAAATCCCGTTTCCAACGAAGGCCTCAAAGAGGTCTGAATATCCACTTGCAGACTTTACAAACAGAGTGTTTCCTAACTGCTGCTATGAAAAGAAAAGTTAAACTCTGTGAGTTGAACGCACACATCACAAAGGAGTTTATGAGAATCATTCTGTCTAGTTTTTCTACGAAGATATTTCATTTTCTACTATTGACCTCAAAGCGGCTGAAATCTCCACTTGCAAATTCCACAAAAAGAGTGTTTCAAGTCTGCTCTGTGTAAAGGATCGTTCAACTCTGCGAGTTCAATACACACAACACAAGGAAGTTACTGAGAATTCTTCTGTCTAGCACAGTATGAAGAAATCCCATTTCCAACGAAGGCCTCAAAGACGTCTGAATATCCACTTGCAGAGTTCACAAACAGAGTGTTTCCTAACTGCTCTATGAAAAGAAAGGTTAAACTCTGTGAGTTGAACGCACACATCACAATGAAGTTTCTGAGAATCATTCTGTCTAGTTTTTATACGAAGATATTTCCTTTTCTACCATTGACCTCAAAGCGGCTGAAATCACCACTTGCCAATTGCACAAAAAGAGTGTTTCAAATCTGCTCTGTCTAAGGGAACGTTCAACTCTGTGAGTTGAATGTACACAACACAAGGAAGTTACTGGGAATTCTTCTGTCAAGCCTTACAGGAAAAAAACCCGTTTCCAACGAAGGCCTCTAAGTGGTCAAAATATCCACGTGCAGACTTAACAAACAGAGTGTTTCCAAACTGCTGAATGAAAAGAAAAGTTAAACTCTGAGAGTTGAACGCACACATCGCAGAGCAGTTTCTGAGAATGATTCTGTCTAGTTTTTATACGAAGATATTTCCTTTTCTGCCTTTGGCCCCAAAGCGCTTGAAATCTCCACTTGCAAATTCCACAAAAAGAGTGTTTCAAATCTGCTCTGTGTAAATGAAAGTTCAACTCTGTGAGTTGAACACACACAACACAAGGAAGTTACTGGGAATTCTTCTGTCTAGCAGAATATGAAGAAATCCCGTTTCCAACGAAGGCCTCAAAGAGGTCTGAATATCCACTTGCAGACTTTACAAACAGGGTGTTTCCTAACTGCTCTATGAAAAGAAATGTTAAATTTTGTGAATTCAACGCACACATCACAAAGGAGTTTCTGAGAATCATTCTGTCTAGTCTTTATACGAAGATATTTCCTTTTCTATCATTGACCTCAAAGCGGCTGAAATCTCCACTTGCAAATTCCACAAAAAGAGTGTTTCAAGTCTGCTCTGTGTAAAGGATCGTTCAACTCTGTGAGTTGAATACACACAACACAAGGAAGTTACTGAGAATTCTTCTGTCTAGCAGAATATGAAGAAATCCCGTTTCCAACGAAGGCCACAAGATGTCAGAATATCCACTTACAGACTTTACAAACAGAGTGTTTCCTAACTGCTCTATGAAAAGAAAGGTTAAAGTCTGTGAGTTGAACGAACACATCACAACGCAGTTTGTGGGAATGATTCTGTCTAGTTTTGAAACGAAGATATTTCCTTTTCTGCCATTGACCTTAAAGCGCTTGAAACCTACACTTGCAAATTGCACAAATAGAGTGTTTCAAATCTGCTCTGTCTAAGGAACGTTCAACTCTGTGAGTTGAATGCACACAACACAAGGAAGTTACTGGGAATTCTTCTGTCTAGCCTTACATGAAAAAAACCCGTTTCCAATGAAGGCCTCTAAGTGGTCAAGTTATCCACGTGCAGACTTTACAAACAGAGTGTTTCCAAACTGCTGAATGAAAAGAAAAGTTAAACTCAGAGAGTTGAACGCACACATCGCAGAGCAGTTTCTGAGAATGATTCTGTCTAGTTTTTATACGAAGATATTTCCTTTTCTGCCTTCGGCCTCAAAGCGCTTGAAATCTCCATTTGCAAATTCCACAAAAAGAGTGTTTCAAATCTGCTCTGTGTAAATGAAAGTTCAACTCTGTGAGTTGAACACACACAACACAAGGAAGTTACTGGGAATTCTTCTGTCTAGCATAGTATGGAGAAATCCCGTTTCCAACGAAGGCCTCAAAGAGGTCTGAATATCCACTTGCAGAGTTTACAAGCAGAGTGTTTCCTAACTGCTCTATGAAAAGAAAGGTTAAACTCTGTGAGTTGAAGGCACACATCACAAAGAAGTTTCTGAGAATCATTCTGTCTAGTTTTTGTACGAAGATATTTCCTTTTCTAACATGGACCTCAAAGCGGCTGAAATCTCCACTTGCAAATTCCACAAAAAGAGTGTTTCAAGTCTGCTCTGTGTAAAGGATCGTTCAACTCGGTGAGTTGAATACACACAACACAAGGAAGATTCTGAGAATTCTTCTGTCTAGCATAGTATGAAGAAATCCCGTTTCCAACGAAGGCCACAAGCTGTCAGAATATCCACTTACAGAATTTACAAACAGACTGTTTCCTAACTGCTCTATGAAAAGAAAGGTTAAACTCTGTGAGTTGAACGAACACATCACAACGCAGTTTGTGGCAATGATTCTGTCTAGTTTTGAAACGAAGATATTTCCTTTTCTGCCATTGACCTCAAAGCGCTTGAAATCTCCACTTGCCAATTGCACAAAAAGAGTGTTTCAAATCTGCTCTGTCTAAGGGAACGTTCAACTCTGTGAGTTGAATGTACACAACACAAGGAAGTTACTGGGAATTCTTCTGTCTAGCCTTACATGAAAAAAACCCGTTTCCAACGAAGGCGTCTAAGTGGTCAAAATATCCACGTGCAGACTTTACAAACAGAGTGTTTCCAAACCGCTGAATGAAAAGAAAAGTTAAACTCTGAGAGTTGAACGCACACATCACGCAGCAGTTTATGAGAATGATTCTGTCTAGTTTTTATAGGAAGATATTCCCTTTTCTACCTTTGACTTCAAAGCGGCTGAAATCTCCACTTGCAAATTCCACAAAAAGAGTGTTACAAGTCTACTCTGTGTAAAGGATCGGTCAACTCTGTGAGTTGAATACACACAACACAAGGAAGTTACTGAGAATTCTTCTGTCTAGCAGAATATGAAGAAATCCCGTTTCCAACGAAAGCCTCAAAGAGGTCTGAATATCCACTTGCAGACTTTACAGAGTGTTTCCCAACTGCTCTATGAAAAGAAAGCTTAAACTCTGTGAGTTGAACGCACACATCACAAAGGAGTTTGTGAGAATCATTCTGTCTAGTTTTTATACGAAGATATTTCCTTTTCTACCATTGACCTCAAAGCGGCTGAAATCTCCACTTCCAAACTCCACAAAAAGAGTGTTTCAAATCTGCTCTGTGTAAACCATCGTTCAACTGTGTGAGTTGAATACACACAACACAAGGAAGATTCTGAGAATTCTTCTGTCTAGCAGAATATGAAGAAATCCCGTTTCCAACGAAGGCCACAAGATGTCAGAATATCCACTTACAGAATTGACAAACAGACTTGTTTCCTAACTGCTCTATGAAAAGAAAGGTTAAACTCTGTGAGTTGAACGAACACATCACAACGCAGTTTGTGGGAATGATTCTGTCTAGTTTTTATACGAAGATATGTCCTTTTCTACCATTGACCTCAAAGCGGCTGAAATCACCACTTGCCAATTGCACAAAAAGAGTGTTTCAAATCTGCTCTGTCTAAGGGAACGTTCAACTCTGTGAGTTGAATGTACACAACACAAGGAAGTTACTGGGAATTCTTCTGTCTAGCCTTACAGGAAAAAAACCCGTTTCCAACGAAGGCCTCTAAGTGGTCAAAATATCCACATGCAGAGTTTACAGAGTGTTTCCAAACTGCTGAATGAAAAGAAAAGTTAAACTCTGAGAGTTGAACGCACACATCGCAGAACAGTTTCTGAGAATGATTCTGTCTAGTTTTGAAACGAAGATATTTCTTTTTCTGCCTTTGGCCTCAAAGCGCTTGAAATCTCCACTTGCAAATTCCACAAAAAGAGTGTTTCAAATCTGCTCTGTGTAAATGAAAGTTCAACTCTGTGAGTCGAACACACACAACACAAGGAAGTTACTGGGAATTCTTCTGTCTAGCATAGTATGAAGAAATCCCGTTTCCAACGAAGGCCTCAAAGACGTCTGAATATCCACTTGCAGACTTTACAAACAGAGTGTTTCCTAACTGCTCTATGAAAAAAAAGGTTAAACTCTGTGAGTTGAACGCACACATCACAAAGGAGTTTCTGAGAATCATTCTGTCTAGTTTCTATAGGAAGATATTTCCTATTCTACCATTGACCTCAAAGCGGCTGAAATCACCAGTTGCAAATTCCACGAAAAGAATGTTTCAAGTCTGCTCTGTGTAAAGGATCGTTCAACTCTGTGAGTTGAATACACACAACACAAGGAAGTTACTGAGAGTTCTTCTGTCTAGCAGAATAGGAAGAAATCCCGTTTCCAACGAAGGCCACAAGATGTCAGAATATCCACTTACAGACTTTACAAACAGAGTGTTTCCTAACTGCTCTATGAACAGAAAAGTTAAACTCTGTGAGTTGAACGAACACATCACAACGCAGTTTGTGGGAATGATTCTGTCTAGTTTTGAAACGAAGATATTTCCTTTTCTGCCATTGACCTTAAAGCGCTTGAAATCTCCACTTGCCAATTGCACAAAAAGAGTGTTTCAAATATGCTCTGTCTAAGGGAACGTTCAACTCTGTGAGTTGAATGTACACAACACAAGGAAGTTACTGAGAATTCTTCTGTCTAGCCTTACAGGAAAAAAACCCGTTTCCAACGAAGGCCTATAAGTGGTCAAAATATCCACGTGCAGACTTTACAAACAGAGTGTTTCCAAACTGCTGAATGAAAAGAAAAGTTAAACTCTGAGAGTTGAACGCACACATCGCAGAGCAGTTTCTGAGAATGATTCTGTCTAGTTTTGAAACGAAGATATTTCCTTTTCTGCCTTTGGCCTCAAAGTGCTTGAAATCTCCACTTGCAAATTCCACAAAAAGAGGGTTTCAAATCTGCTCTGGGTAAATGAAAGTTCAACTCTGTGAGTTGAACACACACAACACAAGGAAGTTACTGGGAATTCTTCTGTCTAGCAGAATATGAAGAAATCCCTCTTCCAACGGAGGCCTCAAAGAAGTCTGAATATCCACTTGCAGACTTTACAAACAGAGTGTTTCCCAACTGCTCTATGAAAAGAAAGGTTGAACTCTGTGAGTTGAACGCACACATCACAAAGGAGTTTCTGAGAATCATTCTGTCTAGTTTTTATAGGAAGATATTTCCTTTTCTACCATTGACCTCAAAGCGGCTGAAATCTCCACTTGCAAATTCCACAAAAAGAGTGTTTCAAGTCTGCTCTGTACACGCGGAAGTTACTGAGAATTCTTCTGTCTAGCATAGTATGAAGAAATCCCGTTTCCAACGAAAGCCTCAAAGAGGTCTGAATATCCACTTGCAGAGTTTACAAACAGAGTGTTTCCTAACTGCTCTATGAAAAGAAAGGTTAAACTCTGTGAGTTGAACGCACACATCTCAAAGGAGTTTCTGAGAATCATTCTGTCTAGTTTTGAAACGAAGATATTTCCTTTTCTGCCATTGAACTTAAAGCGCTTGAAATCTCCATTTGCCAATTGCACAAAAAGAGTGTTTCAAATCTGCTCTGTCTAAGGGAACGTTCAACTCTGTGAGTTGAATGTACACAACACAAGGAAAGTTACTGGGAATTCTTCTGTCTAGCCTTACAAGAAAAAAACCCGTTTCCAACGAAGGCCTCTAAATGGTCAAAATATCCACGTGCAGACTTTACAAACAGAGTGTTTCCAAACTGCTGAATGAAAAGAAAAGTTAAACTCTGAGAGTTGAACGCACACATCGCAGAGCAGTTTCTGAGAATGATTCTGTCTAGTTTTTATACGAAGATATTTCCTTTTCTGCCTTTGGCCCCAAAGCGCTTGAAATCTCCACTTGCAAATTCCACAAAAACAGAGTTTCAAATCTGCTCTCTCTAAATGAAAGTTCAACTCTGTCAGTTGAATACACACAACACAAGGAAGTTACTGAGAATTCTTCTGTCTAGCATAATATGAAGAAATCCCGTTTCCAACGAGGGCCTCAAAGAGGTATGAATATCCACTTGAAGACTTTACAAACAGAGTGTTTCTTAACTGCTCTATGAAAAGAAAGGTTGAACCCTGTGAGTTGAACGCACACATCACAAAGAACTTACTGAGAATCATTCTGTCTAGTTTCTATAGGAAGATATTTCCTATTCTACCATTGACCTCAAAGCGGCTGAAATCTCCACTTGCAAATTCCACAAAAAGAGTGTTTCAAGTCTGCTCTGTGTAAAGGATCGTTCAACTCTGTGAGTTGAATACACACAACACAAGGCAGTTACTGAGAATTCTCTGTCTAGCAGAATACGAAGAAATCCCATTTCCAATTAAGGCCACAAGACGTCAGAATATCCACTTACAGACTTTACAAGCAGAGTGGTTCCTAACTGGTCTATGAACAGAAAGGTTAAACTCTGTGAGTTGAACGAACACATCACAACGCAGTTTGTGGGAATGATTCTGTCTAGTTTTGAAACGAAGATATTTCCTTTTCTGCCATTGACCTTAAAGCGCTTGAAATCTACACTTGCAAATTGCACAAATAGAGTGTTTCAAATCTGCTCTGTCTAAGGGAACGTTCATCTGTGTGAGTTGAATGCACACAACACAAGGGAAGTTACTGGGAATTCTTCTGTATTGCCTTACATGAAAAAAACTCGTTTCCAACGAAGGCCTCTAAGTGGTCAAAATATCCACGTGCAGATTTTACAAACAGAGTGTTGCCAAACTGCTGAAAGAAAAGAAAAGTTAAACCCTGTGAGATGAACGCACACATCACAGAGCAGTTTCTGAGAATGATTCTGTCTAGTTTTGAAACGGAGATATTTCCTTTTCTGCCTTTGGCCTCAAAGCGCTTGAAATCTCCACTTGCAAATTCCACAAAAAGAGTGTTTCAAATCTGCTCTGTGTAAATGAAAGTTCAACTTTGTGAGTTGAACACACACAACACAAGGAAGTTACTGGGAATTCTTCTGTCTAGCCTTATATGAAAAAAACCCGTTTCCAACGAAGGCCTCAAAGAGGTCTGAATATCCACTTGCAGACTTTACAAACAGAGTGTTTCCTAACTGCTCTATGAAAAGGAAGGTTAAACTCTGTGAGTTGAACGCACACATCACAAAGGAGTTTCTGAGAATCATTCTGTCTAGTTTCTATAGGAAGATATTTCCTATTCTACCATTGACCTCAAAGCGGCTGAAATCTCCACTTGCAAATTCCACAAAAAGAGTGTTTCAAGTCTGCTCTCTGTAAAGGATCGTTCACCTCTGTGAGTTGAATACACACAACACAAGGAAGTTACTGAGAATTCTTCTGTCTAGCAGAATATGAAGAAATCCCGCTTCCAACGAAGGCCACAAGATGTCAGAATATCCACTTACAGAATTTACAAACAGACTGTTTCCTAACTGCTCTATGAAAAGAAAGGTTAAACTCTGTGATTTGAACGAACACATCACAACGCAGTTTGTGGGAATGATTCTGTCTAGTTTTGAAACGAAGATATTTCCTTTTCTGCCATTGACCTTAAAACTCTTGAAATCTCCACTTGCCAATTGCACAAAAAGAGTGTTTCAAATCTGCTCTGTCTAAGGGAACGTTCAACTCTGTGAGTTGAATGTACACAACACAAGGAAGTTACTGGGAATTCTTCTGTCTAGCCTTGCATGAAAAAAACCCGTTTCCAACGAAGGCCTCTAAGTGGTCAAATTATCCACGTGCAGACTTTACAAACAGAGTGTTTCCAAACTGCTGAATGAAAAGAAAAGTTAAACTCTGAGAGTTGAACGCACACATCGCAGAGCAGTTTCTGAGAATGATTCTGGCTAGTTTTGAAACGAAGATATTACCTTTTCTGCCTTTGGCCTCAAAGCGCTTGAAATCTCCACTTGCAAATTCCACAAAAAGAGTGCTTCAAATCTGCTCTGTCTAAATGAAAGTTCAACTCTGTGAGTTGAACACACACAACACAAGGAAGTTACTGGGAATTCTTCTGTCTAGCATAATATGAAGAAATCCCGTTTCCAACGAAGGCCTCAAAGAGGTCTGAATATCCACTTGCAGACTTTACAAACAGAGTGTTTCCTAACTGCTCTATGAAAAGAAAAGTTAAACTCTGTGAGTTGAATGCACACATCACAAAGGAGTTTCTGGGAATCATTCTGCCTAGTTTTTCTACGAAGATATTTCCTTTTCTACTATTGACCTCAAAGCGGCTGAAATCTCCACTTGCAAATTCCACAAAAAGAGTGTTTGAAGTCTGCTCTGTGTAAAGGATCGTTCAACTCTGTGAGTTGAATACACACAACACAAGGAAGTTACTGAGAATTCTTCTGTCTAGCAGAATATGAAGAAATCCCTTTTCCAACGAAGGCCTCAAGGAGGTCTGAATATCCACTTGCAGACTTTACAAACAGAGTGTTTCCTAACTGCTCTATGAACAGAAAGGTTAAACTCTGTGAGTTGAACGCACACATCACAAAGGAGTTTATGAGAATCATTCTGTCTAGTTTTGAAACGAAGATATTTCCTTTTCTGCCATTGACCTTAAAGCCCTTGAAATCTCCATTTGCCAATTGCACAAAAATAGTGTTTCAAATCTGCTCTGTCTAAGGGAACGTTCAACTCTGTGAGTTGAATGTACACAACACAAGGAAGTTACTGGGAATTCTTCTGTCTAGCCTTACATGAAAAAAACCCGTTTCCAACGAAGGCCTCTAAGTGGTCAAATTATCCACGTGCAGACTTTACAAACAGAGTGTTTCCAAACTGCTGAATGAAAAGCAAAGTAAAACTCTGAGAGTTGAACGCACACATCGCAGAGCAGTTTCTGAGAATGATTCTGTCTAGTTTTTATACGAAGATATTTCCTTTTCTGCCTTTGGCCTCAAAGCGCTTGAAATCTCCACTTGCAAATTCCACAAAAAGAGTGTTTCCAATCTGCTCTGTGTAAATGAAAGTTCAACTCTGTGAGTTGAACACACACAACACAAGGGAAGTTACTGAGAATTCTTCTGTCTAGCAGAATATGAAGAAATCCCGTTTCCAACGAAGGCCTCAAGAGGGTCTGAATATCCACTTGCAGACTTTACAAACAGAGTGTTTCCTAACTGCTCTATGAAAAGAAAGGTTAAACTCTGTGAGTTGAACGCACACATCACAAAGGAGTTTATGAGAATCATTCTGTCTAGTTTCTATAGGAAGATATTTCCTATTCTACCATTGACCTCAAAGCGGCTGAAATCTCCATTTGCAAATTCCACAAAAAGAGTGTTTCAAGTCTGCTCTGTGTAAAGGATCGTTCAACTCTGTGAGTTGAATACACACAACACAAGGAAGTTACTGAGAATTCTTCTGTCTAGCAGAATAAGAAGAAATCCTGTTTCCAACAAAGGCCACAATATGTCAGATTATCCACTTACAGAATTTACAAACAGACTGTTTCCTAACTGCTCTATGAAAAGAAAGGTTAAACTCTGTTAGTTGAACGAACACATCACAACGCAGTTTGTGGGAATGATTCTATCTAGTTTTGAAACGAAGATATTTCCTTTTCTGCCATTGACCTTAAAGCGCTTGAAATCTCCACTTGCAAATTCCACAAAAAGAGTGTTACAAATCTGCTCTTTGTAAAGGATCGTTCAACTCTGTGAGTTGAATACACACAACACAAGGAAGTTACTGAGAATTCTTCTGTCTAGCCTTACATGAAAAAAACCCGTTTCCAACGAAGGCCTCTAAGTGGTCAAATTATCCACGTGCAGACTTTAGAAACAGAGTGTTTCCAAACTGCTGAATGAAAAGAAAAGTTAAACTCTGAGAGTTGAACGCACACATCGCAGAGCAGTTTCTGAGAACGATTCTGTCTAGTTTTTATACGAAGATATTTCCTTTTCTGCCTTTGGCCCCAAAGCGCTTGAAATCTCCACTTACAAATTCCACAAAAACAGTGTTTCAAATCTGCTCTCTCTAAATGAAAGTTCAACTCTGTCAGTTGAATACACACAACACAAGGAAGTTACTGAGAATTCTTCTGTCTAGCAGAATATGAAGAAATCCCGTTTCCAACGAAGGCCTCAAAGAGGTCTGAATATCCACTTGCAGACTTTACAAACAGAGTGTTTCCTAACTGCTCTATGGAAAGAAAGGTTAAACTCTGTGAGTTGAACGCACACTTCACAAAGGAGTTTCTGAGAATCATTCTGTCCAGTTTCTATAGGAAGATATTTCCTATTCTACCATTGAACCCAAAGCGGCTGAAATCTCCACTTGCAAATTCCACAAAAAGAGTGTTTCAAGTCTGCTCTGTGTAAAGGATCGTTCAACTCTGTGAGTTGAATACACACAACACAAGGAAGTTACTGAGAATTCTTCTGTCTAGCAGAATATGAAGAAATCCCGTTTCCAACTAAGGCCACAAGATGTCAGAATATCCACTTACAGAATTGACAAACAGACTGTTTCCTAACTGCTCTATGAAAAGAAAGGTTAAACTCTGTGAGTTGAACGAACACATCACAACGCAGTTTGTGGGAATGATTCTGTCTAGTTTTTATACGAAGATATTTCCTTTTCTACCATTGACCTCAAAGCTGCTGAAATCACCACTTGCCAATTGCACAAAAAGAGTGTTTCAAATCTGCTCTGTCTAAGGGAACGTTCAACTCTGTGAGTTGAATGTACACAACACAAGGAAGTTCCTGGGAATTCTTCTGTCTAGCCTAACATGAAAAAAACCCGTTTCCAACGAAGGCCTCTAAGTGGTCAAAATATCCACGTGCAGACTTTACAAACAGAGTGTTTCCAAACCGCTGAATGAAAAGAAAAGTTAAACTCTGAGAGTTGAACGCACACATCACGCAGCAGTTTCTGAGAATGATTCTGTCTAGTTTTTATACGAAGATATTTCCTTTTCTGCCTTTGGCCTCAAAGCGCTTGAAATCTCCACTTGCAAATTCCACAAAATTAGTGTTTCAAATCTGCTCTGTGTAAATGAAAGTTCAACTCTGTGAGTTGAACACACACAACACAAGGCAAGTTACTGGGAATTCTTCTGTCTAGCATAATATGAAGAAATCCCGTTTCCAACGAAGGCCTCAAAGAGGTCTGAATATCCACTTGCAGACTTTACAAACAGAGTGTTCCCTAACTGCTCTATGAAAAGAAAGGTTAAACTCTGTGAGTTGAACGCACACATCACAAAGGAGTTTCTGAGAATCATTCTGTCTAGTTTTTATAGGAAGATATTTCCTTTTCTACATTTGACTTCAAAGCGGCTGAAATCTCCACTTGCAAATTCCACAAAAAGAGTGTTTCAAATCTGCTCTGTGTAAATGAAAGTTCAACTCTGTGAGTTGAACACACACAACACAAGGAAGTTACTGGGAATTCTTCTGTCTAGCCTTATATGAAAAAAACCCGTTTCCAACGAAGGCCTCAAAGAGGTCTGTATATCCACTTGCAGACTTTACAAACAGAGTGATTCCTAACTGCTCTATGAAAAGAAAGGTTAAACTGTGAGTTGAACACACACATCTCAAAGGAGTTTCTGAGAATCATTCTGTCTAGTTTTTATACGAAGATATTTCCTTTTCTACCATTGACCTCAACGCGGCAGAAATCTCCACTTGCAAATTCCACAAAAAGAGTGTTCCAAGTCTGCTCTGTGTAAAGGATCGTTCAACTCTGTGAGTTGAATACACACAACACAAGGAAGTTACTGAGAATTCTTCTGTCTAGCATAATATGAAGAAATCCCGTTTCCAATGAAGGCCTCAAAGAGGTCTGAATATCCACTTGCAGACATTACAAACAGAGTGTTTCCTAACTGCTCTATGAAATGAAAAGTTAAACTCTGTGAGTTGAACGCACACATCACAAAGGAGTTTATGAGAATCATTCTGTCTAGTCTTTATACGAAGATATTTCCTTTTCTACCATTGACCTCAAAGCGGCTGAAATCTCCACTTGCAAATTCCACAAAAAGAGTGTTTCAAGTCCGCTCTGTGTAAAGGATCGTTAAACTCTGTGAGTTGAATACACACAACACAAGGAAGTTACTGCGAATTCTTCTGTCTAGCAGAATATGAAGAAATCCCGTTTCCAACGAAGGCCTCAAAGGGGTCTGAATATCCACTTGCAGACTTTACAAACAGAGTGTTTCCTAACTGCTCTATGAACAGAAAGGTTAAACTCTGTGAGTTGAACGCACACATCACAAAGGAGTTTCTGAGAATCATTCTGTCTAGTTTCTATAGGAAGATATTTCCTATTCTACCATTGACCTCAAAGCGGCTGAAATCTCCACTTGCAAATTCCACAAAAAGAGTGTTTCAAGTCTGCTCTGTGTAAAGGATCGTTCAACTCTGTGAGTTGAATACACACAACACGAGGAAGTTACTGAGAATTCTTCTTTCTAGCAGAATATGAAGAAATCCCGTTTCCAACGAAAGCCTCAAGGATGTCTGCATATCCACTTGCAGACTTTACAAACAGAGTGTTTCCTAACTGCTCTATGAAAAGAAAGGTTAAACTCTGTGAGTTGAACGCACACATCACAAAGGAGTTTCTGAGAATCATTCTGTCTAGTTTTGAAAGGAAGATATTTCCTTTTCTGCCATTGACCTTAAAGCGCTTGAAATCTCCACTTGCCAATTGCACAAAAAGAGTGTTTCAAATCTGCTCTGTCTAAGGGAACGTTCAACTCTGTGAGTTGAATGTACACAACACAAGGAAGTTACTGTGAATTCTTCTGTCTAGCCTTACATGAAAAAAACCCGTTTCCAACGAAGACCTCTAAGTGGTCAAAATATCCACGTGCAGACTTTACAAACTGAGTGTTTCCAAACTGCTGAATGAAAAGAAAAGTTAAACTCTGAGAGTTGAACGCACACATCACAGAGCAGTTTCTGAGAATGATTCTGTCTAGTTTTGAAACGAAGATATTTCCTTTTCTGCCTTTGGTCTCAAAGCGCTTGAAATCTCCACTTGCAAATTCCACAAAAAGAGTGTTTCAAATCTGCTCTGTGTAAATGAAAGTTCAACTCTGTGAGTTGAACACACACAACACAAGGAAGTTACTGGGAATTCTTCTGTCTAGCAGAATATGAAGAAATCCCGTTTCCAACGAAGGCCTCAAAGAGGTCAGAATATCCACTTGCAGACTTTACAAACAGAGTGTTTCCTAACTGCTCTATGAAAAGAAAGGTTAAACTCTGTGAGTTGAACGCACACATCACAAAGGAGTTTCTGAGAATCGTTCTGTCTAGTTTCTATAGGAACATATTTCCTATTCTACCATTGACCTCAAAGCGGCTGTAATCTCCACTTGCAAATTCCAGAAAAAGAGTGTTTCAACTCTGCTCTGTGTAAGAAATCGTTCAACTCTGTAAGTTGAATACACACAACACAAGGAAGTTACTGAGAATTCCTTCCGTCTAGCAGAATATGAAGAAATCCCGTTTCCAACGAAGGCCACAAGATGTCAGAATATCCACTTACAGACTTTACAAACAGTGTGTTTCCTAACTGCTCTATGAACGGAAAGGTTAAACTCTGTGAGTTGAACGAACACATCACAACGCAGTTTGTGGGAATGATTCTGTCTAGTTTTGAAACGAAGATATTTCCTTTTCTGCCATTGAACTTAAAGCGCTTGAAATCTCCATTTGCCAATTGCACAAAAAGAGTGTTTCAAATCTGCTCTGTCTAAGGGAACGTTCAACTCTGTGAGTTGAATGTACACAACACAAGGAAGTTACTGGGAATTCTTCTGTCTAGCAGAATATGAAGAAAACCCGTTTCCAACGAAGGCCACAAGATGTCAGAATATCCACTTACAGAATTTACAAACAGACTGTTTCCTAACTGCTCTATGAAAACAAAGGTTAAACTCTGTGAGTTGAACGAACACAGCACAACGCAGTTTGTGGGAATGATTCTGTCTAGTTTTGAAACGAAGATATTTCCTTTTCTGCCATTGACCTTAAAGCGCTTGAAATCTCCACTTGCCAATTGCACAAAAAGAGTGTTTCAAATCTGCTCTGTCTAAGGGAACGTTCAAATCTGTGAGTTGAATGTACACAACACAAGGAAGTTACTGGGAATTCTTCTGTCTAGCCTTACAGGAAAAAAACCCGTTTCCAACGAAGGCCTCAAAGAGGTCTGAATATCCACTTGCAGACTTTACAAACAGAGTGTTTCCTAACTGCTCTATGAAAAGAAAGGTTAAACTCTGTGAGTTGAACGCACACATCACAAAGGAGTTTCTGAGAATCATTCTGTCTAGTTTTTATACGAAGATATTTCCTTTTCTACCATGGACCTCAAAGCGGCTGAAATCTCCACTTGCAAATTCCACAAAAAGAGTGTTTCAAGTCTGCTCTGTGTAAAGGATCGTTCAACTCTGTGAGTTGAATACACACAACACAAGGAAGATTCTGAGAATTCCTCTGTCTAGCAGAATATGAAGAAATCCCGTTTCCAACGAAGGCCACAAGATGTCAGAATATCCACTTACAGAATTTACAAACAGACTGTTTCCTAACTGCTCTACGAAAAGAAAGGTTAAACTCTGTGAGATGAACGAACACATCACAACGCAGTTTGTGGGAATGATTCTGTCTAGTTTTTATACGAAGATATTTCCTTTTCTACCATTGACCTCAAAGCGGCTGAAATCACCACTTGCCAATTGCACAAAAAGAGTGTTTCAAATCTGCTCTCTCTAAGGAAACGTTCAACTCTGTGTGTTGAATGTACACAACACAAGGAAGTTACTGGGAATTCTTCTGTCTAGCCTTACATGAAAAAAAACCGTTTCCAACGAAGGCCTCTAAGTGGTCAAGTTATCCACGTGCAGACTTTACAAACAGAGTGTTTCCAAACTTCTGAATGAAAAGAAAAGTTAAACTCTGAGAGTTGAACGCACACATCGCAGAGCAGTTTCTGAGAATGATTCTGTCTAGTTTTTATACGAAGATATTTCCTTTTCTGCCTTTGGCCTCAAAGCGCTTGAAATCTCCTCTTGCAAATTCCACAAAAAGAGTGTTTCAAATCTGCTCTGTGTAAATGAAAGTTCAACTCTGTGAGTTGAACACACACAACACAAGGAAGTTACTGGGAATTCTTCTGTCTAGCATAATATGAAGAAATCCCTTTTCCAACGAAGGCCTCAAAGGGGTCTGAATATCCACTTTCAGACTTTATAAACAGAGTGTTTACTAACTGCTCTATGAAAAGAAAGGTTAAACTCTGTGAGTTGAACACACACATCACAAAGGAGTTTCTGAGAATCATTCTGTCTAGTTTCTATAGGAAGATATTTCCTATTCTACCATTGACCTCAAAGCGGCTGAAATCTCCACTTGCAAATTCCACAACAAGAGTGTTTCAAGTCTACTCTGTGTAAAGCATCGTTCAACTCTGTGAGTTGAAAACACACAACACAAGGAAGTTTCTGAGAATTCTTCTGTATAGCAGAATATGAAGAAATCCCGTTTCCAACGAAAGCCTCAAGGAGGTCTGAATATCCACTTGCAGACTTTACAAACAGAGTGTTTCCTAACTGCTCTATGAAAAGAAAGGTTAAACTCTGTGAGTTGAACGCACACATCACAAAGGAGTTTCTGAGAATCATTCTGTCTAGTTTTTATACGAAGATATTTCCTTTTCTACCATTGACCTCAAAGCGGCTGAAATCTCCACTTTCAAATTCCACAAAAAGAGTGTTTCAAGTCTGCTCTGTGTAAAGGATCGTTCAACTCTGTGAGTTGAATACACACAACACAAGGAAGTTACTGAGAATTCTTCTGTCTAGCAGAATATGAAGAAATCCCGTTTCCAACGAAGGCCTCAAAGAGGTCTGAATATCCACTTGCAGACTTTACAAACAGAGTGTTTCCTAACTGCTCTATGAAAGGAATGGTTAAACTCTGTGAGTTGAATGCACACATCACAAAGGAGTTTCTGAGAATCATTCTGTCTAGTTTTTATACGAAGATATTTCCTTTTCTGCCTTTGGCCCAAAAGCGCTTGAAATCTCCACTTGCAAATTCCAAAAAAACAGTGTTTCAAATCTGCTCTCTCTAAATGAAAGTTCAACTCTGTCAGTTGAATACACACAACACAAGGAAGTTACTGAGAATTCTTCTGTCTAGCAGAATATGAAGAAATCCCGTTTCCAACGAAGGCCTCAAGGAGGTCTGAATATCCACTTGCAGACTTTACAAACAGAGTGTTTCCTAACTGCTCTATGAAAAGAAAGGTGAAACTCTGTGAGTTGAATGCACACATCACAAATGAGTTTATGAGAATCATTCTGTCTAGTTTTTATAGGAAGATATTTCCTTTTCTACCTTTGACTTCAAAGCGGCTGAAATCTCCACTTGCAAATTGCACAAAAAGAGTGTTACAAGTCTGCTCTGTCTAAGGGAACGTTCAACTCTGTGAGTTGAATGTACACAACACAAGGAAGTTACTGGGAATTCTTCTGTCTAGCAGAATATGAAGAAATCCCGTTTCCAACGAAGGCCACAAGATTTCAGAATATCCACTTACAGAATTTACAAACAGAGTGTTTCCTAACTGCTCTATGAAAAGAAAGGTTAAACTCTGTGAGTTGAACGAACACATCACAACGCAGTTTGTGGGAATCATTCTGTCTACTTTTGAAACGAAGATATTTCCTTTTCTGCCAGTGACCTTAAAGCGCTTGAAATCTCCACTTGTCAATTGCACAAAAAGAGTGTTTCAAATCTGCTCTGTCTAAGGGAACGTTCAACTCTGTGAGTTGAATGTACTCAACACAAGGAAGTTACTGGGAATTATTCTGTCTAGCCTTACAGGAAAAAAACCCGTTTCCAACGAAGGCCTCCAAGTGGTCAAAATATCCACGTGCAGACTTTACAAACAGAGTGTTTCCAAACTGCTGAATGAAAAGAAAAGTTAAACTCTGAGAGTTGAACGCACACATCGCAGAGCAGTTTCTGAGAATCATTCTGTCTAGTTTTTATACGAAGATATTTCCTTTTCTGCCTTTGGCCCCAAAGCGCTTGAAATCTCCACTTGCAAATTCCACAAAAACAGTGTTTCAAATCTGCTCTCTCTAAATGAAAGTTCAACTCTGTCAGTTGAATACACACAACACAAGGAAGTTACTGAGAATTCCTCTGTCTAGCATAATATGAAGAAATCCCGTTTCCAACGAAGGTCTCAAGGAGGTCTGAATATCCACTTGCAGACTTTACAAACAGAGTGTTTCCTAACTGCTCTATGAAAAGAAAGGTTAAACTCTGTGAGTTGAACGCACACATCACAAAGGAGTTTATGAGAATCATTCTGTCTAGTTTCTATAGGAAGATATTTCCTATTCTACCATTGACCTCAAAGCGGCTGAAATCTCCACTTGCAAATTCCACAAAAAGAGTGTTTCAAGTCTGCTCTGTGTAAAGGATCGTTCAACTCTGTGAGTTGCATACACACAACACAAGGAAGTTACTGAGAATTCTTCTGTCTAGCATAATATGAAGAAATGCCGTTTCCAAAGAAGGCCTCAAAGAGGTCTGAATATCCACTTGCAGACTTTACAAACAGAGTGTTTCCTAACTGCTCTATGAAAAGAAAGGTTAAACTCTGTGAGTTGAACGCACACATCACAAAGGAGTTTCTGAGAATCATTCTGTCTAGTTTTTATACGAAGATATTTCCTTTTCTACCATTGACCCCAAAGCGGCTGAAATCACCACTTGCCAATTGCACAAAAAGAGTGTTTCAAATCTGTTCTGTCTAAGGGAACGTTCAACTCTGTGAGTTGAATGTACACAACACAAGGAAGTTACTGGGAATTCTTCTGTCTAGCCTTACATGAAAAAAACCCGTTTCCAACGAAGGCCTCTGAGTGGTCAAAATATCCACGTGCAGACTTTACAAACAGAGTGTTTCCAAACCGCTGAATGAAAAGAAAAGTTAAACTCTGAGAGTTGAACGCACACATCACGCAGCAGTTTCTGAGAATGATTCTGTCTAGTTTTTATACGAAGATATTTCCTTTTCTGCCTTTGGCCTCAAAGCGCTTGAAATCTCCACTTGCAAATTCCACAAAAAGACTGTTTCAAATCTGCTCTGTGTAAATGAAAGTTCAACTCTGTGAGTTGAACACACACAACACAAGGAAGTTACTGGGAATTCTTCTGTCTAGCAGAATATGAAGAAATCCCGTTTCCAACGAAGGCCTCAAAGGGGTCTGAATATCCACTTGCAGACTTTATAAACAGAGTGTTTACTAACTGCTCTATGAAAAGAAAGGTTAAACTCTGTGAGTTGAACACACACATCACAAAGGAGTTTCTGAGAGTCATTCTGTCTAGTTTCTATTGGAAGATATTTCCTATTCTACCATTGACCTCAAAGCGGCTGAAATCTCCACTTGCAAATTCCACAAAAAGAGTCTTTCAAGACTGTTCTGTGTAAAGGATCATTCAAGTCTGTGAGTTGAATACACACAACACAAGGAAGTTACTGAGAATTCTTCTTTCTAGCAGAATATGAAGAAATCCCGTTTCCAACGAAAGCCTCAAAGATGTCTGAATATCCACTTGCAGACTTTACAAACAGAGTGTTTCCTAACTGCTCTATGAAAAGAAAGGTTAAACTCTGTGAGTTGAATGCACACATCACAAAGGAGTTTCTGAGAATCATTCTGTGTAGTTTTGAAACGAAGATATTTCCTTTTCTGCCATTGACCTTAAAGCGCTTGAAATCTCCACTTGCCAATTGCACAAAAAGAGTGTTTCAAATCTGCTCTGTCTAAGGGAACGTTCAACTCTGTGAGTTGAATGTACACAACACAAGGAAGTTACTGGGAATTCTTCTGTCTAGCCTTACATGAAAAAAACCCGTTTCCAACGAAGGCCTCTAAGTGGTCAAAATTTCCACGTACAGACTTTACAAACAGAGTGTTTCCAAACAGCTGAATGAAAAGAAAAGTTAAACTTTGAGAGTTGAACGCACACATCACGCAGCAGTTTCAGAGAATGATTCTGTCTAGTTTTGAAACGAAGATATTTCCTTTTCTGCCTTTGGCCTCAAAGCGCTTGAAATCTCCACTTTCAAATTCCACAAAAAGAGTGTTTCAAATCTGCTCTGTGTAAATGAAAGTTCAACTCCTGTGAGTTGAACACACACAACACAAGGAAGTTAGTGGGAATTGCTTCTGTCTAGCAGAATATGAAGAAATCCCGTTTCCAACGAAGGCCTCAAGGAGGTCTGAATATCCACTTGCAGACTTTACAAACAGAGTGTTTCCTAACTGCTCTATGAAAAGAAAGGTGAAACTCTGTGAGTTGAATTCACACATCACAAAGGAGTTTATGAGAATCATTCTGTCTAGTTTTTATACGAAGATATTTCCTTTTCTACCATTGACCTCAACGCGGCTGAAATCTCCACTTGCAAATTCCACAAAAAGAGTGTTTCAAGCCCGCTCTGTGTAAAGGATCGTTCAACTCTGTGAGTTGAATACACGCAACACAAGGAAGTTACTGAGAATTCTTCTGTCTAGCACAGTATGAAGAAATCCCGTTTCCAACGAAGGCCTCAAAGAGGTCTGAATATCCACTTGCAGAGTTTATAAACAGAGTGTTTCCTAACTGCTCTATGAAAAGAAAGGTTAAACTCTGTGAGTTGAACGCACACATCACAAAGAAGTTTCTGAGAATCATTCTGTCTAGTTTTGAAAGTAAGATATTTCCTTTTCTGCCATTGACCTTAAAGCGCTTGAAATCTCCACTTGCTAATTGCACAAAAAGAGTGTTTCAAATCTGCTCTGTCTAAGGGAACGTTCAACTCTGTGAGTTGAATGTACACAACACAAGGAAGTTACTGGGAATTCTTCTGTCTAGCCTTATATGAAAAAAACCCGTTTCCAAAGAAGGCCTCTAAGTGGTCAAATTATCCACGTGCAGACTTTACAAACAGAGTGTTTCCAAACTGCTGAATGAAAAGAAAAGTTAAACTCTGAGAGTTGAACGCACACATCGCAGAGCAGTTTCTGAGAATGATTCTGTCTAGTTTTGAAACGAAGATATTTCCTTTTCTGCCTTTGGCCTCAAAGCGCTTGAAATCTCCACTTGCAAATTCCACAAAAAGAGTGTTTCAAATCTGCTCTGTGTAAATGGAAGTTCAACTCTGTGGGTTGAACACACACAACACAAGGAAGTTACTGGGAATTCTTCTCTCTAGCCTTATATGAAAAAAACCCGTTTCCAACGAAGGCCTCAAAGAGGTCTGAATATCCACTTGCAGACTTTACAAACAGAGTGATTCCTAACTGCTCTATGAAAAGAAAGGTTAAACTCTGTGAGTTGAACACACACATCTCAAAGGAGTTTCTGAGAATCATTCTGTCTAGTTTTTATACCGAAGATATTTCCTTTTCTACCATGGACCTCAAAGCGGCTGAAATCTCCACTTGCAAATTCCACAAAAAGAGTGTTTCAAGTCTGCTCTGTGTAAAGGATCGTTCAACTCTGTGAGTTGAATACACACAACACAAGGAAGATTCTGAGAATTCTTCTGTCTAGCAGAATATGAAGAAATCCCGTTTCCAACGAAGGCCACAAGATGTCAGAATATCCACTTACAGACTTTACAAACAGAGTGTTTCCTAACTGCTCTATGAACAGAAAGGTTAAACTCTGTGAGTTGAACGAACACATCACAACGCAGTTTGTGGGTATGATTCTGTCTAGTTTTGAAACGAAGATATTTCCTTTTCTGCCGTTGACCTTAAAGCGCTTGAAATCTACACTTGCAAATTGCACAAATAGAGTGTTTCAAATCTGCTCTGTCTAAGGGAACGTTCAACTCTGTGAGTTGAATGCACACAACACAAGGAAGTTACTGGGAATTCTTCTGTCTAGCCTTACATGAAAAAAAACCCGTATCCAACGAAGGCCTCTAAGTGGTCAAAATATCCACGTGCAGACTTTACAAACAGAGTGTTTCCAAACCGCTGAATGAAAAGAAAAGTTAAACTCTGAGAGTTGAACGCACACATCACGCAGCAGTTTCTGAGAATGATATCTGTCTAGTTTTCAAACGAAGATATTTCCTTTTCTGCCTTTGGCCTCAAAGCGCTTGAAATCTCCACTTGCATATTCCACAAAAAGAGTGTTTCAAATCTGCTCTGTGTAAATGAAAGTTCAACTCTGTGAGTTGAACACACACAACACAAGGAAGTTACTGGGAATTCTTCTGTCTAGCATAATATGAAGAAATCCCGTTTCCAACGAACCCTCAAGGAGGTCTGAATATCCACTTGCAGACTTTACAAACAGAGTGTTTCCTAACTGCTCTATGAAAAGAAAGGTTAAACTCTGTGAGTTGAACGCACACATCACAAAGGAGTTTCTGAGAATCATTCTGTCTAGTTTCTATAGGAAGATATTTCCTATTCTACCATTGACCTCAAAGCAGCTGAAATCTCCACTTGCAATTTCCACAAAAAGAGTGTTTCAAGTCTGCTCTCTGTAAAGGATCGTTCAACTCTGTGAGTTGAATACACACAACACAAGGAAGTTACTGAGAATTCTTCTGTCTAGCAGAATATGAAGAAATCCCGTTTCCAACGAAGGCCTCAAGGAGGTCTGAATATCCACTGGCAGACTTTACAAACAGAGTGTTTCCTAACTGCTCTATGAACAGAAAGGTTAAACTCTGTGAGTTGAACGAACACATCACAACGCAGTTTGTGGGAATGAATCTGTCTAGTTTTGAAACGAAGATATTTCCTTTTCTGCCATTGACCTCAAAGCGCTTGAAATCTCCACTTGCCAATTGCACAAAAAGAGTGTTTCAAATCTGCTCTGTCTAAGGGAACGTTCAACTCTGTGAGTTGAATGTACACAACACAAGGAAGTTACTGGGAATTCTTCTGTCTAGCCTTACATGAAAAAAACCCGTTTCCAACTAAGGCCTCTAAGTGGTCAAAATGTCCACGTGCAGACTTTACAAACAGAGTGTTTCCAAACCGCTGAATGAAAAGAAAAGTTAAACTCTGAGAGTTGAACGCACACATCACGCAGCAGTTTCTGAGAATGATTCTGTCTAGTTTTTATACGAAGATATTTCGTTTTCTGCCTTTGGCCACAAAGCGCTTGAAATCTCCACTTGCAAATTCCACAAAAACAGTGTTTCAAATCTGCTCTCTCTAAATGAAAGTTCAACTCTGTCAGTTGAATACACACAACACAAGGAAGTTACTGAGAATTCTTCTGTCTAGCCTTATATGAAAAAAACCCGTTTCCAACGAAGGCCTCAAAGAGGTCTGAATATCCACTTGCAGACTTTACAAACAGAGTGATTCCTAACTGCTCTATGAAAAGAAAGGTTAAACTCTGTGAGTTGAACACACACATCTCAAAGGAGTTTCTGAGAATCATTCTGTCTAGTTTTTATACGAAGATATTTCCTTTTCTACCATTGATCTCAACGCGGCTGAAATCTCCACTTGCAAATTCCACAAAAAGAGTGTTCCAAGTCTGCTCTGTGTAAAGGATCGTTCAACTCTGTGAGTTGAATACACACAACACAAGGAAGTTACTGAGAATTCTTCTCTCAGGCATAATATGAAGAAATCCCGTTTCCAACGAAGGCCTCAAAGAGGTCTGAATATCCACTTGCAGAGTTTACAAACAGAGTGTTTCCTAACTGCTCTATGAAAAGAAAGGTTAAACTCTGTGAGTTGAGCGCACACATCACAAAGAAGTTTCTGAGAATCATTCTGTCTAGTTTCTATAGGAAGATATTTCCTATTCTACCATTGACCTCAAAGCGGCTGAAATCTCCACTTGCAAATTCCACAAAAAGAGTGTTTCAAGTCTGCTCTGTGTAAAGGATCGTTCAACTCTGTGAGTTGAATACACACAACACAAAGGAGTTACTGAGAATTCTTCTGTCTAGTAGAATATGAAGAAATCCCGTTTCCAACGAAGGCCAAAAGATGTCGGAATATCCACTTACAGACTTTACAAACAGAGTGTTTCCTAACTGCTCTATGAACAGAAAGTTTAAACTCTGTGAGTTGAACGAACACATCACAACGCAGTTTGTGGGAATGATTCTGTCTAGTTTTGAAACGAAGATATTTCCTTTTCTGCCATTGAACTTAAAGCGCTTGAAATCTCCATTTGCCAATTGCACAAAAAGAGTGTTTCAAATCTGCTCTGTCTAAGGGAACGTTCAACTCTGTGAGTTGAATGTACACAACACAAGGAAGTTACTGGGAATTCTTCTGTCTAGCCTTACATGAAAAAAACCCTTTTCCAACGAAGGCCTCTAAGTGGTCAAAATTTCCACGTGCAGACTTTACAAACAGAGTGTTTCCAAACCGCTGAATGAAAAGAAAAGTTAAACTCTGAGAGTTGAACGCAAACATCACGCAGCAGTTTCTGAGAATGATTCTGTCTAGTTTTTATACGAAGATATTTCCTTTTCTGCCTTTGGTCCCAAAGCGCTTGAAATCTCCACTTGCAAATTCCACAACAACAGTGTTTCAAATCTGCTCTCTCTAAATGAAAGTTCAACTCTGTCAGTTGAATACACACAACACAAGGAAGTTACTGAGAATTCTTCTGTCTAGCATAATATGAAGAAATCCCGTTTCCAACGAAGGCCTCAAAGGGGTCTGAATATCCACTTGCAGACATTATAAACAGAGTGTTTCCTAACTGCTCTAAGAAAAGAAAGGTTAAACTCTGTGAGTTGAACGCACACATCACAAAGGAGTTTCTGAGAATCATCTGTCTAGTTTCTATAGGAAGATATTTCCTATTCTACCATTGACCTAAAAGCGGCTGAAATCTCCACTTGCAAATTCCACAAAAAGAGTGTTTCAAGTCTGCTCTGTGTAAAGGATCGTTGAACTCTGTGAGTTGAATTCACACAACACAAGGAAGTTCCTGAGAATTCTTCTGTCTAGCAGAATATGAAGAAATCCCGTTTCCAACGAAGGCCACAAGATGTCAGAATATCCACTTACAGAATTTACAAACAGACTGTTTCCTAACTGCTCTATGAAAAGAAAGGTTAAACTCTGTGAGATGAACGAACACATCACAACGCAGTTTTTGGGAATGATTCTGTCTAATTTTTATACGAAGTTATTTCCTTTTCTACCATTGACCTCAAAGCGGCTGAAATCACCACTTGCCAATTGCATAAAAAGAGTTTTTCAAATCTGCTCTGTATAAGGGAACGTTCAACTCTGTGAGTTGAATGTACACAACACAAGGAAGTTACTGGGAATTCTTCTGTCTAGCCTTACAGGAAAAAAACCCGTTTCCAACGGAGGCCTCTAAGTGGTCAAGTTATCCAGGTGCAGACTTTACAAACAGAGTGTTTCCAAACTGCTGAATGAAAAGAAAAGTTAAACTCTGAGAGTTGAACGCACACATCGCAGAGCAGTTTCTGAGAATGATTCTGTCTAGTTTTTATACGAAGATATTTCCTTTTCTGCCTTTGGCCCCAAAGCGCTTGAAATATACACTTGCAAATTCCACAAAAACAGTGTTTCAAATCTGCTCTCTCTAAATGAAAGTTCAACTCTGTCAGTTGAATACACACAACACAAGGAAGTTACTGAGAATTCTTCTGTCTAGCAGAATATGAAGAAATCCCGTTTCCAACGAAGGCCTCAAAGAGGTCTGAATATCCACTTGCAGACTTTACAAACAGAGTGTTTCCTAACTGCTCTATGAAAAGAAAGGTTAAACTCTGTGAGTTGAACGCACACATCACAAAGGAGTTTCTCAGAATCATTCTGTCTAGTTTCTATAGAAAGATATTTCCTATTCTACCATTGACCTCAAAGCGGCTGAAATCTCCACTTGCAAATTCCACAAAAAGAATGTTTCAAGTCTGCTCTGTGTAAAGGATCGTTCAACTCTGTGAGTTCAATACACACAACACAAGGAAGTTACTGAGAATTCTTCTGTCTAGCAGAATATGAAGAAATCCCGTTTCCAACGAAGGTCACAAGATGTCAGAATATCCACTTACAGAATTTACAAACAGACTGGTTCCTAACTGCTCTATGAAAAGAAAGGTTAAACTCTGTGAGTTGAACGAACACATCACAACGCAGTTTGTGGGAATGATTCTGTCTAGTTTTGAAACGAAGATATTTCCTTTTCTGCCATTGACCTTAAAGCGCTTGAAATCTCCACTTGCCAATTGCACAAAAAGAGTGTTTCAAATCTGCTCTGTCTAAGGGAACGTTCAACTCTGTGAGTTGAATGTACACAACGCAAGGAAGTTACTGGGAATTCTTCTGTCTAGCCTTACATGAAAAAATCCCGTTTCCAACGAAGGCCTCTAAGTGGTCAAAATATCCACGTGCAGACTTTACAAACATAGTGTTTCCAAACCGCTGAATGAAAAGAAAAGGTAAACTCTGAGAGTTGAACGCACACATCACGCAGCAGTTGCTGAGAATGATTCTGTCTAGTTTTTATACGAAGATATTTCCTTTTCTGCCTTTGACCTCAAAGCGCTTGAAATCTCCACTTGCAAATTCCACAAAAAGAGTGTTTCAAATCTGCTCTGTGTAAATGAGAGTTCAACTCTGTGAGTTGAACACACACAACACAAGGAAGTTACTGGGAATTCTTCTGTCTAGCATAATATGAAGAAATCCCGTTTCCAACGAAGGCCTCAAAGAGGTCGGAATATCCACTTGCAGACTTTACAAACAGAGTGTTTCCTAACTGCTCTATGAAAAGAAAAGTTAAACTCTCTGAGTTGAACGCACACATCACAAAGGAGTTTCTGAGAATCATTCTGTCTAGTTTCTATAGGAAGATATTTCCTATTCTACCATGGACCTCAAAGCGGCTGAAATCTCCACTTGCAAATTCCACAAAAAGAGTGTTTCAAGACTGTTCTGTGTAAAGGATCATTCAACTCTGTGAGTTGAATACACACAACACAAGGAAGTTACTGAGAATTGTTCTGTCTAGCAGAAGATGAAGAAATCCCGTTTCCAACGAAGGCCACAAGATGTCAGAATATCCACTTACAGAATTTACCAACAGAGTGTTTCCTAACTGCTCTATGAAAAGAAAGGTTAAACTCTGTGAGTTGAACGAACACATCACAACGCAGTTTGTGGGAATGATTCTGTCTAGTTTTGAAACGAAGATATTTCCTTTTCTGCCTTTGCCCTCAAAGCGCTTGAAATCTCCACTTGCAAATTCCACAAAAAGAGTGTTTCAAATCTGCTCTGTGTAAATGAAAGTTCAACTCTGTGAGTTGAACACACGCAAAACAAGGAAGTTACTGGGAATTCTTCTGTCTAGCCTTACATGAAAAAAACCCGTTTCCAACGAAGGCCTCTAAGTGGTCAAATTATCCAGGTGCAGACTTTACAAACAGAGTGTTTCCAAACTGCTGAATGAAAAGCAAAGTTAAACTCTGAGAGTTGAACGCACACATCGCAGAGCAGTTTCTGAGAATGATTCTGTCTAGTTTTTATACGAAGATATTTCCTTTCCTGCCTTTGGCCTCAAAGCGCTTGAAATCTCCATTTGCAAATTCCACAAAAAGAGTGTTTCAAATCTGCTCTGTGTAAATGAAAGTTCAACTCTGTGAGTTGAACACACACAACACAAGGAAGTTACTGGGAATTCTTCTGTCTAGCAGAATATGAAGAAATCCCGTTTCCAACGAAGGCCTCAAGGAGGTCTGAATATCCACTTGCAGACGTTACAAACAGAGTGTTTCCTAACTGCTCTATGAAAAGAAAGGTTAAACTCTGTGAGTTGAACGCACACATCACAAAGGAGTTTCTGAGAATCGTTCTGTCTAGTTTCTATAGGAAGATATTTCCTATTCTAACATTGACCTCAAAGCGGCTGAAATCTCCACTTGCAAATTCCACAAAAAGAGTGTTTCAAGTCTGCTCTGTGTAAAGGATTGTTCAACTCTGTGAGTTGAATACACACAACACAAGGAAGTTACTGAGAATTCTTCTGTCTAGCATAATATGAAGAAATCCCGTTTCCAAAGAAGGCCTCAGGGAGGTCTGAATATCCACTTGCAGACTTTACAAACAGAGTGTTTCCGAACTGCTCTATGAAAAGAAAGGTTAAACTCTGTGAGTTGAACGCACACATCACAAAGGAGTTTCTGAGAATTATTCTGTCTAGTTTTGAAACGAAGATATTTCCTTTTCTGCCATTGACCTTAAAGCGCTTGAAATCTCCACTTGCCAATTGCACAAAAAGAGTGTTTCAAATCTGCTCTGTCTAAGGGAACCTTCAACTCTGTGAGTTGAATGTACACAACACAAGGAAGTTACTGGGAATTCTTCTGTCTAGCCTTACATGAAAAAAACCCGTTTCCAACGAAGGTCTCTAAGTGGTCAAATTATCCACGTGCAGACTTTACAAACAGAGTGTTTCCAAACTGCTGAATGAAAAGAAAAGTTAAGCTCTGAGAGTTGTACGCACACATCGCAGAGCAGTTTCTGAGAATGATTCTGTGTAGTTTTTATACGAAGATATATCCTTTTCTGCCTTTGGCCTCAAAGCGCTTGAAATCTCCACTTGCAAATTCCACAAAAAGAGTGTTTCCAATCTGCTCTGTGTAAATGAAAGTTCAACTCTGTGAGTTGAACACACACATCACAAGGAAGTTACTGGGAATTCTTCTGTGTAGCATAATATGAAGAAATCCCGTTTCCAACGAAGGCCTCAAAGGGGTCTGAATATCCACTTGCAGACTTTATAAACTGAGTGTTTACTAACTGCTCTATGAAAAGAAACGTTAAACTCTGTGAGTTGAACACACACATCACAAAGGAGTTTCTGAGAATCATTCTGTCTAGTTTTTATAGGAAGATATTTCCTTTTCTACATTTGACTTCAAAGCGGCTGAAATCTCCACTTGCAAATTCCACAAAAAGAGTGTTACAAGTCTGCTCTGTCTAAGGGAACGTTCAACTCTGTGAGTTGAATGTACACAACACAAGGAAGTTACTGGGAATTCTTCTGTCTAGCAGAATATGAGGAAATCCCGTTTCCAACGAAGGCCACAAGATGTCAGAATATCCACTTACAGAATTGACAAACAGACTGTTTCCTAACTGCTCTATGAAAAGAAAGGTTAAACTCTGTGAGTTGAACGAACACATCACAACGCAGTTTGTGGGAATGATTCTGTCTAGTTTTGAAACGAAGATATTTCCTTTTCTGCCATTGACCTTAAAGCGCTTGAAATCTCCATTTGCCAATTGCACAAAAAGAGTGTTTCAAATCTGCTCTGTCTAAGGGAACGTTCAACTCTGTGAGGTGAATGTACACAACACAAGGAAGTTACTGGGAATTCTTCTGTTTAGCCTTACATGAAAAAAACCCGTTTCCAACGAAGGCCTCTAAGTGGTCAAAATATCCACGTGCAGACTTTACAAACAGAGTGTTTCCAAACCGCTGAATGAAAAGAAAAGTAAAACTCTGAGAGGTAATCCCACACATCACGCAGCAGTTTCTGAGAATGATTCTGTCTAGTTTTTATACGAAGATATTTCCTTTTCTGCCTTTGGCCCCGAAGCGCTTGAAATCTCCACTTGCAAATTCCACAAAAACAGTGTTTCAAATCTGCTCTCTCTAAATGAAAGTTCAACTCTGTCAGTTGAATACATACAACAGAAGGAAGTTACTGAGAATTCTTCTGTCTAGCCTTATATGAAAAAAACCCGTTTCCAACGAAGGCCTCAAAGAGGTCTGAATATCCACTTGGAGACTTTACAAACAGAGTGTTTCCTAACTGCTCTATGAAAAGAAAGGTTAAACTCTGTGAGTTGAACGCACACATCTCAAAGGAGTTTCTGAGAATCATTCTGTCTAGTTTCTACAGGAAGATATTTCCTATTCTACCATTGACCTCAAAGCGGCTGAAATCTCCACTTGCAAATTCCACAAAAAGAGTGTTTCAAGTCTGCTCTGTGTAAAGGATCGTTCAACTCTGTGAGTTGAAAACACACAACACAAGGAAGTTACTGAGAATTCTTCTGTCTAGCAGAATATGAAGAAATCCCGTTTCCAACGAAGGCCTCAAGGAGGTCTGAATATCCACTTGCAAACTTTACAAACAGAGTGTTTCCTACCAGCTCTATGAACAGAAAGGTTAAACTCTGTGAGTTGAACGCACACATCACAAAAGAGTTTCTGAGAATCATTCTGTCTAGTTTTGAAACTAAGATATTTCCTTTTCTGCCATTGACCTTAAAGCGCTTGAAATCTACACTTGCAAATTGCACAAATAGAGTGTTTCAAATCTGCTCTGTCTAAGGGAAGGTTCAACTCTGTGAGTTGAATGCACACAACACAAGGAAGTTACTGGGAATTCTTCTGTCTAGCCTTACAAGAAAAAAACCCGTTTCCAACGAAGGCCTCTAAGTGGTCAAAATATCCACGTGCAGACTTTACAAAGAGAGTGTTTTCAAACTGTTGAATGAAAAGAAAAGTTAAACTCTGAGAGTTGAACGCACACATCGCAGAGCAGTTTCTGAGAATGATTCTGTCTAGTTTTTATACGAAGATATTTCCTTTTCTGCCTTTGGCCTCAAAGCGCTTGAAATCTCCACCTGCAAATTCCACAAAAAGAGTGTTTCAAATCTGCTCTGTGTAAATGAAAGTTCAACTCTGTGAGTTGAACACACACAACACAAGGGAAGTTACTGGGGAATTCTTCTGTCTAGCCTTATATGAAAAAAACCCGTTTCCAACGGAGGCCTCAAAGAGGTCTGAATATCCACTTGCAGACTTTACAAACAGAGTGTTTCCTAACTGCTCTATGAAAAGAAAGGTTAAACTCTGTGAGTTGAACGCACACATCACAAAGGAGTTTCTGAGAATCATTCTGTCTAGTTTTTATAGGAAGATATTTCCTTTTCTACCTTTGACTTCAAAGCGGCTGAAATCTCCACTTGCAAATTCCACAAAAAGAGTGTTACAAGTCTGCTCTGTGTAAAGGATCGTTCAACTCTGTGAGTTGAATACACACAACACAAGGAAGTTACTGAGAACTCTTCTGTCTAGCAGAATATGAAGAAATCCCGTTTCCAACGAAGGCCACAAGATGTCAGAATATCCACTTACAGAATTTACAAACAGACTGTTTCCTAACTGCACTATGAAAAGAAAGGTTAAACTCTGTGAGTTGAACGAACACATCACAACGCAGTTTGTGGGAATGATTCTGTCTAGTTTTGAAACGAAGATATTTCCTTTTCTGCCGTTGACCTTAAAGCGCTTGAAATCTACACTTGCAAATTGCACAAATAGAGTGTTTCAAATCTGCTCTGTCTAAGGGAACGTTCAACTCTGTGAGTTGAATGCACGCAACACAAGGAAGTTACTGGGAATTCTTCTGTCTAGCCTTACATGAAAAAAACCCGTTTCCAACGAAGGCCTCTAAGTGGTCAAAATATCCACGTGCAGACTTTACAAACAGAGTGTTTCCAAACCGCTGAATGAAAAGAAAAGTTAAACTCTGAGAGTTGAACGCACACATCACGCAGCAGTTTCTGAGAATGATTCTGTCTAGTTTTTATACGAAGATATTTCCTTTTCTACCATTGACCTCAACGCGGCTGAAATCTCCACTTGCAAATTCCACAAAATGAGTGTTTCAAGTCCGCTCTGTGTAAAGGATCGTTCAACTCTGTGAGTTGAATACACACAACACAAGGAAGTTAGTGAGATTTCTTCTGTCTAGCACAGTATGAAGAAATCCCGTTTCCAACGAAGGCCTCAAAGAGGTCTGAATATCCACTTGCAGAGTTGACAAACAGAGTGCTTCCTAACTGCTCTATGAAAAGAAAGGTTAAACTCTGTGAGTTGAACGCACACATCACAATGAAGTTTCTGAGAATCATTCTGTCTAGTTTTTATACGAAGATATTTCCTTTTCTACCATGGACCTCAAAGCGGCTGAAATCTCCACTTGCAAATTCCACAAAAAGAGTGTTTCAAGTCTGCTCTGTGTAAAGGATCGTTCAACTCTGTGAGTTGAATACACAGAACACAAGGAAGATTCTGAGAATTCTTCTGTCTAGCAGAATATGAAGAAATCCCGTTTCCAACGAAGGCCACAAGATGTCAGAATATCCACTTACAGAATTTACACACAGACTGTTTCCTAACTGGTCTATGAAAAGAAAGGTTAAACTCTGTGAGTTGAACGAACACATCACAACGCAGTTTGTGGGAATGATTCTGTCTAGTTTTGAAACCAAGATATTTCCTTTTCTGCCGTTGACCTTAAAGAGCTTGAAAACTACACTTGCAAATTGCACAAATAGAGTGTTTCAAATCTGCTCTGTCTAAAGGAACGTTCAACTCTGTGAGTTGAATGCACACAACACAAGGAAGTTACTGGGAATTCTTCTTTCTACCCTTACATGAAAAAAACCCGTTTCCAACGAAGGCCTCTAAGTGGTCAAAATATCCACGTGCAGACTTTACAAACAGAGTGTTTCCAAACTGCTGAATGAAAAGAAAAGTTAAACTCTGAGAGTTGAACGCACACATCACAGAGCATTTTCTGAGAATGATTCTGTCTAGTTTTTATACGAAGATATTTCCTTTTCTGCCTTTGGCCCCAAAGCGCTTGAAATCTCCACTTGCAACTTCCACAAAAACAGTGTTTCAAATCTGCTGTCTCTAAATGAAAGTTCAACTCTGTCAGTTGAATACACACAACACAAGGAAGTTACTGAGAATTCTTCTGTCTAGCAGAATATGAAGAAATCCCGTTTCCAACGAAGGCCTCAAAGAAGTCTGAATATCCACTTGCAGACTTTACAAACAGAGTGTTTCCTAACTGCTCTATGAAAAGAAAGGTTAAACTCTGTGAGTTGAACGCACACATCACAAGGGAGTTTCTGAGAATCATTCTGTCTAGTTTTTATACGAAGATATTTCCTTTTCTACTATTGACCACAAAGCGGCTGAGATCTCCACTTGCAAATTCCACAAAAAGAGTGTTTCAAGTCTGCCCTGTAGAAAGGATCGTTGAACTCTTTGAGTTGAATACACACAACACAAGGAAGTAACTGAGAATTCTTCTGTCTAGCAGAATATGAAGAAATCCCGTTTCCAACGAAGGCCACAAGATGTCAGAATATCCACTTACAGAATTTACAAACAGACTGTTTCCTAACTCCTCTATGAAAACAAAGGTTAAACTCTGTGAGTTGAACGAACACATCACAACGCAGTTTGTGGGAATGATTCTGTCTAGTTTTGAAACGAAGATATTTCCTTTTCTGCCGTTGACCTTAAAGAGCTTGAAAACTACACTTGCAAATTGCACAAATAGAGTGTTTCAAATCTGCTCTGTCTAAGGGAACGTTCAACTCTGTGAGTTGAATGCACACAACACAAGGAAGTTACTGGGAATTCTTCTGTCTAGCCTTACATGAAAAAAACCCGTTTCCAACGAAGACCTCTAAGGGGTCAAAATATCCACGTGCAGTCTTTACAAACAGAGTGTTTCCAAACCGCTGAATGAAAAGAAAAGTTAAACTCTGAGAGTTGAACGCACACATCACGCAGCAGTTTCTGAGAATGATTCTGTCTAGTTTTGAAACGAAGATATTTCCTTTTCTGCTTTGGCCTCAAAGCGCTTGAAATCTCCACTTGCAAATTCCACAAAAAGAGTGTTTCAAATCTGCTCTGTGTAAATGAAAGTTCAACTCTGTGAGTTGAACACACACAACACAAGGAAGTTACTGGGAATTCTTCTGTCTAGCAGAATATGATGAAATCCCGTTTCCAACGAAAGCCTCAAAGATGTCTGAATATCCACTTGCAGACTTTACAAACAGAGTGTTTCCTAACTGCTCTATGAAAAGAAAGGTTAAACTCTGTGAGTTGAACGCACACATCACAAAGGAGTTTCTGAGAATCATTCTGTCTAGTTTTTATACGAAGATATTTCCTTTTCTACCATTGACCTCAAAGCGGCTGAAATCTCCACTGGCCAATTCAACAAAAAGAGTTTTTCAAGTCTACTCTGTGTAAAGGATCGTAGAACTCTGTGAGTTGAAAACACGCAACACCAGGAAGTTTCTGAGAATTCTTCTGTCTAGCAGAATATGAAGAAATCCCTTTTCCAACGAAGGCCACAAGATGTCAGGATATCCACTTACAGACTTTACAAACAGAGTGTTTCCTAACTGCTCTATGAACAGAAAGGTTAAACTCTGTGAGTTGAACGAACACATCACAACGCAGTTTGTGGGAATGATTCTGTCTAGTTTTGAAACGAAGATATTCCCTTTTCTGCCATTGACCTTAAAGCGCTTGAAATCTCCATTTGCCAATTGCACAAAAAGAGTGTTTCAAATCTGCTCTGTCTAAGGGAACGTTCAACTCTGTGAGTTGAATGTACACAACACAAGGAAGTTACTGGGAATTCTTCTGTCTAGCCTTACATGAAAAAAACCCGTTTCCAACGAAGGCCTCTAAGTGGGCAAAATATCCACGTGCAGACTTTACAAACAGAGTGTTTCCAAACCGCTGAATGAAAAGAAAAGTTAAACTCTGAGAGTTGAACGCACACATCACGCAGCAGTTTCTGAGAATGATTCTGTCTAATTTTTATACGAAGATATTTCCTTTTCTGCCTTTGGCCCCAAAGCGCTTGAAATCTCCACTTGCAAATTCCACAAAAACAGTGTTTCAAATCTGCTCTCTCTAAATGAAAGTTCAACTCTGTCAGTTGAATACACACAACACAAGGAAGTTACTGAGAATTCTTCTGTCTAGCACAGTATGAAGAAACCCGTTTCCAAGGAAAGGCCTCAAAGAGGTCTGAATATCCACTTGCAGAGTTTAAAAACACAGTGTTTCCTAACTGCTCTATGAAAAGAAAGGTTAAACTCTGTGAGTTGAACACACACATCACAAAGAAGTTTCTGAGAATCATTCTGTCTAGTTTTTATACGAAGATATTTCCTTTTCTGCCTTTGGCCTCAAAGCGCTTGAAATCTCCACTTGCAAATTCCACAAAAAGAGTGTTTCAAGTCTGCTCTGTGTAAAGGATCGTTCAACTCTGTGAGTTGAATACACACAACACAAGGAAGTTACTGAGAATTCTTCTGTCTAGCATAGTATGAAGAAATCCCGTTTCCAACGAAGGCCCCAAAGAGGTCTGAATATCCACTTGCAGAGTTTACAAACAGAGTGTTTCCTAACTGCTCTATGAAAAATAAGGTTAAACTCTGTGAGTTGAACGCACACATCACAAAGAAGTTTCTGAGAATCATTCTGTCTAGTTTTGAAACGAAGATATTTTCTTTTCTGCAATTGACCTTAAAGCGCTTGACATCTCCATTTGCCAATTGCACAAAAAGAGTGTTACAAGTCTGCTCTGTGTAAAGGATCGTTCAACTCTGTGAGATGAATACACACAACAGAAGGAAGTTACTGAGAATTCTTCTGTCTAGCCTTACATGAAAAAAACCCGTTTCCAACGAAGGCCTCTAAGTGGTCAAGTTATCCACGTGCAGACTTTACAAACAGAGTGTTTCCAAACTGCTGAATGAAAAGAGAAGTTAAACTCTGAGAGTTGAACGCACACATCGCAGAGCAGTTTCGGAGAATGATTCTGTGTAGTTTTTATACGAAGATATTTCCTTTTCTGCCTTTGGCCCCAAAGCGCTTGAAATCTCCAATTGCAAATTCCACAAAAACAGTGTTTCAAATCTGCTCTCTCTAAATGAAAGTTCAACTGCTGTCAGTTGAATACACACAACACAAGGAAGTTACTGAGAATTCTTCTGTCTAGCATAATATGAAGAAATCCCGTTTCCAACGAAGGCCTCAAGGAGGTCTGAATATCCACTTGCAGAGTTTACAAACGGAGTGTTTCCCAACTGCTCTATGAAAAGAAAGGTTAAACTCTGTGAGTTGTACGCACACATCACAAAGGAGTTTCTCAGAATCATTCTGTCTAGTTTCTATAGAAAGATATTTCCTATTCTACCATTGACCTCAAAGCGGCTGAAATCTCCACTTGCAAATTCCAGAAAAAGAGTGTTTCAAGTCTGCTCTGTGTAAAGGATCGTTCAACTCTGTGAGTTGAATACACACAACACAAGGAAGTTACTGAGAATTCTTCTGTCTAGGAGAATATGAAGAAATCCCGTTTCCAACGAAGGCCACAAGATGTCAGAATATCCACTTACAGAATTGACAAACAGACTGTTTCCTAACTGCTCTATGAAAAGAAAGGTTAAACTCTGTGAGTTGAACGCACACATCACAACGCAGTTTGTGGGAATGATTCTGTCTAGTTTTGAAACGAAGATATTTCCTTTTCTGCCATTGACCTTAAAGCGCTTGAAATCTACACTTGCAAATTGCACAAATAGAGTGTTTCAAATCTGCTCTGTCTAAGGGAACGTTCAACTCTGTGAGTTGAATGCACACAATACAAGGAAATTACTGGGAATTCTTCTGTCTAGCCTTACATGAAAAAAACCCGTTTCCAACGAAGGCCTCTAAGTGGTCAAAATATCCACGTGCAGACTTTACAAACAGAGTGTTTCCAAACTGCTGAATGAAAAGAAAAGTTAAACTCTGAGAGTTGAACGCACACATCACAGAGCAGTTTCTGAGAATGATTCTGTCTAGTTTTTATACGAAGATATTTCCTTTTCTGCCTTTGGCCTCAAAGCGCTTGAAATCTCCACTTGCAAATTCCGGAAAAAGAGTGTTTCAAATCTGCTCTGTCTAAATGAAAGTTCAACTCTGTCAGTTGAATACACACAACACAAGGAAGTTACTGAGAATTCTTCTGTCTAGCATAATATGAAGAAATCCCGTTTCCAACGAAGACCTCAAAGAGGTCTGAATATCCACTTGCAGACTTTACAAACAGAGTGTTTCCTAACTGCTCTATGAGAAGAAAAGTTAAACTCTGTGAGTTGAACGCACACATCACAAAGGAGTTTCTGAGAATCATTCTGTCTAGTTTTTATACGAAGATATTTCCTTTTCTACCATTGACCTCAAAGCGGCTGAAATCTCCACTTGCAAATTCCAGAAAAAGAGTGTTTCAAGTCTACTCTGTGTAAAGCATCGTTTAACTCTGTGAGTTGAAGACACACAACACAAGGAAGTTTCTGACAATTCTTCTGTCTAGCAGAATATGAAGAAATCCCGTTTCCAACGAAGGCCACAAGATGTCTGAATATCCACTTACAGACTTTACAAACAGAGTGTTTCCTAACTGCTCTATGAACAGAAAGGTTAAACTCTGTGAGTTGAACGAACACATCACAACGCAGTTTGTGGGAATGATTCTGTCTAGTTTTGAAACGAAGATATTTCCTTTTCTGCCGTTGACCTTAAAGCGCTTGAAATCTACACTTGCAAATTGCACAAATAGAGTGTTTCAAATCTGCTCTGTCTAAGGGAACGTTCAACTCTGTGAGTTGAATGCACACAACACAAGGAAGTTACTGGGAATTCTCCTGTCTACCCTTATATGAAAAAAACCCGTTTCCAACGAAGGCCTCTAAGTGGTCAAAATATCCACGTGCAGACTTTACAAACAGAGTGTTTCTGAACTGCTGAATGAAAAGAAAAGTTAAACTCTGAGAGTTGAACGCACACATCACAGAGGATTTTCTGAGAATGATTCTGTCTAGTTTTTATAGGAAGATATTTCCTTTTCTACATTTGACTTCAAAGCGGCTGAAATCTCCACTTGCAAATTCCACAAAAAGAGTGTTCCAAGTCTGCTCTGTGTAAAGGATCGTTCAACTGTGTGAGTTGAATACACACAACACAAGGAAGATTCTGAGAATTCTTCTGTCTAGCACAGTATGAAGAAATCCCGTTTCCAACGAAGGCCTCAAAGAGGTCTGAATGTCCACTTGCAGAGTTTACAAACAGAGTGTTTCCTAACTGCTCTATGAAAAGAAAGGTTAAACTCTGTGAGTTGAACGCACACATCACAAAGAAGTTTCTGAGAATCATTCTGTCTAGTTTCTATAGGAAGATATTTCCTATTCTACCATTGACCACAAAGCGGCTGAAATCTCCACTTGCAAATTCCACAAAAAGAATGTTTCAAGTCTGCTCTGTGTAAAGGATCGTTCAACTCTGTGAGTTGAATACACACAACACAAGGAAGTTACTGAGAATTCTTCTGTCTAGCAGAATATGAAGAAATCCCGTTTCCAACGAATGCCACAAGATGTCAGAATATCCACTTACAGAATTGACAAACAGACTCTTTCCTAACTGCTCTATGAAAAGAAAGGTTAAACTCTGTGAGTTGAACGAACACATCACAACGCTGTTTGTGGGAATGATTCTGTCTAGTTTTGAAACGAAGATATTTCCTTTTCTGCCATTGACCTTAAAGCGCTTGAAATCTACACTTGCAAATTGCACAAATAGAGTGTTTCAAATCTGCTCTGTCTAAGGGAACGTTCAACTCTGTGAGTTGAAAGCACACAACACAAGGAAGTTACTGGGAATTCTTCTGTCTAGCCTTACAGGAAAAAAACCCGTTTCCAACGAAGGCCTGTAAGTGGTCAAAATATCCACGTGCAGACTTTACAAACAGAGTGTTTCCAAACTGCTGAATGAAAAGAAAAGTTAAACTCTGAGAGTTGAACGCACACATCGCAGAGCAGTTTCTGAGAATGATTCTGTCTAGTTTTTATACGAAGATATTTCCTTTTCTGCCTTTGGCCTCAAAGCGCTTGAAATCTCCACTTGCAAATTCCACAAAAAGAGTGTTTCAAATATGCTCTTTGTAAATGAAAGTTCAACTCTGTGAGTTGAACACACACAACACAAGGAAGTTACTGGGAATTCTTCTGTCTAGCAGAATATGAAGAAATCCCGTTTCCAACGAAGGCCTCAAAGAGGTCTGAATATCCACTTGCAGACTTTACAAATAGAGTGTTTCCTAACTGCTCTATGAACAGAAAGGTTAAACTCTGTGAGTTGAACGCACACATCACAAAGGAGTTTCTGAGAATCGTTTGTCTAGTTTCTATAGGAAGATATTTCCTATTCTACCATTGACCTCAAAGCGGCTGAAATCTCCACTTGCAAATTCCACAAAAAGAGTGTTTCAAGTCTGCTCTGTGTAAAGGATCGTTCAACTCTGTGAGTTGAATACACACAACACAAGGAAGTTACTGAGAATTCTTCTGTCTAGCAGAATATGAAGAAATCCCGTTTCCAACGAAGGGCCACAAGATGTCAGAATATCCACTTACAGACTTTACAAACAGAGTGTTTCCTAACTGCTCTATGAACAGAAAGGTTAAACTCTGTGAGTTGAACGAATACATCACAACGCAGTTTGTGGGAATGATTCTGTCTAGTTTTGAAACCAAGATATTTCCTTTTCTGCCGTTGACCTTAAAGAGCTTGAAAACTACACTTGCAAATTGCACAAATAGAGTGTTTCAAATCTGCTCTGTCTAAGGGAACGTTCAACTCTGTGAGTTGAATGCACACAACACAAGGAAGTTACTGGGAATTCTTCTGTCTAGCCTTACATGAAAAAAACCCGTTTCCAACGAAGGCCTCTAAGTGGGCAAAATATCCATGTGCAGACTTTACAAACAGAGTGTTTCCAAACCGCTGAATGAAAAGAAAAGTTAAACTCTGAGAGTTGAACGCACACATCACGCAGCAGTTTCTGAGAATGATTCTGTCTAGTTGTTATACGAAGATATTTTCCTTTTCTGCCTTTAGCCTCAAAGCGCTTGAAATCTCCACTTGCAAATTCCACAAAAAGAGTGTTTCAAATCTGCTCTGTGTAAAGGATCGTTCAACTCTGTGAGTTGAATACACACAACACAAGGAAGATTCTGAGAATTTTTCTGTCTAGCAGAATATGAAGAAATCCCGTTTCCAAAGAAGGCCTCAAGGAGGTCTGAATATCCACTTGCAGACTTTACAAACAGAGTGTTTCCTAATTGCTCTATGAAAAGAAAGGTTAAAGTGTGTGAGTTGAACGCACACATCACAAAGGAGTTTCTCAGAATCATTCTCTCTAGTTTTTATACGAAGATATTTCCTTTTCTACCATTGACCTCAAAGCGGCTGAAATCTCCACTTGCAAATTCCACAAAAAGAGTGTTTCAAATCTGCTCTGTGTAAACCATCGTTCAACTGTGTGAGTTGAATACACACAACACAAGGAAGATTCTGAGAATTCTTCTGTCTAGCAGAATATGAAGAAATCCCGTTTCCAACGAAGGCCACAAGATGTCAGAATATCCACTTACAGAATTTACAAACAGAATGTTTCCTAACTGCTCTATGAAAAGAAAGGTTAAACTCTGTGAGATGAACGAACACATCACAACGCAGTTTGTGGGAATGATTCTGTCTAGTTTTGAAACGAAGGTATTTCCTTTTCTGCCATTGACCTTAAAGCGCTTGAAATCTACACTTGCAAATTGCACAAATAGAGTGTTTCAAATCTGCTCTGTCTAAGGGAACGTTCAACTCTGTGAGTTGAATGCACACAACACAAGGAAGTTACTGGGAATTCTTCTGTCTAGCCTTACATGAAAAAAACCCGTTTCCAACGAAGGCCTCTAAGTGGTCAAAATTTCCACGTGCAGACTTTACAAACAGAGTGTTTCCAAACCGCTGAATGAAAAGAAAAGTTAAACTCTGAGAGTTGAACACACACATCACGCTGCAGTTTCTGAGAATGATTCTGTCTAGTTTTGAAACGAAGATATTTCCTTTTCTGCCTTTGGCCTCAAAGCGCTTGAAATCTCCACTTGCAAATTCCACAAAAAGAGTGTTTCAAATCTGCTCTGTGTAAATGAAAGTTCAACTCTGTGAGTTGAACACACACAACACAAGGAAGGTACTGGGAATTCTTCTTTCTAGCAGAATATGAAGAAATCCTGTTTCCAACGAAAGCCTCAAGGATGTCTGAATATCCACTTGCAGACTTTACAAACAGAGTGTTTCCCAACTGCTCTATGAAAAGAAAGGTTAAACTCTGTGAGTTGAACGCACACATCACAAAGGAGTTTCTGAGAATCATTCTGTCTAGTCTTTATACGAAGATATTTCCTTTTCTACCATTGACCTCAAAAGGGCTGAAATCTCCACTTGCAAATTCCACAAAAAGAGTGTTTCAAGTCTGCTCTGTGTAAAAGATCGTTCAACTCTGTGAGTTGAATACACACAACACAAGGAAGTTACTGAGAATTCTTCTTTCTAGCAGAATATGAAGAAATCCCGTTTCCAACGAAGGCCACAAGATGTCAGAATATCCACTTACAGAATTGACAAACAGACTGTTTCCTAACTGCTCTATGAAAAGAAAGGTTAAACTCTGTGAGTTGAACGAACACATCACAACGCAGTTTGTGGGAATGATTCTGTCTAGTTTTGAAACGAAGATATTTCCTTTTCTGCCATTGACCTTAAAGCGCTTGAAATCTACACTTGCAAATTGCACAAATAGAGTGTTTCAAATCTGCTCTGTCTAAGGTAACGTTCAACTCTGTGAGTTGAATGCACACAACACAAGGAAGTTACTGGGAATTCTTCTGTCTAGCCTTACATGAAAAAAACCCGTTTCCAACGAAGGCCTCTAAGTGGTCAAAATATCCACGTGCAGACTTTACAAACAGAGTGTTTCCAAACCGCTGAATGAAAAGAAAAGTTAAACTCTGAGAGTTGAACGCACACATCACGCAGCAGTTTCTGAGAATGATTCTGTCTACTTTTTATACGAAGATATTTCCTTTTCTGCCTTTGGCCCCAAAGCGCTTGAAATCTCCACTTGCAATTTCCACAAAAACAGTGTTTCAAATCTGCTCTCTCTAAATGAAAGTTCAATTCTGTCAGTTGAATACACACAACACAAGGAAGTTACTGAGAATTCTTCTTTCTAGCAGAATATGAAGAAATCCCGTTTCCAACAAAAGCCTCAAGGATGTCTGAATATCCACTTGCAGACTGTACAAACAGAGTGTTTCCTAACTGCTCTATGAAAAGAAAGGTTAAACTCTGTGAGTTGAACGCACACATCACAAAGGAGTTTCTGAGAATCATTCTGTCTAGTTTCTATAGGAAGATATTTCCTATTCTACCATTGACCTCAAAGCGGCTGAAATCTCCACTTGCAAATTCCACAAAAACAGTGTTTCAAGTCTGCTCTGTGTAAAGGATCGTTCAACTCTGTGAGTTGAATACACACAACACAAGGAAGTTACTGAGAATTCTTTTGTCTAGCATAATATGAAGAAATCCCGTTTCCACCGAAGGCCTCAAGGAGGTCTGAATATCCACTTGCAGACTTTACAAACAGAGTGTTTCCTAACTGCTCTATGAACAGAAAGGTTAAACTCTGTGAGTTGAACGCACACATCACAAAGGAGTTTCTGAGAATCATTCTGTCTATTCTTTATGCGAAGATATTTCCTTTTCTACCATTGACCTCAAAGCGGCTGAAATCTCCACTTGCAAATTCCACAAAAAGAGTGTTTCAAGTCTGCTTTGTGTAAAGGATCGTACACCTCTGTGAGTTGAATACACACCACACAAGGAAGTTACTGAGAATTCTTCTGTCTAACCTTACATGAAAAAAACCCGTTTCCAACGAAGGCCTCTAAGTGGTCAAAATATCCACGTGCAGACTTTACAAACAGAGTGTTTCCAAACCGCTGAATGAAAAGAAAAGTTAAACTCTGAGAGTTGAACGCACACATCACGCAGCAGTTTCTGAGAATGATTCTGTCTAGTTTTTATACGAAGATATTTCGTTTTCTGCCTTTGGCCACAAAGCGCTTGAAATCTCCACTTGCAAATTCCACAAAAACAGTGTTTCAATCTGCTCTCTCTAAATGAAAGTTCAACTCTGTCAGTTGAATACACACAACACAAGGAAGTTACTGAGAATTCTTCTGTCTAGCAGAATATGAAGAAATCCCGTTTCCAACGAAGGCCTCAAAGAGGTCTGAATATCCACTTGCAGACTTTACAAACAGAGTGTTTCCTAACTGCTCTATGAAAAGAAAAGTTAAACTCTGTGAGTTGAACGCACACATCACAAAGGATTTTCTGAGAATCATTCTGTCTAGTTTTTATAGGAAGATATTTCCTTTTCTACCTTTGACTTCAAAGCGGCTGAAATCTCCACTTGCAAATTCCACAAAAAGAGTGTTACAAGTCTGCTCTGTGTAAAGGGATCGTTCAACTCTGTGAGTTGAATACACACAACACAAGGAAGTTACTGAGAATTCTTCTGTCTAGCAGAATATGGAGAAATCCCGTTTCCAACGAAGGCCTCTAGGAGGTCTGAATATCCACTTGCAGACTTTACAAACAGAGTGTTTCCTAACTGCTCTATGAACAGAAAGGTTAAACTCTGTGAGTTGAACGAACACATCACAACGCAGTTTGTGGGAATGATTCTGTCTAGTTTTGAAACGAAGATATTTCCTTTTCTGCCATTGACCTTAAAGCGCTTGAAATCTCCATTTGCCAATTGCACAAAAAGAGTGTTTCAAATCTGCTCTGTCTAAGGGAACGTTCAACTCTGTGAGTTGAATGTACACAATACAAGGAAGTTACTGGGAATTCTTCTGTCTAGCCTTACAGGAAAAAAAACCGTTTCCAACGAAGGCCTCTAAGTGGTCAAAATATCCACGTGCAGACTTTACAAACAGAGTGTTTCCAAACTGCTGAATGAAAGAAAAGTTAAACTCTGAGAGTTTAACGCACACATCGCAGAGCAGTTTCTGAGAATGATTCTGTCTAGTTTTTATGCGAAGATATTTCCTTTTCTGCCTTTGGCCTCAAAGCGCTTGAAATCTCCACTTGCAAATTCCACAAAAAGAGTGTTTCAAATCTGCTCTGTGTAAATGAAAGTTCAACTCTGTGAGTTGAACACACACAACACAAGGAAGTTACTGGGAATTCTTCTGTCTAGCCTTATATGAAAAAAACCCGTTTCCAACGAAGGCCTCAAAGAGGGCTGAATATCCACTTGCAGACTTTACAAGCAGAGTGTTTCCTAACTGCTCTATGAAAAGAAAGGTTAAACTCTGTGAGTTGAATGCACACATCATAAAGGAGTTTCTGAGAATCATTCTGTCTAGTCTTTATAGGAAGATATTTACTTTTCTACCATTGACCTCAAAGCGGCTGAAATCTCCACTTGCAAATTCCACAAAAAGAGTGTTTCAAGTCTGCTCTGTGTAAAGGACCATTCAACTCTGTGAGTTGAATAAACACAACACAAGGAAGTTACTGAGAATTCTTCTGTCTAGCAGAATATGAAGAAATCCCGTTTCCAACGAAGGCCACAGGATGTCAGAATATCCACTTACAGAATTTACAAACAGACTGTTTCCTAACTGCTCTATGAAAAGAAAGGTTAAACTCTGTGAGTTGAACGAACACATCACAACGCAGTTTGTGGGAATGATTCTGTCTAGTTTTGAAACGAAGATATTTCCTTTTCTGCCGTTGACCTTAAAGCACTTGAAATCTACACTTGCAAATTGCACAAATAGAGTGTTTCAAATCTGCTCTGTCTAAGGGAACGTTCAACTCTGTGAGTTGAATGCACACAACACAAGGAAGTTACTGGGAATTCTTCTGTCTAGCCTTACATGAAAAAAAACCCGTTTCCAACGAAGGCCTCTAAGTGGTCAAAATATCCACGTGCAGACTTTACAAACAGAGTGTTTCCAAACCGCTGAATGAAAAGAAAAGTTAAACTCTGAGAGTTGAACGCACACATCACGCAGCAGTTTCTGAGAATGATTCTGTCTAGTTTTTATACGAAGATATTTCCTTTTCTGCCTTTGGCCCCAATGCGCTTGAAATCTCCACTGGCAAATTCCACAAAAACAGTGTTTCAAATCTGCTCTCTCTAAATGAAAGTTCAACTCTGTCAGTTGAATACACACAACACAAGGAAGTTACTGAGAATTCTTCTGTCTAGCAGAATATGAAGAAATCCCGTTTCCAACGAAAGCCTCAAAGGTGTCTGAATATCCACTTGCAGACTTTACAAACAGAGTGTTTACTAACTGTTCTATGAAAAGAAAGGTTAAACTCTGTGAGTTGAACGCACACAGCACAAAGGAGTTTCTGAGAATCATTCTGTCTAGTGTTTATAGGAAGATATTTCCTTTTCTACCTTTGACTTCAAAGCGGCTGAAATCTCCACTTGCAAATTCCACAAAAAGAGTGTTACAAGTCTGCTCTGTGTAAAGGATCGTTCAACTCTGTGAGTTGAATACACACAACACAAGGAAGTTACTGAGAATTCTTCTGTCTATCCTTACATGAAAAAAACCCGTTTCCAACGAAGACCTCTAAGTGGTCAAATTATCCACGTGCAGACTTTACAAACAGAGTGTTTCCAAACTGCTGAATGAAAAGAAAAGTTAAACTCTGAGAGTTGAACGCACACATCGCAGAGCAGTTTCTGAGAATGATTCTGTCTAGTTTTGAAACGAAGATATTTCCTTTTCTGCCATTGACCTTAAAACGCTTGAAATCTACAATTGCAAATTGCACAAATAGAGTGTTTCAAATCTGCTCTGTCTAAGGGAACGTTCAACTCTGTGAGTTGAATGCACACAACACAAGGAAAGTTACTGGGAATTCTTCTGTCTAGCCTTACATGAAAAAAACCCGTTTCCAACGAAGGCGTCTAAGTGGTCAAAATATCCACGTGCAGACTTTACAAACAGAGTGTTTCCAAACCGCTGAATGAAAAGAAAAGTTAAACTCTGAGAGTTGAACGCACACATCACGCAGCAGTTTCTGAGAATGATTCTGTCTACTTTCTATAGGAAGATATTTCCTATTCTACCATTGACCTCAAAGCGGCTGAAATCTCCACTTGCAAATTCCACAAAAGGAGTGTTTCAAGTCTGCTCTGTGTAAAGGATCGTTCAACTCTGTGAGTTGAAAACACACAACACAAGAAAGTTTCTGAGAATTCTTCTGTCTAGCAGAACATGAAGAAATCCCGCTTCCAACGAAGGCCTCAAGGAGGTCTGAATATCCACTTGCAGACTTTACAAACAGAGTGTTTCCTAACTGCTCTATGAAAAGAAAGGTTAAACTCTGTGAGTTGAACGCACACATCACAAAGAAGTTTCTGAGAATCATTCTGTCTAGTTTCTATAGGAAGATATTTCCTATTCTACCATTGACCTCAAAGCGGCTGAAATCTCCACTTGCAAATTCCACAAAAAGAGTGTTTCAAGTCTGCTCTGTGTAAAGGATCGTGCAACTCTGTGAGTTGAATACACACAACACAAGGCAGTTACTGAGAATTCTTCTGTCTAGCAGAATATGAAGAAATCCCGCTTCCAACGAAGGCCTCAAAGTCTGAATATCCACTTGCAGACTTTACAAACAGAGTGTTTCCCAACTGCTCTATGAAAGGAAAGGTTGAACTCTGTGAGTTGAACGCACACATCACAAAGGAGTTTCTGAGAATCATTCTGTCTAGTTTTTATACGAAGATATTTCCTTTTCTACCATTGACCTCAAAGCTGCTGAAATCACCACTTGCCAATTGCACAAAAAGAGTGTTTCAAATCTGCTCTGTCTAAGGGAACGTTCAACTCTGTGAGTTGAATGTACACAACACAAGGAAGTTCCTGGGAATTCTTCTCTCTAGCCTTACAGGAAAAAAACCCGTTTCCAACGAAGGCCTCTAAGTGGTCAAAATATCCACGTGCAGACTTTACAAACAGAGTGTTTCCAAACTGCTGAATGAAAAGAAAAGTTAAACTCTGAGAGTTGAACGCACACATCGCAGAGCAGTTTCTGAGAATGATTCTGTCTAGTTTTTATACGAAGATATTTCCTTTTCTACCATTGACCTCAAAGCGGCTGAAATCTCCTCTTGCAGTTCCACAAAAAGAGTGTTTCCAATCTGCTCTGTGTAAAGGATCGTTCAACTCTGTGAGTTGAATGCACACAACACAAGGAAGTTACTGAGAATTCTTCTGTCTAGCAAAATATGAAGAAATCCCGTTTCCAACGAAGGCCGCTAAGAGGTCTGAATATCCACTTGCAGACTTTAGAAACAGAGTGTTTCCTAATTGCTCTATTAAAAGAAAGGTTAAACTCTGTGAGTTGAACGCACACATCAAAAAGGAGTTTCTGAGAATCATTCTGTCTAGTCTTTATACGAAGATATTTCCTTTTCTACCATTGACCTCAAAGCGGCTGAAATCTCCACTTGCAAATTCCACAAAAAGAGTGTTTCAAGTCTGCTCTGTGTAAAGGATCGTTCAACTCTGTGAGTTGAATACACACAACACAAGGAAGTTACTGAGAATTATTCTGTCTAGCAGAATATGAAGAAATCCCGTTTCCAAAGAAGGCCTCAAGGAGGTCTGAATATCCACTTGCAGACTTTACAAACAGTGTGTTTCCTAACTGCTCCATGAAAAGAAAGGTTAAACTCTGTGAGTTGAACGCACACATCACAAAGGAGTTTCTGAGAATCATTCTGTCTAGTTTTTATAGGAAGATATTTCCTTTTCTACTTTAACTTCAAAGCGGCTGAAATCTCCACTTGCAAATTCCACAAAAAGAGTGTTACAAGTCTGCTCTCTGTAAAGGATCGTTCAACTGTGTGAGTTGAATACACACAACACAAGGAAGTTACTGAGAACTCTTCTGTCTAGCCTTACATGAAAAAAACCCGTTTCCAACGAAGGCCTCTAAGTGGTCAAATTATCCACGTGCAGACTTTACAAACAGAGTGTTTCCAAACTGCTGAATGAAAAGCAAAGTTAAACTCTGAGAGTTGAACGCACACATCGCAGAGCACTTTCTGAGAATGATTCTGTCTAGTTTTGAAACGAAGATATTTCCTTTTCTGCCTTTGGCCTCAAAGCGCTTGAAATCTCCACTTTCAAATTCCACAAAAAGAGTGTTTCAAATCTGCTCTGGGTAAATGAAAGTTTAACTCTGTGAGTTGAACACACACAACACAAGGAAGTTACTGGGAATTCTTCTGTCTAGCAGAATATGAAGAAATCCCGTTTCCAACGAAGGCCTCAAGGAGGTCTGAATATCCACTTGCAGACTTTACAAACAGAGTGTTTCCCAACTGCTCTATGAAAAGAAAGGTTGAACTCTGTGAGTTGAACGCACACATCACAAAGGAGTTTCTGAGAATCATTCTGTCTAGTCTGTATAAGAAGATATTTCCTTTTCTACCATTGACCTCAAAGCGGCTGAAATCTCCACTTGCAAATTCCACAAAAAGAGTGTTTCAAGTCCGCTCTGGGTAAAGGATCGTTCAACTCTGTGAGTTGAATACACGCAACACAAGGAAGTTACTGAGAATTCTTCTGTCTAGCAGAATATGAAGAAATCCCGTTTCCAACGAAGGCCACAAGATGTCAGAATATCCACTTACAAAATTTACAAACAGACTGTTTCCTAACTGCTCTATGAAAAGAAAGGTTAAACTCTGTGAGTTGAACGAACACATCACAACGCAGTTTGTGGGAATGATTCTGTCTAGTTTTGAAAGGAAGATATTTCCTTTTCTGCCGTTGACCTTAAAGCGCTTGAAATCTACACTTGCAAATTGCACAAATAGGATGTTTCAAATCTGCTCTGTCTAAGGGAACGTTCAACTCTGTGAGTTGAATGCACACAACACAAGGAAGTTACTGGGAATTCTTCTGTCTAGCCTTACAGGAAAAAAACCCGTTTCCAACGAAGGCCTCTAAGTGGTCAAAGTATCCACGTGCAGACTTTACAAACAGAGTGTTTCCAAACTGCTGAATGAAAAGAAAAGTTAAACTCTGAGAGTTGAACGCACACATCGCAGAGCAGTTTCTGAGAATGATTCTGTCTAGTTTCTATAGGAAGATATTTCCTATTCTACCATTGAACCCAAAGCGGCTGAAATCTCCACTTGCAAATTCCACAAAAAGTGTGTTTCAAGTCTGCTCTGTGTAAAGGATCGTTCAACTCTGTGAGTTGAATACACACAACACAAGGAAGTTACTGAGAATTCTTCTGTCTAGCATAATAGGAAGAAATCCCGTTTCCAACGAAGGCCTCAAGGAGGTCTGAATATCCACTTACAGACTTTACAAACAGAGTGTTTCCTAACTGCTCTATGAAAAGAAAGGTTAAACTCTGTGAGTTGAACGCACACATCACAAAGGAGTTTCTGAGAATCATTCTGTCTAGTTTCTATAGGAAGATATTTCCTATTCTACCATTGACCTCAAAGCGGCTGAAATCTCCACTTACAAATTCCACAAAAAGAGTGTTTCAAGTCTGCTCTGTGTAAAGGATCGTTCAACTCTGTGAGTTGAATACACACAACACAAGGGAAGTTACTGAGAATTATTCTGTCTAGCAGAATATGAAGAAATCCCGTTTCCAACGAAGGCCACAAGATGTCAGAATATCCACTTACAGAATTGACAAACAGACTGTTTCCTAACTGCTCTAAGAAAAGAAAGGTTAAACTCTGTGAGTTGAACGAACACATCACAACGCAGTTTGTGGGAATGATTCTGTCTAGTTTTGAAACGAAGATATTTCCTTTTCTGCCATTGACCTTAAAGCGATTGAAATCTCCATTTGCCAATTGCACAAAAAGAGTGTTTCAAATCTGCTCTGTCTAAGGGAACGTTCAACTCTGTGAGTTGAATGTACACAACACAAGGAAGTTACTGGGAATTCTTCTGTCTAGCCTTACAGGAAAAAAACCCGTTTCCAACGAAGTCCTCTAAGTGGTCAAGTTATCCACGTGCAGACTTTACAAACAGAGTGTTTCCAAACTGCTGAATGAAAAGAAAAGTTAAACTCTGAGAGTTGAACGCACCCATCGCAGAGCAGTTTCTGAGAATGATTCTGTCTAGTTTTGAAACGAAGATATTTCCTTTTCTGCCTTTGGCCTCAAAGCGCTTGAAATCTCCACTTGCAAATTCCACAAAAAGAGTGTTACAAATCTGCTCTGTGTAAAGGATCGTTCAACTCTGTGAGTTGAATACACACAACACAAGGAAGTTACTGAGAATTACTCTGTCTAGCAGAATATGAAGAAATCCCGTTTCCAACGAAGGCCTCAAGGAGGTCTGAATATCCACTTGCAGACTTTACAAACAGAGTGTTTCCTAACAGCTCTATGAACAGAAACGTTAAACTCTGTGAGTTGAACGCACACATCACAAAGGAGTTTCTGAGAATCATTCTGTCTAGTCTTTATACGAAGATATTTCCTTTTCTACCATTGACCTCAAAGCGGCTGAAATCTCCACTTGCAAATTCCACAAAAAGAGTGTTTCAAGTCTGCTCTGTGTAAAGGATCGTTCAACTCTGTGAGTTGAATAGACACAACACAAGGAAGTTACTGAGAATTCTTCTGTCTAGCAGAATATGAAGAAATCCCGTTTCCAACGAAGGCCACAAGATGTCAGAATATCCACTTACAGACTTTACAAACAGAGTTTTTCCTAACTGCTCTATGAACAGAAAGGTTAAACTCTGTGAGTTGAACGAACACGTCACAACGCAGTTTGTGGGAATGATTCTGTCTAGTTTTGAAACGAAGATATTTTCTTTTCTGCCTTTGACCTTAAAGCGCTTGAAATCTCCACTTGCCAATTGTACAAAAAGAGTGTTTCAAATCTGCTCTGTCTAAGGGAACGTTCAACTCTGTGAGTTGAATGTACACAACACAAGGAAGTTACTGGGAATTCTTCTGTCTAGCCTTACATGAAAAAAACCCGTTTCCAACGAAGGCCTCTAAGTGGTCAAAATTTCCACGTGCAGACTTTACAAACAGAGTGTTTCCAAACTGCTGAATGAAAAGAAAAGTTAAACTCTGAGAGTTGAACGCACACATCACGCAGCAGTTTCTGAGAATGATTCTGTGTAGTTTTTATACGAAGATATTTCCTTTTCTGCCTTTGGCCTCAAAGCGCTTGAAATCTCCACTTGCAAATTCCACAAAAAGAGTGTTTCAAATCTGCTCTATGTAAATGAAAGTTCAACTCTGTGAGTTGAACACACACATCACAAGGAAGTTACTGGGAATTCTTCTGTCTAGCCTTATATGAAAAAAACCCGTTTCCAACGAAGGCCTCAAAAAGGTCTGAATATCCTCTTGCAGACTTTACAAACAGAGTGTTTGCTAACTGCTCTATGAAAAGAAAGGTTAAACCCTGTGAGTTGGACACACACATCACTAAGGAGTTTCTGAGAATCATTCTGTCTAGTTTCTATAGGAAGATGTTTCCTATTCTACCATTGACCTCAAAGCGGCTGAAATCTCCACTTGCAAATTCCACAACAAGAGTGTTTCAAGTATGCTCTGTGTAAAGGATCGTTCAACTCTGTGAGTTGAATACACACAACACAATGAAGTTACTGAGAATTCTTCTGTATAGCACAGTATGAAGAAATCCCGTTTCCAACGAAGGCCTCAAAGAGGTCTGAATATCCACTTGCAGACTTTACAAACAGAGTGTTTCCTAACTGCTCTATGAAAAGAAAGGTTAAACTCTGTGAGTTGAACGCACACTTCACAATGAAGTTTCTGAGAATCATTCTGTCTAGTTTTTATACGAAGATATTTCCTTTTCTACCATTGACCCCAAAGCGGCTGAAATCACCACTTGCCAATTGCACAAAAAGAGTGTTTCAAATCTGCTCTGTCTAAGGGAACGTTCAACTCTGTGAGTTGAATGTAGACAACACAAGGAAGTTACTGGGAATTCTTCTGTCTAGCTTTACAGGAAAAAAACCCGTTTCCAACGAAGGCCTCTAAGTGGTCAAAATATCCACGTGCAGACTTTACAAACAGAGTGTTTCCAAACTGCTGAATGAAAAGAAAAGTTAAACTCTGAGAGTTGAACGCACACATCGCAGAGCAGTTTCTGAGAATGATTCTGTCTAGTTTTTATACGAAGATATTTCCTTTTCTGCCTTTGGCCTCAAAGCGCTTGAAATCTCCATTTGCAAATTCCACAAAAAGAGTGTTTCCAATCTGCTCTGTGTAAATGAAAGTTCAACTCTGTGAGTTGAACACACACAACACAAGGAAGTTACTGGGAATTCTTCTGTCTAGCCTTATATGAAAAAAACCCGTTTCCAACGATGGCCTCAAAGAGGTCTGAATATCCACTTGCAGACTTTACAAACAGAGTGTTTCCTAACTGCTCTATGAAAAGAAAGGTTAAACTCTGTGAGTTGAACGCACACATCACAAAGGAGTTTCTGAGAATCTATCTGTCTAGTCTTTATACGAAGATATTTCCTTTTCTACCATTGACCTCAAAGCGGCTGAAATCTCCACTTGCAAATTCCACAAAAAGAGTGTTTCAAGTCTGCTCTGTGTAAAGGATCGTTCAACTCTGTGAGTTGAATACACAAAACACAAGGAAGTTAGTGAGAATTCTTCTGTCTAGCATAGCATGAAGAAATCCCGTTTGCAACGAAGGCCTCAAAGAGGTCTGAATATCCACTTGCAGAGTTTACAAACAGAGTGTTTCCTAACTGCTCTATGAAAAGAAAGGTTAAACTCTGTGAGTTGAACGCACACATCACAAAGAAGTTTCTGAGAATCATTCTGTCTAGTTTTTATAGGAAGTTATTTCCTTTTCTACCTTTGACTTCAAAGCGGCTGAAATCTCCACTTGCAAATTCCAGAAAAAGAGTGTTACAAGTCTGCTCTGTGTAAAGGATCGTTCAACTCTGTGAGTTGAATACACACAACACAAGGAAGTTACTGAGAATTCTTCTGTCTAGCCTTACAGGAAAAAAACCCGTTTCCAACGAAGGCCTCTAAGTGGTCAAAATATCCACGTGCAGACTTTACAAACAGAGTGTTTCCAAATTGCTGAATGAAAAGAAAAGTTAAACTCTGAGAGTTCAACGCACACATCGCAGAGCAGTTTCTGAGAATGATTCTGTCTAGTTTTTATACGAAGATATTTCCTTTCCTGCCTTTGGCCTCAAAGCGCTTGAAATCTCCACTTGCAAATTCCACAAAAAGAGTGTTTCAAATCTGCTCTGTGTAAATGAAAGTTCAACTCTGTGAGTTGAACACACACAACACAAGGAAGTTACTGGGAATTCTTCTGTCTAGCAGAATATGAAGAAATCCCGCTTCCAACGAAGGCCTCTAAGAAGTCTGAATATCCACTTGCAGACTTTACAAACAGAGTGTTTCCCAACTGCTCTATGAAAAGAAAGGTTGAACTCTGTGAGTTGAACGCACACATCACAAAGGAGTTTCTGAGAATCATTCTGTCTAGTTTCTATAGGAAGATATTTCCTATTCTACAATTGACCTCAAAGCGGCTGAAATCTCCACTTGCAAATTCCACAAAAAGAGTGTTTCAAGTCTGCTCTGTGTAAAGGATCGTTCAACTCTGTGAGTTGAATACACACAACACAAGGAAGTTACTGAGAATTCTTCTGTCTAGCATAATATGAAGAAATCCCGTTTCCAACGAAGGACTCAAGGAGGTCTGAATATCCACTTGCAGACTTTACAAACAGAGTGTTTCCTAACTGCTCTATGAAAAGAAAGGTTAAACTCTGTGAGTTGAACGCACACATCACAAAGGAGTTTCTGAGAATCATTCTGTCTAGTTTTGAAACGAAGATATTTCCTTTTCTGCCATTGACCTTAAAGCGCTTGAAATCTCCACTTGCCAATTGCACAAAAAGAGTGTTTCAAATCTGCTCTGTCTAAGGGAACGTTCAACTCTGTGAGTTGAATGTACACAACACAAGGAAGTTACTGGGAATTCTTCTGTCTAGCCTTACATGAAAAAAACCCGTTTCCAATGAAGGTCTCTAAGTGGTCAAAATTTCCACGTGCAGACTTTACAAACAGAGTGTTTCCAAACCGCTGAATGAAAAGAAAAGTTAAACTCTGAGAGTTGAACGCACACATCACGCAGCAGTTTCTGAGAATGATTCTGTCTAGTTTTGAAACGAAGATATTTCCTTTTCTGCCTTTGGGCTCAAAGCGCTTGAAATCTCCACTTGCAAATTCCACAAAAAGAGTGTTTCAAATCTGCTCTGGGTAAATGAAAGTTCAACTCTGTGAGTTGAACACACACAACACAAGGAAGTTACTGGGAATTCTTCTGTCTAGCAGAATATGAAGAAATCCCGCTTCCAACGAAGGCCTCAAAGAAGTCTGAATATCCACTTGCAGACATTACAAACAGAGTGTTTCCCAACTGCTCTATGAAAAGAAAGGTTGAACTCTGTGAGTTGAACGCACACATCACAAAGGAGTTTCTGAGAATCATTCTGTCTAGTCCTTATACGAAGATATTTACTTTTCTACCATTGACCTCAAAGCGGCTGAAATCTCCACTTGCAAATTCCACAAAAAGAGTGTTTCAAGTCTGCTCTGTGTAAAGGATCATTCAACTCTGTGAGTTGAATAAACACAACGCAAGGAAGTTACTGAGAATTCTTCTGTCTAGCAGAATATGAAGAAATCCCGTTTCCAACGAAGGCCACAAGATGTCAGAATATCCACTTACAGACATTACAAACAGAGTGTTTCCTAACTGCTCTATGAACAGAAAGGTTAAACTGCTGTGAGTTGAACGAACACATCACAACGCAGTTTGTGGGAATGATTCTGTCTAGTTCTGAAACGAAGATATTTCCTTTTCTGCCGTTGACCTTAAAGCGCTTGAAATCTACACTTGCAAATTGCACAAATAGAGTGTTTCAAATCTGCTCTGTCTCAGGGAACGTTCAACTCTGTGAGTTGAATGCACACAACACAAGGAAGTTACTGGGAATTCTTCTGTCTAGCCTTACATGAAAAAAACCCGTTTCCAACGAAGGCCTCTAAGTGGTCAAAATATCCACGTGCAGACTTTACAAACAGAGTGTTTCCAAACCGCTGAATGAAAAGAAAAGTTAAACTCTGAGAGTTGAACGCACACATCACGCAGCAGTTTCTGAGAATGATTCTGCCTAGTTTCTATAGGAAGATATTTCCTATTCTACCATTGACTTCAAAGCGGCTGAAATCTCCACTTGCAAATTCCACAAAAAGAGTGTTTCAAGTCTGCTCTGTGTAAAGGATCGTTCAACTCCGTGAGTTGAATACACACAACACAAGGAAGTTACTGAGAATTATTCTGTCTAGCATAATATGAAGAAATCCCGTTTCCAACGAAGGCCGCAAGGAGGTCTGAATATCCACTTGCAGATTTTACAAACAGAGTGTTTCCCAACTGCTCTATGAAAAGAAAGGTTAAACTGTGTGAGTTGAACGCACACATCACAAAGGAGTTTCTGAGAATCATTCTGTCTAGTTTTTATACGAAGATATTTCCTTTTCTACCATGGACCTCAAAGCGGCTGAAATCTCCACTTGCAAATTCCACAAAAAGAGTGTTTCAAGTCTGCTCTGTGTAAAGGATCGTTAAACTCTGTGAGTTGAATACACACAACACAAGGAAGATTCTGAGAATTCTTCTGTCTAGCAGAATATGAAGAAATCCCGTTTCCAACAAAGGCCACAAGATGTCAGAATATCCACTTACAGAATTGACAAACAGACTGTTTCCTAACTGCTCTATGAAAAGAAAGGTTAAACTCTGTGAGTTGAACGAACACATCACAACGCAGTTTGTGGGAATGATTCTGTCTAGTTTTGAAACGAAGATATTTCCTTTTCTGCCGTTGACCTTAAAGCGCTTGAAATCTACACTTGCAAATTGCACAAATAGAGTGTTTCAAATCTGCTCTGTCTAAGGGAACGTTCAACTCTGTGAGTTGAATGCACACAACACAAGGAAGTTACTGGGAATTCTTCTGTCTAGCCTTACTTGAAAAAAACCCGTTTCCAACGAAGGCCTCTAAGTGGTCAAATTATCCACGTGCAGACTTTACAAACAGAGTGTTTCCAAACTGCTGAATGAAAAGAAAAGTTAAACTCTGAGAGTTGAACGCACACATCACAGAGCAGTTTCTGAGAATCATTCTGTCTAGTTTTTATACTAAGATATTTCCTTTTCTGCCTTTGGCCTCAAAGCGCTTGAAATCTCCATTTGCAAATTCCACAAAAAGAGTGTTTCAAATCTGCTCTGTGTAAATGAAAGTTCAACTCTGTGAGTTGAACACACACAACACAAGGAAGTTACTGGGAATTCTTCTGTCTAGCAGAATATGAAGAAATCCAGTTTCCAACGAAGGCCTCAAAGAGGTCTGAATATCCACTTGCAGACTTTACAAACAGAGTGTTTCCTAACTGCTCTATGAAAAGAAAGGTTAAACTCTGTGAGTTGAACGCACACATCACAAAGGAGTTTATGAGAATCATTCTATCTAGTTTTTATACGAAGATATTTCCTTTTCTACCTTTGACTTCAAAGCGGCTGAAATCTCCACTTGCAAATTCCACAAAAAGAGTGTTTCAAGTCTGCTCTGTGTAAAGGGTCTTTCAACTCTGTGAGTTGAATACACACAACACAAGGAAGTTACTGAGAATTCTTCTGTCTAGCCTTACATGAAAAAAACCCGTTTCCAACGAAGGCCTCTAAGTGGTCAAATTATCCACGTGCAGACTTTACAAACAGAGTGTTTCCAAACTGCTGAATGAGAAGAAAATTTAAACTCTGAGAGTTGAACGCACACATCACAGAGCAGTTTCTGAGAATGATTCTGTCTAGTTTGAAACGAAGATATTTCCTTTTCTGCCATTGACCTTAAAGCGCTTGAAATCTCCACTTGCCAATTGCACAAAAAGAGTGTTTCAAATCTGCTCTGTCTAAGGGAACGTTCAACTCTGTGAGTTGAATGTACACAACACAAGGAAGTTACTGGGAATTCTTCTGTCTAGCCTTACAGGAAAAAAACACGTTTCCAACGAAGGCCTCTAAGTGGTCAAAATATCCACGTGCAGACTTTACAAACAGAGTGTTTCCAAACTGCTGAATGAAAAGCAAAGTTAAACTCTGAGAGTTGAACGCACACATCGCAGAGCAGTTTCTGAGAATGATTCTGTCTAGTTTTTATACGAAGATATTTCGTTTTCTGCCTTTGGCCCCAAAGCGCTTGAAATCTCCACTTGCAAATTCCACAAAAACAGTGTTTCAAATCTGCTCTCTCTAAATGAAAGTTCAACTCTGTCAGTTGAATACACACAACACAAGGAAGTTACTGAGAATTCTTCTCTCTAGCCTTATATGAAAAAAACCCATTTCCAACGAAGGCCTCAAAGAGGTCTGAATATCCACTTGCAGACTTTACAAACAGAGTGTTTCCTAACTGCTCTATGAAAAGAAAGGTTAAACTCTGTGAGTTGAACGCACACATCACAAAGGAGTTTCTGAGAATCATTCTGTCTAGTTTTTATAGGAAGATATTTCCTTTTCTACCTTTGACTTCAAAGCGGCTGAAATCTCCAATTGCAAATTCCACAAAAAGAGTGTTACAAGTCTGCTCTGTGTAAAGGATCGTTCAACTCTGTGAGTTGAATACACACAACACAAGGAAGTTACTGAGAATTCTTCTGTCTAGCAGAATATGAAGAAATCCCGTTTCCAACGAAGGCCACAAGATGTCAGAATATCCACTTACAGACTTTACAAACAGTGTGTTTCCTAACTGCTCTATGAACGGAAAGGTTAAACTCTGTGAGTTGAACGAACACATCACAACGCAGTTTGTGGGAATGATTCTGTCTAGTTTTGAAACGGAGATATTTCCTTTTCTGCCATTGACCTTAAAGCGCTTGAAATCTACACTTGCAAATTACACAAATAGAGTGTTTCAAATCTGCTCTGTCTAAGGGAACGTTCATCTCTGTGAGTTGAATGCACACAACACAAGGAAGTTACTGGGAATTCTTCTGTCTAGCCTTACAGGTAAAAAAACCCGTTTCCAACGAAGGCCTCTAAGTGGTCAAAATATCCACGTGCAGACTTTACAAACAGAGTGTTTCCAAACTGCTGAATGAAAAGAAAAGTTAAACTCTGAGAGTTGAACGCACACATCACAAAGGAGTTTCTGAGAATCATTCTGTCTAGTTTTTATACGAAGATATCTCCTTTTCTGCCTTTGGCCCCAAAGCGCTTGAAATCTCCACTTGCAAATTCCACAAAAACAGTGTTTCAAATCTGCTCTCTCTAAATGAAAGTTCAACTCTGTCAGTTGAATACACACAACACAAGGAAGTTACTGAGAATTCTTCTGTCTAGCATAATATGATGAAATCCCGTTTCCAACGAAGGCCTCAAAGGGGTCTGAATATCCACTTGCAGACTTTATAAACAGAGTGTTTACTAACTGCTCTATGAAAAGAAACGTTAAACTCTGTGAGTTGAACACACACATCACAAAGGAGTTTCTGAGAATCATTCTGTCTAGTTTTTATACGAAGATATTTCCTTTTCTACCATTGACCTCAAAGCGGATGAAATCTCCACTTGCAAATTACACAAAAAGAGTGTTTCAAGTCTACTCTGTGTAAAGCATCGTTCAACTCTGTGAGTTGAAAACACACAACACAAGGAAGTTTCTGAGAATTCTTCTGTCTAGCAGAACATGAAGAAATCCCGCTTCCAACGAAGGCCTCAAAGAGGTCTGAATATCCACTTGCAGACTTTACCAACAGAGTGTTTCCTAACTGCTCTATGAAAAGAAAGGTTAAACTCTGTGAGTTGAACGCACACATCACAAAGGAGTTTCTGAGAATCATTCTCTCTAGTTTTGAAACGAAGATATTTCCTTTTCTGCCATTGACCTTAAAGCGCTTGAAATCTACACTTGCAAATTGCACAAATAGAGTGTTTCAAATCTGCTCTGTCTAAGGGAACGTTCAACTCTGTGAGTTGAATGCACACAACACAAGGAAGTTACTGGGAATTCTTCTGTCTAGCCTTACATGAAAAAAACCCGTTTCCAACGAAGGCCTCTAAGTGGTCAAAATTTCCACGTGCAGACTTTACAAACAGAGTGTTTCCAAACCGCTGAATGAAAAGAAAAGTTAAATTCTGAGAGTTGAACGCACACATCACGCAGCAGTTTCTGAGAATGATTCTGTCTAGTTTTTATACGAAGATATTTCCTTTTCTGCCTTTGGCCTCAAAGCGCTTGAAATCTCCATTTGCAAATTCCACAAAAAGAGTGTTTCAAATCTGCTCTGTGTAAACGAAAGTTCAACTCTGTGAGTTGAACACACACAACACAAGGAAGTTACTGGGAATTCTTCTGTCTAGCCTTATATGAAAAAAACCCGTTTCCAACGAAGGCCTCAAAGAGGTCTGAATATCCACTTGGAGACTTTACAAACAGAGTGTTTCCTAACTGCTCTATGAAAAGAAAGGTTAAACTCTGTGAGTTGAACGCACACATCACAAAGGAGTTTCTGAGAATCATTCTGTCTAGTTTTTATAGGAAGATATTTCCTTTTCTACCTTAGACTTCAAAGCGGCTGAAATCTCCACTTGCAAATTCCACAAAAAGAGTGTTACAAGTCTGCTCTGTGTAAAGGATCGTTCAACTCTGTGAGTTGAATACACACAACACAAGGAAGTTACTGAGAATTCTTCTGTCTAGCCTTACATGAAAAAAACCCGTTTCCAACGAAGGCCTCTAAGTGGTCAAATTATCCACGTGCAGACTTTACAAACAGAGTGTTTCCAAACTGCTGAATGAGAAGAAAAGTTAAACTCTGAGAGTTGAACGCACACATCGCAGAGCAGTTTATGAGAATGATTTCTGTCTAGTTTTGAAACGAAGATATTTCCTTTTCTGCCGTTGACCTTAAAGCGCTTCAAATCTACACTTGGAAATTGCACAAATAGAGTGTTTCAAATCTGCTCTGTCTAAGGGAACGTTCAACTCTGTGAGTTGAATGCACACAACACAAGGAAGTTACTGGGATTTCTTCTGTCTAGCCTTACAGGAAAAAAACCCGTTTCCAACGAAGGCCTCTAAGTGGTCAAAATATCCACGTGCAGAATTTACAAACAGAGTGTTTCCAAACTGCTGAATGAAAAGAAAAGTTAAACTCTGAGAGTTGAACGCACACATCGCAGAGCAGTTTCTGAGAATGATTCTGTCTAGTTTTGAAACGAAGATATTTCCTTTTCTACCTTTGGCCTCAAACCGCTTGAAATCTCCACTTGCAAATTCCACAAAAAGAGTGTTTCAAATCTGCTCTGTGTAAATGAAAGTTCAACTCTGTGAGTTGAACACACACAACACAAGGAAGTTACTGGGAATTCTTCTGTCTAGCACAGTATGGAGAAATCCCGTTTCCATCGAAGGCCTCAAAGAGGTCTGAATATCCACTTGCAGAGTTTACAAACAGAGTGTTTCCTAACTGCACTATGAACAGAAAGGTTAAACTCTGTGAGTTGAACGCACACATCACAAAGAAGTTTCTGAGAATCATTCTGTCTCGTTTTTATACGAAGATATTTCCTTTTCTACCATTGACCTCAAAGCGGCTGAAATCTCCACTTGCAAATTCCACAAAAAGAGTGTTTCAAGTCTGCTCTGTGTAAAGGATCGTTCAACTCTGTGAGTTGAATACACACAACACAAGGAAGTTACTGAGAATTCTTCTGTCTAGCATAATATGAAGAAATCCCGTTTCCAACGAAGGCCTCAAGGAGGTCTGAATATCAACTTGCAGACTTTACAAACAGAGTGTTTCCTAACTGCTCTATGAAAAGAAAGGTTAAACTCTGTGAGTTGAACGCACACATCACAAAGGAGTTTCTGAGAATCATTCTGTCTAGTTTTTATACGAAGATATTTCCTTTTCTACCATTGACCTCAAAGCGGCTGAAATCTCCACTTGCAAATTCCACAAAAAGAGTGTTTGAAGTCTGCTCTGTGTAAAGGATCGTTCAATTCTGTGAGTTGAATACACACAACACAAGGAAGTTACTGAGAATTCTTTTGTCTAGCAGAATATGAAGAAATCCCGCTTCCAACGAAGGCCTCAAAGAGGTCTGAATATCCACTAGCAGACTTTACTAACAGAGTGTTTCCCAACTGCTCTATGAAAAGAAAGGTTGAACTCTGTGAGTTGAACGCACACATCACAAAGGAGTTTCTGAGAATCATTCTGTCTAGTTTTTATACAAAGATATTTCCTTTTCTGCCTTTGGCCTCAAAGCGCTTGAAATCTCCATTTGCAAATTCCACAAAAAGAGTGTTTCAAATCTGCTCTGTGTAAATCAAAGTTCAACTCTGTGAGTTGAACACACACAACACAAGGAAGTTACTGGGAATTCTTCTGTCTAGCCTTACATGAAAAAAACCCGTTTCCAACGAAGGCCTCAAAGAAGTCCAAATATCCACATGCAGATTTTACAAACAGAGTGTTTCCTAACTGCTCTATGAAAAGAAAGGTTAAACTCTGTGAGTTGAACGCACATATCACAAAGGAGTTTCTGAGAATCATTCTGTCAAGTCTTTATATGAAGATAGTTTCCTTTTCTACCATTGACCTCAAAGCGGCTGAAATCTCCACTTGCAAATTCCACAAAAAGAGTGTTTCAAGTCTGCTCTGTGTAAAGGATTGTTCAACTCTGTGAGTTGAATACACACAACACAAGGAAGTTACTGAGAATTCTTCTGTCTAGCAGAATATGAAGAAATCCCGTTTCCAACGAAGGCCACAAGATGTCAGAATATCCACTTACAGACTTTACAAACAGAGTGTTTCCTAACTGCTCTATGAACAGAAAGGTTAAACTCTGTGAGTTCAACGCACACATCACAAAGGAGTTTCTGAGAATCATTCTGTCTAGTTTTGAAACGAAGATATTTCCTTTTCTGCCATTGACCTTAAAGCGCTTGAAATCTCCACTTGCCAATTGCACAAAAAGAGTGTTTCAAATCTGCTCTGTCTAAGGGAACGTTCAACTCTGTGAGTTGAATGTACACAACACAAGGAAGTTACTGGGAATTCTTCTGTCTAGCCTTACAGGAAAAAAACCCGTTTCCAACGAAAGCCTCAAAGAGGTCAAAATATCCACTTGCAGACTTTACAAACAGAGTGTTTCCTAACTACTCGATGAAAAGAAAGGTTAAACTCTGTGAGTTGAACGCACTCATCACAAAGAAGTTTCTGAGAATCATTCTGTCTAGTTTTTATACGAAGATATTTCCTTTTCTGCCTTTGGCCTCAAAGCGCTTGAAATCTCCACCTGCAAATTCCACAAAAAGAGTGTTTCAAATCTGCTCTGTGTAAATGAAAGTTCAACTGTGTGAGTTGAATACACACAACACAAGGAAGTTACTGAGAACTCTTCTGTCTAGCATAATATGAACAAAACCCGTTTCCAACGAAGGCCTCAAGGAGGTCTGAATATCCACTTGCAGACTTTACAAACAGAGTGTTTCCTAACTGCTCTATGAAAAGAAAGGTTAAACTCTGTGAGTTGAACGCACACATCACAAAGGAGTTTCTGAGAATCATTCTGTCTAGTTTTTATACGAAGATATTTCCTTTTCTACCATGGACCTCAAAGCGGCTGAAATCTCCACTTGCAAATTCCACAAAAAGAGTGTTACAAGTCTGCTCTGTGTAAAGGATCGTTCAACTCTGTGAGTTGAATACACACAACACAAGGAAGATTCTGAGAATTCTTCTGTCTAGCAGAATATGAAGAAATCCCGTTTCCAACGAAAGCCTCAAAGAGGTCTGAATATCCACTTGCAGACTTTACAAACAGAGTGTTTCCTAACTGCTCTATGAAAAGAAAAGTTAAACTCTGTGAGTTGAACGCACACATCACAAAGGAGTTTCTGAGAATCATTCTGTCTAGTTTTGAAACGAAGATATTTCCTTTTCTGCCATTGACCTTAAAGCGCTTGAAATCTCCACTTGCCAATTGCACAAAAAGAGTGTTTCAAATCTGCTCTGTCTAAGGGAACGTTCAACTCTGTGAGTTGAATGTACACAACACAAGGAAGTTACTGGGAATTCTTCTGTCTAGCCTTACAGGATAAAAACCCGTTTCCAACGAAGGCCTCTAAGTGCTCAAAATATCCACGTGCAGACTTTACAAACAGAGTGTTTCCAAACTGCTGAATGAAAACAAAAGTTAAACTCTGAGAGTTGAACGCACACATCGCAGAGCAGTTTCTGAGAATGATTCTGTCTAGTTTTTATACGAAGATATTTCCTTTTCTGCCTTTGGCCTCAAAGCGCTTGAAATCTCCACTTGCAAATTCCACAAAAAGAGTGTTTCCAATCTGCTCTGTGTAAATGAAAGTTCAACTCACAGAGTTGAACACACACAACACAAGGGAAGTTACTGGGAATTCTTCTGTCTAGCCTTATATGAAAAAAACCCGTTTCCAACGAAGACCTCAAAGAGGTCTGAATATCCACTTGCAGACTTTACAAACAGAGTGTTTCCTAACTGCTCTATGAAAAGAAAGGTTAAACTCTGTGAGTTGAACGCACACATCACAAAGGAGTTTCTGAGAATCATTCTGTCTAGTTTCTATAGGATGATATTTCCTATTCTACCATTGAACTCAAAGCGGCTGAAATCTCCACTTGCAAATTCCACAAAAAGAGTGTTTCAAGTCTGCTCTGTGTAAAGGATCGTTCAACTCTGTGAGTTGAATACACACAACACAAGGAAGTTACTGAGAATTCTTCTGTCTAGCAGAATATGAAGAAATCCCGTTTCCAACGAAGGCCTCAAGGAGGTCTGAATATCCACTTGCAGACTTTACAAACAGAGTGTTTCCTAACTGCTCTATGAACAGAAAGGTTAAACCCTGTGAGTTGAACGAACACATCACAACGCAGTTTGTGGGAATGATTCTGTCTAGTTTTGAAAGGAAGATATTTCCTTTTCTGCCGTTGACCTTAAAGCGCTTGAAATCTACACTTGCAAATTGCACAAATAGGCTGTTTCAAATCTGCTCTGTCTAAGGGAACGTTCAACTCTGTGAGTTGAATGCACACAACACAAGGAAGTTACTGGGAATTCTTCTGTCTAGCCTTACATGAAGAAAACCCGTTTCCAACGAAGGCCTCTAAGTGGTCAAAATATCCACGTGCAGACTTTACAAACAGAGTGTTTCCAAACTGCTGAATGAAAAGAAAAGTTAAACTCTGAGAGTTGAACGCACACATCACAGAGCAGTTTCTGAGAATGATTCTGTCTAGATTTTATACGAAGATATTTCCTTTTCTGCCTTTGGCCTCAAAGCGCTTGAAATCTCCACTTGCAAATTCCACAAAAAGAGTGTTTCAAATCTGCTCTGTGTAAATGAAAGCTCAACTCCGTGAGTTGAACACAGACAACACAAGGAAGTTACTGGGAATTCTTCTGTCTAGCATAATATGAAGAAATCCCGTTTCCAACGAAGGCCTCAAAGGGGTCTGAATATCCACTTGCAGACTTTATAAACAGACTGTTTACTAACTGCTCTATGAAAAGAAAGGTTAAACTCTGTGAGTTGAACACACACATCAGAAAGGAGTTTCTGAGAATCATTCTGTCTAGTCTTTATACGAAGATATTTCCTTTTCTACCATTGACCTCAAAGCGGCTGAAATCTCCACTTGCAAATTCCACAAAAAGAGTGTTTCAAGTCTGCTCTCTGTAAAGGATCGTTCATCTCTGTGAGTTGAATACACACAACACAAGGAAGTTACTGAGAATTATTCTGTCTAGCATAATATGAAGAATCCCGTTTCCAACGAAGGCCTCAAAGAGGTCTGAATATCCACTTGCAGACTTTACAAACAGAGTGTTTCCTAACTGCTCTATGAAAAGAAAAGTTAAACTCTGTGAGATGAACGCACACATCACAAAGGAGTTTCTGAGAATCATTCTGTCTAGTTTTGAAACGAAGATATTTCCTTTTCTGCCATTGACCTCAAAGCGCTTGAAATCTCCACTTGCCAATTGCACAAAAAGAGTGTTTCAAATCTGCTCTGTCTAAGGGAACGTTCAACTCTGTGAGTTGAATGTACACAACACAAGGAAGTTACTGGGAATTCTTCTGTCTAGCCTTACATGAAAAAAAACCCGTTTCCAACGAAGGCCTCTAAGTGGTCAAAATATCCACGTGCAGACTTTACAAACAGAGTGTTTCCAAACCGCTGAATGAAAAGAAAAGTTAAACTCTGAGAGTTGAACGCACACATCATGCAGCAGTTTCTGAGAATGATTCTGTCTAGTTTTTATACGAAGATATTTCCTTTTCTGCCTTTGGCCCCAAAGCGCTTGAAATCTCCACTTGCAAATTCCACAAAAACAGTGTTTCAAATCAGCTCTCTCTAAATGAAAGTTCAACTCTGTCAGTTGAATACACACAACACAAGGAAGTTACTGAGAATTCTTCTCTCTAGCCTTATATGAAAAAAACCCGTTTCCAACGAAGGCCTCAAAGAGGTCTGAATATCCACTTGCATACTTTAGAAACAGAGTGTTTCCTAACTGCTCTATGAAAAGAAACGTTAAACTACTGTGAGTTGAACGCACACATCACAAAGGAGTTTCTGAGAATCATTCTGTCTAGTTTCTATAGGAAGATATTTCCTATTCTACCATTGAACTCAAAGCGGCTGAAATCTCCACTTGCAAATTCCACAAAAAGAGAGTTTCAAGTCTGCTCTGTGTAAAGGATCGTTCAACTCTGTGAGTTGAATACACACAACACAAGGAAGTTACTGAGAATTCTTCTGTCAGGCATAATATGAAGAAATCCCGTTTGCAACGAAGGCCTCAAAGAGGTCTGAATATCCACTTGCAGAATTTACAAACAGAGTGTTTCCTAACTGCTCTATGAAAAGAAAGGTTAAACTCTGTGAGTTGAACGAACACATCACAACGCAGTTTGTGGGAATCATTCTGTCTACATTTGAAACGAAGATATTTCCTTTTCTGCCAGTGACCTTAAAGCGCTTGAAATCTCCACTTGTCAATTGCACAAAAAGAGTGTTTCAAATCTGCTCTGTCTAAGGGAACGTTCATCTCTGTGAGTTGAATGTACACAACACAAGGAAGTTACTGGGAATTATTCTGTCTAGCCTTACATGAAAAAAACCCGTTTCCAACGAAGGCCTCTAAGTGGTCAAATTATCCACGTGCAGACTTTACAAACAGAGTGTTTCCAAACTGCTGAATGAAAAGCAAAGTTAAACTCTGAGAGTTGAACGCACACATCGCAGAGCACTTTCTGAGAATGATTGTGTCTAGTTTCTATAGGAAGATATTTCCTATACTACCATTGACCTCTAAGCGGCTGAAATCTCCAGTTGCAAATTCCACAAAAAGAATGTTTCAAGTCTGCTCTGTGTAAAGGATCGTTCAACTCTGTGAGTTGAATACACACAACACAAGGAAGTTACTGAGAATTCTTCTGTCTAGCATAATATGAAGAAATCCCGTTTCCAACGAAGGCCTCAAAGAGGTCTGAATATCCACTTGCAGACTTTACAAACAGAGTGTTTCCTAACTGCTCTATGAAAAGAAAAGTTAAACTTTGTGAGTTGAACGCACACATCACAAAGGAGTTTATGAGAATCATTCTGTCTAGTTTCTATAGGAAGATATTTCCTATTCTACCATTGACCTCAAAGCGGCTGAAATCTCCACTTGCAAATTCCACAAAAAGAGTGTTTCAAGTCTGCTCTCTGTAAAGGATCGTTCAACTCTAAGAGTTGAATACACGCAACACAAGGAAGTTATTGAGAATTATTCTGTCTAGCAGAATATGAAGAAATCCCGTTTCCAACGAAGGCCTCAAAGAGGTCTGAATATCCACTTGCAGACTTTACAAACAGAGTGTTTCCTAACTGCTATATGAAAAGAAAGGTTAAACTCTGTGAGTTGAACGCACACATCAGAAAGGAGTTTCTGAGAATCGTTCTGTCTAGTTTCTATAGGAAGATATTTCCTATTCTACCATTGACCTCAAAGCGGTTGAAATCTCCACTTGCAAATTCCACAAAAAGAATGTTTCAAGTCTGCTCTGTGTAAAGGATCGTTCTGCTCTGTGTAAAGGATCGTTCAACTCTGTGAGTTGAATACACACAACACAAGGAAGTTACTGAGAATTCTTCTGTCTAGCCTTACATGAAAAAAACCCGTTTCCAACGAAGGCCTCTAAGTGGTCAAAATATCCACGTGCAGACTTTACAAACAGAGTGTTTCCAAACCGCTGAATGAAAAGGAAAAGTTAAACTCTGAGAGTTGAACGCACACATCACGCAGCAGTTTCTGAGAATGATTCTGTCTAGTTTTGAAACGAAGATATTTCCTTTTCTGCCTTTGGCCTCAAAGCGCTTGAAATCTCCACTTGCAAATTCCACAAAAAGAGTGTTTCAAATCTGCTCTGTGTAAATGAAAGTTCAACTCTGTGAGTTGAACACACACAACACAAGGAAGTTACTGGGGATTCTTCTCTCTAGCAGAATATGAACAAATCCCGTTTCCAACGATGGCCTCAAAGAGGTCTGAATATCCACTTGCAGACTTTACAAACAGAGTGTTTCCTAACTGCTCTATGAAAAGAAAGGTTAAACTCTGTGAGTTGAACGCACACATCACAAAGGAGTTTCTGAGAATCATTCTGTCTAGTCTTTATACGAAGATAGTTTCCTTTTCTACCATTGACCTCAAAGCGGCTGAAATCTCCACTTTCAAATTCCAAAAAAAGAGTGTTTCAAGTCTGCTCTGTGTAAAGGATCGTTCAACTCTGTGAGTTGAAAACACACAACACAAGGAAGTTACTGAGAATTCTTCTGACTAGCAGAATATGAAGAAATCCCGTTTCCAACGAAGGCCACAAGATGTCAGAATATCCACTTACAGAATTTACAAACAGACTGTTTCCTAACTGCTCTATGAAAAGAAAGGTTAAACTCTGTGAGTTGAACGAACACATCACAATACAGTTTGTGGGAATGATTCTGTCTAGTTTTGAAACGAAGATATTTCCTTTTCTGCCATTGACCTTAAAGCGCTTGAAATCTCCACTTGCCAATTGCACAAAAAGAGTGTTTCAAATCTGCTCTGTCTAAGGGAACGTTCAACTCTGTGAGTTCAATGTACACAACACAAGGGAAGTTACTGGGAATTCTTCTGTCTAGCCTTACAGGAAAAAAACCCGTTTCCAACGAAGGCCTCTAAGTGGTCAAAATATCCACGTGCAGACTTTACAAACAGAGTGTTTCCAAACTGCTGAATGAAAAGAAAAGTTAAACTCTGAGAGTTGAACGCACACATCGCAGAGCAGTTTGTGAGAATGATTCTGTCTAGTTTTTATACGAAGATATTTCCTTTTCTGCCTTTGGCCCCAAAGCGCTTGAAATCTCCACTTGCAAATTCCACAAAAACAGTGTTTCAAATCTGCTCTCTCTAAATGAAAGTTCAACTCTGTTAGTTGAATACACACAACACAAGGAAGTTACTGAGAATTCTTCTGTCTAGCATAATATGAAGAAATCCCGCTTCCAACGAAGGCCTCAAAGAGGTCTGAATATCCACTTGCAGACTTTACAAACAGAGTGTTTCCTAACTGCTCTATGAAAAGAAAAGTTGAACTCTGTGAGTTGAACGCACACATCACAAAGGAGTTTCTGAGAATCATTCTGTCTAGTTTCTATAGGAAGATATTTCCTATTCTACCATTGACCTCAAAGCGGCTGAAATATCCACTTGCGAATTCCACAAAAAGAGTGTTTCAAGTCTGCTCTGTGTAAAGGATCGTTCAACTCTGTGAGTTGAATACACACAACACAAGGAAGTTACTGAGAATTCTTCTGTCTAGCAGAATATTAAGAAATACCGTTTCCAACGAAGGCCTCAAGGAGGTCTGAATATCCACTTGCAGACTTTACAAACAGAGTGTTTCCTAACTGCTCTATGAACAGAAAGGTTAAACTCTGTGAGTTGAACGAACACATCACAACGCAGTTTGTGGGAATGATTCTGTCTAGTTTTTATACGAAGATATTTCCTTTTCTGCCTTTGGCCTCAAAGCGCTTGAAATCTCCATTTGCAAATTCCACAAAAAGAGTGTTTCAAATCTGCTCTGTCTAAGGGATCGTTCAACTCTGTGAGTTGAATGTACACAACACAAGGAAGTTACTGGGAATTCTTCTGTCTAGCCTTACATGAAAAAAACCCGTTTCCAACGAAGGCCTCTAGGTGGTCAAAATATCCACGTGCAGACTTTACAAACAAAGTGTTTCCAAACCGCTGAATGAAAAGAAAAGTTAAACTCTGAGAGTTGAACGCACACATCACGCAGTAGTTTCTGAGAATGATTCTGTCTAGTTTTTATACGAAGATATTTCCTTTTCTGCCTTTGGCCGCAAAGCGCTTGAAATCTCCACTTGCAAATTCCACAAAAACAGTGTTTCAAATCTGCTCTCTCTAAATGAAAGTTCAACTCTGTCAGTTGAATACACACAACACAAGGTAAGTTACTGAGAATTCTTCTGTCTAGCCTTATATGAAAAAAACCCGTTTCCAACGAAGGCCTAAAGGAGGTATGAATATCCACTTGCAGACATTACAAACAGAGTGTTTCCTAACTGCTCTAAGAAAAGAAAGGTTAAACTCTGTGAGTTGAACGCACACATCACAAAGGAGTTTCTGAGAATCATTCTGTCTAGTTTTTATACGAAGATATTTCCTTTTCTACCTTTGACTTCAAAGCGGCTGAAATCTCCACTTGCAAATTCCACAAAAAGAGTGTTTCAAGTCCTCTCTGTGTAAAGGATCATTCAACTCTGTGAGTTGAATACACACAACACAAGGAAGTTACTGGGAATTCTTCTGTCTAGCAGAATAAGAAGAAATCCCGTTTCCAACGAAGGCCTCAAGGAGGTCTGAATATCCACTTGCAGACTTTACAAACAGAGTGTTTCCTAACTGCTCTATGAACAGAAATGTTAAACTCTGTGAGTTGAACGAACACATCACAACGCAGTTTGTGGGAATGATTCTGTCTAGTTTTGAAACGAAGATATTTCCTTTTCTGCCATTGAACTTAAAGCGCTTGAAATCTCCATTTGCCAATTGCACAAAAAGTGTGTTTCAAATCTGCTCTGTCTAAGGGAACGTTCAACTCTGTGAGTTGAATGTACACAACACAGGGAAGTTACTGGGAATTCTTCTGTCTAGCCTTACAGGAAAAAAACCCGTTTCCAACGAAGGCCTCTAAGTGGTCAGAATATCCACGTGCAGACTTTACAAACAGAGTTTTTCCACACTGCTGAATGAAAAGAAAAGTTAAACTCTGAGAGTTGAACGCACACATCACAGAGCAGTTTCTGAGAATGATTCTGTCTATTTTCTATAGGAAGATATTTCCTATTCTACCATTGACCTCAGAGCGGCTGAAATCTCCACTTGCAAATTCCACAAAAAGAGTGTTTCAAGTCTGCTCTGTGTAAAGGATCGTTCAACTCTGTGAGTTGAATACACACAACACAAGGAAGTTACTGAGAATTCTTCTGTCTAGCAGAATATGAAGAAATCCCGTTTCCAACGAAGGCCTCAAGGAGGTCTGAATATCCACTTGCAGACTTTACAATCAGAGTGTTTCCTAACTGCTCTATGAAAAGAAAGGTTAAACTCTGTGAGTTGAACGCACACATCACAAAGGAGTTTCTGAGAATCATTCTGTCTAGTCTTTATACGAAGATATTTCCTTTTCTACCTTTGACCTCAAAGCGGCTGAAATCTCCACTTGCAAATTCCACAAAAAGAGTGTTTCAAGTCTGCTCTGTGTAAAGGATCGTTCAACTCTGTGAGTTGAATACACACAACACAACGAAGTTACTGAGAATTCTTCTGTGTAGCAGAATATGAAGAAATCCCGTTTCCAACGAAGGCCTCAGGGAGGTCTGAATATCCACTTGCAGACTTTACAAACAGAGTGTTTCCTAACTGCTCTATGAAAAGAAAGGTTAAACTCTGTGAGTTGAACGCACACATCACAAAGGAGTTTCTGAGAATCGTTCTGTCTAGTTTTTATAGGAAGATATTTCCTTTTCTACCTTTGACTTCAAAGAGGCTGAAATCTCCACTTGCAAATTCCAGAAAAAGAGTGTTACAAGTCTGCTCTGTGTAAAGGATCGTTCAACTCTGTGAGTTGAATACACACAACACAAGGAAGTTACTGGGAATTCTTCTGTCTAGCCTTATATGAAAAAAACCCGTTTCCAACGAAGGCCTCTAAGTGGTCAAATTATCAACGTGCAGACTTTACAAACAGAGTGTTTCCAAACTGCTGAATGAAAAGAAAAGTTAAACTCTGAGAGTTGAACGCACACATCGCAGAGCAGTTTCTGAGAATGATTCTGTCTACTTTCTATAGGAAGATATTTCCTATTCTACCATTGACCTCAAAGCGGCTGAAATCTCCACTTGCAAATTCCACAAAAGGAGTGTTTCAAGTCTGCTCTGTGTAAAGGATCGTTCATCTCTGTGAGTTGAAAACACACAACACAAGGAAGTTTCTGAGAATTCTTCTTTCTAGCAGAATATGAAGAAATCCCGTTTCCAAAGAAAGCCTCAAGGATGTCTGAATATCCACTTGCAGACTTTACAAACAGAGTGTTTCCTAACTGCTCTATGAAAAGAAAGGTTAAACTCTTTGAGTTGAACGCACACATCACAAAGGAGTTTCTGAGAATCATTCTGTCTAGTCTTTATACGGAGATGTTTCCTTTTCTACCATTGACCTCAAAGCGGCTGAAATCTCCACTTGCAAATTCCACAAAAAGAGTGTTTCAAGTCTGCTCTGTGTAAAGGATTGTTCAACTCTGTGAGTTGAATACACACAACACAAGGAAGTTACTGAGAATTCTTCTGTCTAGCAGAATATGAAGAAATCCCGTTTCCAACGAAGGCCTCAAGGAGTTCTGAATATCCACTTGCAGACTTTACAAACAGAGTGTTTCCTAACAGCTCTATGAACAGAAAGGTTAAACTCTGTGAGTTGAACGCACACATCACAAAGGAGTTTCTGAGAATCATTCTGTCTAGTTTTTATAGGAAGATATTTCCTTTTCGACCTTTGACTTGAAAGCGGCTGAAATCTCCACTTGCAAATTCCACAAAAAGAGTGTTACAAGTCTGCTCTGTGTAAAGGATCGTTCAACTCTGTGAGTTGAATACACACAACACAAGGAAGTTACTGAGAATTCTTCTGTCTAGCCTTACATGAAAAAAACCCGTTTCCAACGAAGGCCTCTAAGTTGTCAAAATATCCACGTGCAGACTTTACAAACAGAGTGTTTCCAAACCGCTGAATGAAAAGAAAAGTTAAACTCTGAGAGTTGAACGCACACATCACGCAGCAGTTTCTGAGAATGATTCTGTCTAGTTTTTATACGAAGATATTTCCTTTTCTGCCTTTGGCCTCAAAGCGCTTGAAATCTCCATTTGCAAATTCCACTAAAAGAGTGTTTCAAATCTGCTCTGTGTAAATGAAAGTTCAACTCTGTGAGTTGAACACACACAACACAAGGAAGTTACTGGGAATTCTTCTGTCTAACCTTATATGAAAAAAACCCGTTTCCAACGAAGGCCTCAAAGAGGTCTGAATATCCACTTGCAGACTTTACAAACAGAGTGTTTCCTAACTGCTCTATGAAAAGAAAGGTTAAACTCTGTGAGTTGAACGCACACATCACAAAGGAGTTTCTGAGAATCATTCTGTCTAGTTTTTCTACGAAGATATTTCCTATTCTACCATTGACCTCAAAGCGGCTGAAATCTCCACTTGGAAATTCCACAAAAAGAGTGTTTCAAGTCTGCTCTGTGTAAAGGATCGTTCAACTCTGTGAGTTGAATACACACAACAAAAGGAAGTTACTGAGAATTCTTCTGTCTAGCAGAATATGAAGAAATCCCGTTTCCAACGAAGGCCACAAGATGTCAGAATATCCACTTACAGACTTTACAAACAGAGTGTTTCCTAACTGCTCTATGAACAGAAAGGTTAAACTGTGAGTTGAACGAACACATCACAACGCAGTTTGTGGGAATGATTCTGTCTAGTTTTGAAACGAAGATATTTCCTTTTCTGCCATTGACCTCAAAGCGCTTGAAATCTCCACTTGCCAATTGCACAAAAAGAGTGTTTCAAATCTGCTCTGTCTAAGGGAACGTTCAACTCTGTGAGTTGAATGTACACAACACAAGGAAGTTACTGGGAATTCTTCTGTCTAGCCTTACAGGAAAAAAACCCGTTTCCAACGAACGCCTTTAAGTGGTCAAAATATCCACGTGCAGACTTTACAGAGTGTTTCCAAACTGCTGAATGAAAAGAAAAGTTAAACTCTGAGAGTTGAACGCACACATCGCAGAGCAGTTTCTGAGAATGATTCTGTCTAGTTTTTATATGAAGATATTCCCTTTCCTGCCTTTGGCCTCAAAGCGCTTGAAATCTCCACTTGCAAATTCCACAAAAAGAGTGTTTCAAATCTGCTCTGTGTAAATCAAAGTTCAACTCCGTGAGTTGAACACACACAACACAAGGAAGTTACTGGGAATTCTTCTGTCTAGCAGAATATGAAGAAATCCCGTTTCCAACGAAGGCCTCAAAGAGGTCTGAATATCCACTTGCAGACTTTACAAACAGAGTGTTTCCTAACTGCTCTATGAAAAGAAAGGTTAAACTCTGTGAGTTGAACGCACACATCACAAAGTAGTTTCTGAGAATCATTCTGTCTAGTTTCTATAGGAAGATATTTCCTATTCTACCATTGACCTCAAAGCGGCTGAAATCTCCACTTGCAAATTCCACAAAAAGAGTGTTTCAAGTCTGCTCTGTGTAAAGGATCGTTCAACTCTGTGAGTTGAATACACACAACACAAGGAAGTTACTGAGAATTCTCTGTCTAGCAGAATATGAAGAAATCCCGTTTCCAACGAAGGCCACAAGATGTCAGAATATCCACTTACAGACTTTACAAACAGAGTGTTTCCTAACTGCTCTATGAAAACAAAGGTTAAACTCTGTGAGTTGAACGAACACATCACAACGCAGTTTGTGGGAATGATTCTGTCTAGTTTTTATAGGCAGATATTTCCTTTTCTACTTTGACTTCAAAGCGGCTGAAATCTCCACTTGCAAATTCCACAAAAAGAGTGTTACAAGTCTGCTCTCTGTAAAGGATCGTTCAACTGTGTGAGTTGAATACACACAACACAAGGAAGTTACTGAGAACTCTTCTGTCTAGCCTTACATGAAAAAAACCCGTTTCCAATGAAGGCCTCTAAGTGGTCAAATTATCCACGTGCAGACTTTACAAACAGAGTGTTTCCAAACTGCTGAATGAAAAGAAAAGTTAAACTCTGAGAGTTGATCGCACACATCACAGAGCAGTTTCTGAGAATGATTCTGTCTAGTTTTTATACAAAGATATTTCCTTTTCTGCCTTTGGCCCCATAGCGCTTGAAATCTCCACTTGCAAATTCCACAAAAACAGTGTTTCAAATCTGCTCTCTCTAAATAAAAGTTCCACTCTGTCAGTTGAATACACACAACACAAGGAAGTTACTGAGAATTCTTCTGTCTAGCATAATATGAAGAAATCCCGTTTCCAACGAAGGCCTCAAGGAGGTCTGAGTATCCACTTGCAGACTTTTCAAACAGAGTGTTTCCTAACTGCTCTATGAAAAGAAAGGTTAAACTCTGTGAGTTGAACGCACACATCACAAAGGAGTTTCTGAGAATCATTCTGTCTAGTTTTTCTACGAAGATATTTCCTTTTCTACTATTGACCTCAAAGCGGCTGAAATCTCCACTTGCAAATTCCACAAAAAGAGAGTTTCAAGTCTGCTCTGTGTAAAGGATCGTTCAACTCTGTGAGTTGAATACACACAACACAAGGAAGTTACTGAGAATTCTTCTGTCTAGCAGAATATGAGGAAATCCCGTTTCCAACGAAGGCCTCAAAGAGGTCTGAATATCCACTTGCAGACTTTACAAACAGAGTGTTTCCTAACTGCTCTATGAAAAGAAAGGTTAAACTCTGTGAGTTGAACGCACACATCACAAAGGAGTTTCTGAGAATCGTTCTGTCTAGTTTTGAAACGAAGATATTTCCTTTTCTGCCATTGACCTTAAAGCGCTTGAAATCTCCACTTGCCAATTGCACAAAGAGTGTTTCAAATCTGCTCTGTCTAAGGGAACGTTCAACTCTGTGAGTTGAATGTACACAACACAAGGAAGTTACTGGGAATTCTTCTGTCTAGCCTTACAGGAAAAAAAACCGTTTCCAACGAAGGCCTCTAAGTGGTCAAAATATCCACGTGCAGACTTTACAAACAGAGTGTTTCCAAACTGCTGAATGAAAAGAAAAGTTAAACTCTGAGAGTTGAACGCACACATCGCAGAGCAGTTTCTGAGAATGATTCTGTCTAGTTTTTCTACGAAGATATTTCCTTTTCTACTATTGACCTCAAAGCGCCTGAAATCTCCAATTGCAAATTCCACAAAAAGAGTGTTTCAAGTCTGCTCTGTGTAAAGGATCGTTCAACTCTCTGAGTTGAATACACACAACACAAGGGAAGTTACTGAGAATTCTTCTGTGTAGCAGAATATGAAGAAATCCCGTTTCCAACGAAGGCCTCAAAGAGGTCTGAATATCCACTTGCAGACTTTACAAACAGAGTGTTTCCTAACTGCTCTATGAAAAGAAAGGTTAAACACTGTGAGTTGAACGCACACATCACAAAGGAGTTTATGAGAATCATAATGTCTAGTCTTTATACGAAGATATTTCCTTTTCTACCATTGACCTCAAAGCGGCTGAAATCTCCACTTGCAAATTCCACAAAAAGAGTGTTTCAAGTCTGCTCTGTGTAAAGGATCGTTCAACTCTGTGAGTTGAATACACACAACCCAAGGAAGTTACTGAGAATTCTTCTGTCTAGCAGAATATGAAGAAATCCCGTTTCCAACGAAGGCCTCTAGGAGGTCTGAATATCCACTTGCAGACTTTACAAACAGAGTGTTTCTTAACTGCTCTATGAACAGAAAGGTTAAACTCTGTGAGTTGAACGAACACATCACAACGCAGTTTGTGGGAATGATTCTGTCTAGTTTTGAAACGAAGACATTTCCTTTTCTGCCTTTGGCCTCAAAGCGCTTGAAATCTCCATTTGCAAATTCCACAAAAAGAGTGTTTCAAATCTGCTCTGTGTAAATGAAAGTTCAACTCTGTGAGTTGAACGCACACAACACAAGGAAGTTACTGGGAATTCTTCTGTCTAGCCTTACATGAAAAAAACCCGTTTCCAACGAAGGCCTCTAAGTGGTCAAAATATCCACTTGCAGACTTTACAAACAGAGTGTTTCCAAACCGCTGAATGAAAAGAAAAGTTAAACTCTGAGAGTTGAACGCACACATCACGCAGCAGTTTCTGAGAATGATTCTGTCTAGTTTTTATACGAAGATATTTCCTTTTCTGCCTTTGGCCCAAAGCGCTTGAAATCTCCACTTGCAAATTCCACAAAAACAGTGTTTCAAATCTGCTCTCTCTAAATGAAAGTTCAACTCTGTCAGTTGAATACACACAACACAAGGAAGTTACTGAGAATTCTTCTGTCTAGCCTTATATGAAAAAAACCCGTTTCCAACGAAGGCCTCAAAGAGGGCTGAATATCCACTTGCAGACTTTACAAACAGAGTGTTTCCTAACTGCTCTATGAAAAGAAAGGTTAAACTCTGTGAGTTGAACACACACATCACAAAGGAGTTTCTGAGAATCATTCTGTCTAGTCTTTATACGAAGATATTTCCTTTTCTACCATTAACCTCAAAGCGGCTGAAATCTCCACTTGCAAATTCCACAAAAAGAGTGTTTCAAGTCTGCTCTGTGTAAAGGATCGTTCAACTCTGTGAGTTGAATACACACAACACAAGGAAGTTACTGAGAATTATTCTGTCTAGCATAATATGAAGAAATCCCGTTTCCAACGAAGGCCTCAAGGAGGTCTGAATATCCACTTGCAGACTTTACAAACAGAGTGTTTCCTAACTGCTCTATGAAAAGAAAGGTTAAACTCTGTGAGTTGAACGCACACATCACAAAGGAGGTTCTGAGAATCATTCTGTCTAGTTTTGAAACGAAGATATTTCCTTTTCTGCCATTGACCTTAAAGCGCTTGAAATCTACACTTGCAAATTGCACAAATAGAGTGTTTCAAATCTGCTCTGTCTAAGGGAACGTTCAACTCTGTGAGTTGAATGCACACAACACAATGAAGTTACTGGGAATTCTTCTGTCTAGCCTTACATGAAAAAAACCCGTTTCCAACGAAAGCCTCTAAGTGGTCAAAATATCCACGTGCAGACTTTACAAACAGAGTGTTTCCAAACCGCTGAATGAAAAGAAAAGTTAAACTCTGAGAGTTGAACGCACACATCACGCAGCAGTTTCTGAAAATGATTCTGTCTAGTTTTTATACGAAGATATTTCCTTTTCTGCCTTTGGCCTCAAAGCGCTTGAAATCTCCACTTGCAAATTCCACAAAAAGAGTGTTTCAAATCTCCTCTGTGTAAATGAAAGTTCAACTCTGTGAGTTGAACACACACAACACAAGGAAGTTACTCGGAATTCTTCTGTCTAGCATAATATGAAGAAATCCCGTTTCCAACGAAGGCCTCAAAGGGGTCTGAATATCCACTTGCAGACTTTATAAACAGAGTGTTTACTAACGTCTCTATGAAAAGAAAAGTTAAACTCTGTGTGTTGAACGCACACATCACAAAGGAGTTTCTGAGAATCATTCTGTCTAGTCTTTATACGAAGATATTTCCTTTTCTACCATTGACCTCAAAGCGGCTGAAATCTCCACTTGCAAATTCCACAAAAAGAGTGTTTCAACTCTGCTCTGTGTAAAGGATCGTTCAACTCTGTGAGTTAAATACACACAACACAAGGAAGTTACTGAGAATTCTTCTGTCTAGCAGAATATGGAGAAATCCCGTTTCCAACGTAGGCCACAAGATGTCAGAATATCCACTTACAGACTTTACAAACAGAGTGTTTCCTAACTGCTCTATGAACAGAAAGGTTAAACTCTGTGAGTTGAACGAACACATCACAACGCAGTTTGTGGGAATGATTATGTCTAGTTTTTATACGAAGATATTTCCTTTTCTACCATTGACCTCAAAGCGGGTGAAATCACCACTTGCCAATTGCACAAAAAGAGTGTTTCAAATCTGCTCTGTCTAAGGAAACGTTCAACTCTGTGAGTTGAATGTACATAACACAAGGAAGTTCCTGGGAATTCTTCTGTCTAGCCTTACAAGAAAAAAACCCGTTTCCAACGAAGGCCTCTAAATGGTCAAAATATCCACGTGCAGACTTTACAAACAGAGTGTTTCCAAACTGCTGAATGAAAAGAAAAGTTAAACTCTGAGAGTTGAACGCACACATCGCAGAGCAGTTTCTGAGAATGATTCTGTCTAGTTTTTATACGAAGATATTTCCTTTTCTACCATGGACTTCAAAGCGGCTGAAATCTCCACTTGCAAATTCCGCAAAAAGAGTGTTTCAAGTCTGCTCTGTGTAAAGGATCGTTCAACTCTGTGAGTTGAATACACACAACACAAGGAAGTTACTGAGAATTCTTCTGTCTAGCCTTACATGAAAAAAACCCGTTTCCAACGAAGGCCCCAAAGAGGTCTGAATATCCACTTGCAGACTTTACAAACAGAGTGTTTCCTAACTGCTCTATGAAAAGAAAGGTTAAACTCTGTGAGTTGAACACACACATCACAAAGGAGTTTCTGAGAATCATTCTGTCTAGTTTTTATACGAAGATATTTCCTTTTCTACCATTGACCTCAACGCGGCTGAAATCTCCAATTGCAAATTCCACAAAAAGAGTGTTTCAAGTCTGCTCTGTGTAAAGGATCGTTCAACTCTTTGAGTTGAATACACACAACACAAGGAAGTTACTGAGAATTCTTCTGTCTAGCATAGTATGAAGAAATCCCGTTTCCAAAGAAGGCCTCAATGAGGTCTGAATATCCACTTGCAGAGTTTACAAACAAAGTGTTTCCTAACTGCTCTATGAAAAGAAATGTTAAACTCTGTGAGTTGAACGCACACATCACAAAGGAGTTTCTGAGAATCATTCTGTCTAGTTTTGAAACGAAGATATTTCCTTTTCTGCCATTGACCTCAAAGCGCTTGAAATCTCCACTTGCCAATCGCACAAAAAGAGTGTTTCAAATCTGCTCTGTCTAAGGGAACGTTCAACTCTGTGAGTTGAATGTACACAACACAAGGAAGTTACTGGGAATTCTTCTGTCTAGCCTTACATGAAAAAAACCCGTTTCCAACGAAGGCCTCTAAGTGGTCAAAATTTCCACGTGCAGACTTTACAAACAGAGTGTTTCCAAACCGCTGAATGAAAAGAAAAGTTAAACTCTGAGAGTTGAACGCACACATCACACAGCAGTTTCTGAGAATGACTCTGTCTAGTTTTTATACGAAGATATTTCCTTTTCTGCCTTTGGCCCCAAAGCGCTTGAAATCTCCACTTGCAAATTCCACAAAAACAGTGTTTCAAATCTGCTCTCTCTAAACGAAATTACAACTCTGTCAGTTGAATACACACAACACAAGGAAGTTACTGAGAATTCTTCTGTCTAGCACAGTATGAAGAAATCCCTTTTCCAACGAAGGCCTCAAAGAGGTCTGAATATCCACTTGCAGACTTTACAAACAGAGTGTTTCCTAACTGCTCTATGAAAAGAAAGGTTAAACTCTGTGAGTTGAACGCACACGTCACAATGAAGTTTCTGAGAATCCTTCTGTCTAGTTTTTATACGAAGATATTTCCTTTTCTACCATGGACCTCAAAGCGGCTGAAATCTCCACTTGCAAATTCCACAAAAGGAGTGTTTCAAATCTGCTCTGTGTAAACAATCGTTCAACTGTGTGAGTTGAATACACACAACACAAGGAAGATTCTGAGAATTCTTCTGTCTAGCAGAATATGAAGAAATCCCGTTTCCAACGAAGGCCACAAGATGTCAGAATATCCACTTACAGAATTTACAAACAGACTGTTTCTTAACTGCTCTATGAAAAGAAAGGTTAAACTCTGTGAGTTGAACGAACACCTCACAACGCAGTTTGTGGGAATGATTCTGTCTAGTTTTGAAACGAAGATATTTCCTTTTCTGCCGTTGACCTTAAAGCGCTTGAAATCTACACTTGGAAATTGCACAAATAGAGTGTTTCAAATCTGCTCTGTCTAAGGGAACGTTCAACTCTGTGAGTTGAATGCACACAACACAAGGAAGTTACTGGGAATTCTTCTGTCTAGCCTTACATGAAAAAAACCCGTTTCCAACGAAGGCCTCTAAGTGGTCAAAATTTCCACGTGCAGACTTTACAAACAGAGTGTTTCCAAACCGCTGAATGAAAAGAAAAGTTAAACTCTGAGAGTTGAATGCACACATCACGCAGCAGTTTCTGAGAATGATTCTGTCTAGTTTCTATAGGAAGATATTTCCTATTCTAACATTGACCTCAAAGCGGCTGAAATCTCCACTTGCAAATTCCACAAAAGGAGTGTTTCAAGTCTGCTCTGTGTAAAGGATCGTTCAACTCTGTGAGTTGAAAACGCACAACACAAGGAAGTTTCTGAGAATTCTTCTGTCTAGCAGAATATGAAGAAATCCCGTTTCCAACGAAAGCCTCAAAGATGTCTGAATATCCACTTGCAGACTTTACAAACAGAGTGTTTCCTAACTGCTCTATGAAAAGAAAGGTTAAACTCTGTGAGTTGAACGCACACATCACAAAGGAGTTTCTGAGAATCATTCTGTCTAGTTTCTATAGAAAGATATTTCCTATTCTACCATTGAACTCAAAGCGGCTGAAATCTCCACTTGCAAATTCCACAAAAAGAGTGTTTCAAGTCTGCTCTGTGTAAAGGATCGTTCAACTCTGTGAGTTGAATACACACAACAAAAGGAAGTTACTGAGAATTCTTCTGTCTAGCAGAATATGAAGAAATCCCGTTTCCAACGAAGGCCTCAAGGAGGTCTGAATATCCACTTGCAGACTTTACAAACAGGGTGTTTCCTAACTGCTCTATGAACAGAAAAGTTAAACTCTGTGAGTTGAACGAACACATCACAACGCAGTTTGTGGGAATGATTCTGTCTAGTTTTGAAACGAAGATATTTCCTTTTCTGCCGTTGACCTTAAAGCGCTTGAAATCTACACTTGCAAATTGGACAAATAGAGTGTTTCAAATCTGCTCTGTCTAAGGGAACGTTCAACTCTGTGAGTTGAATGCACACAACACAAGGAAGTTACTGGGAATTCTTCTGTCTAGCCTTACAGGAAAAAAACCCGTTTCCAACGAAGGCCTCTAAGTGGTCAAAATATCCACGTGCAGACTTTACAAACAGAGTGTTTCCAAACTGCTGAATGAAAAGAAAAGTTAAACTCTGAGAGTTGAACGCAGACATCGCAGAGCAGTTTCTGAGAATGATTCTGTCTAGTCTTTGTAAGAACATAGTTTCCTTTTCTACCATTGACCTCAAAGCGGCTGAAATCTCCACTTGCAAATTCCACAAAAGGAGTGTTTCAAGTCTGCTCTGTGTAAAGGATCGTTCAACTCTGTGAGTTGAATACACACAACACAAGGAAGTTACTGAGAATTCTTCTGTCTAGCAGAATATGAAGAAATCCCGTTTCCAACGAAGGCCTCAAGGAGGTCTGAATATCCACTTGCACACTTTACAAACAGAGTGTTTCCTAACTGCTCTATGAAAAGAAAGGTTAAACTCTGTGAGTTGAACGCACACATCACAAAGGAGTTTATGAGAATCATTCTGTCTAGTCTTTATATGAAGATAGTTTCCTTTTCTACCATTGACCTCAAAGCGGCTGAAATCTCCACTTGCAAATTCCACAAAAAGAGTGTTTGAAGTCTGCACTGTGTAAAGGATCGTTCAACTCTGTGAGTTGAATACACACAACACAAGGAAGTTACTGAGAATTCTTCTGTCTAGCAGAATATGAAGAAATCCCGTTTCCAGCGAAGGCCACAAGATGTCAGAATATCCACTTACAGACTTTACAACAGAGTGTTTCCTAACTGCTCTATGAACAGAAAGGTTAAACTCTGTGAGTTGAACGAACACATCACAACGCAGTTTGTGGGAATGATTCTGTCTAGTTTTGAAACGAAGATATTTCCTTTTCTGCCGTTGACCTTAAAGAGCTTCAAAACTACACTTGCAAATTGCACAAATAGAGTGTTTCAAATCTCCTCTGTCTAAGGGAACGTTCAACTCTGTGAGTTGAATGCACACAACACAAGGAAGTTACTGGGAATTCTTCTGTCTAGCCTTACATGAAAAAAACCCGTTTCCAACGAAGGCCTCTAAGTGGCCAAAATATCCACGTGCAGACTTTACAAACAGAGTGTTTCCAAACCGCTGAATGAAAAGAAAAGTTAAACTCTGAGAGTTGAACGCACACATCACGCAGCAGTTTCTGAGAATTATTCTGTCTAGTTTTGAAACGAAGATATTTCCTTTTCTGCCTTTGGCCTCAAAGCGCTTGTAATCTCCACTTGCAAATTCCACAAAAAGAGTGTTTCAAATCTGCTCTGTGTAAATGAAAGTTCAACTCTGTGAGTTGAACACACACAACACAAGGAAGTTACTGGGAATTCTTCTGTCTAGCCTTACATGAAAAAAACCCGTTTCCAACGAAGGCCTCAAAGAGGTCTGAATATCCACTTGCAGACTTTACAAACAGAGTGTTTCCTAACTGCTCTATGAAAAGAAAGGTTAAACTCTGTGAGTTGAACGCACACATCACAAAGGAGTTTCTGAGAATCATTCTGTCTAGTTTCTATAGGAAGATATTTCCTATTCTACCATTGACCTCAAAGCGGCTGAAATCTCCACTTGCAAATTCCACAAAAAGAGTGTTTCAAGTCTGCTCTCTGTAAAGGATCGTTCAACTCTGAGAGTTGAATACACACAACACAAGGAAGTTACTGAGAATTATTCTGTCTAGCAGAATATGAAGAAATCCCGTTTCCAACGAAGGCCACAAGTATGTCAGAATATCCACTTACAGAATTTACAAACAGACTGTTTCCTAAGTGCTCTATGAAAAGAAAGGTTAAACTCTGTGAGTTGAACGAACACATCACAACGCAGTTTGTGGGAATGATTCTGTCTAGTTTTGAAACGAAGATATTTCCTTTTCTGCCATTGACTTTAAAGCGCTTGAAATCTACACTTGCAAATTGCACAAATAGAGTGTTTCAAATCTGCTCTGTCTAAGGGAACGTTCAACTCTGTGAGTTGAATGCACACAACACAAGGAAGTTACTGGGAATTCCTTCTGTCTAGCCTTACATGAAAAAAACCCGTTTCCAACGAAGGCCTCTAAGTGGTCAAAATATCCACGTGCAGACTTTACAAACAGAGTGTTTCCAAACCGCTGAATGAAAAGAAAAGTTAAACTCTGAGAGTTGAACGCACACATCACGCAGCAGTTTCTGAGAATGATTCTGTCTAGTTTTTATACGAAGATATTTCCTTTTCTGCCTTTGGCCCCAAAGCGCTTGAAATCTCCACTTGCAAATTCCACAAAAACAGTGTTTCAAATCTGCTCTCTCTAAATGAAAGTCCAACTCTGTCAGTTGAATACACACAACACAAGGAAGTTACTGAGAATTCTTCTGTCTAGCCTTACATGAAAAAAAACCCGTTTCCAACGAAGGCCTCAAAGAGGTGAAAATATCCACTTGCAGACTTTACAAACAGAGTGTTTCCTAACTGCTCTATGAAAAGAAAGGTTAAACCCTGTGAGTTGAACACCCACATCACAAAGGAGTTTCTGAGAATCATTCTGTCTAGTTTTTCTACGAAGATATTTCCTTTTCTACTATTGACCTCAAAGCGGCTGAAATCTCCACTTGCAAATTCCACAAAAAGAGTGTTTCAAGTCTGCTCTGTGTAAAGGATGGTTCAACTCTGTGAGTTGAATACACACAACACAAGGAAGTTACTGAGAATTCTTCTGTCTAGCATAATATGAAGAAATCCCGTTTCCAAAGAAGGCCACATGATGTCATAATATCCACTTACAGACTTTACAAACAGAGTGTTTCCTAACTGCTCTATGAACAGAAAGGTTAAACTCTGTGAGTTGACCGAACACATCACATCGCAGTTTGTGGGAATAATTCTGTCTAGTTTTGAAACGAAGATATTTCCTTTTCTGCCGTTGACCTTAAAGAGCTTGAAATCTACACTTGCAAATTGCACAAATAGGCTGTTTCAAATCTGCTCTGTCTAAGGGAACGTTCAACTCTGTGAGTTGAATGCACACAACACAAGGAAGTTACTGGGAATTCTTCTGTCTAGCCTTACATGAAAAAAACCCGTTTCCAACGAAGGCCTCTAAGTGGTCAAATTATCCACGTGCAGACTTTAGAAACAGAGTGTTTCCAAACTGCTGAATGAAAAGAAAAGTTAAACTCTGAGAGTTGAACGCACACATCACAGAGCAGTTTCTGAGAATGATTCTGTCTAGTTTGGAAACGAAGATATTTCCTTTTCTGCCTTTGGCCTCAAAGCGCTTGAAATCTCCACTTGCAAATTCCACAAAAAGAGTGTTTCAAATCTGCTCTGTGTAAATGAAAGTTCAACTCTGTGAGTTGAACACACACAACACAAGGAAGTTACTGGGAATTCTTCTGTCTAGCCTTATATGAAAAAAACCCGTTTCCAACGAAGGCCTCAAAGAGGTCTGAATATCCACTTGCAGACTTTACAAACAGAGTGTTTCCTAACTGCTCTATGAAAAGAAATGTTAAACTCTGTGGGTTGAACACACAAATCACAAAGGAGTTTCTGAGAATCATTCTGTCTAGTTTTTATACGAAGATATTTCCTTTTTTACCATTGACCTCAAAGCGGCTGAAATCTCCACTTGCAATTTCCACAAAAAGAGTGTTTCAAGTCTGCTCTGTGTAAAGGATCGTTCAACTCTGTGAGTTGAATACACACAACAAAAGGAAGTTACTGAGAATTCTTCTGTCTAGCATAATATGAAGAAATCCCGTTTCCAACGAAGGCCTCAAAGAGGTCTGAATATCCACTTGCAGACTTTACAAACAGAGTGTTTCCTAACTGCTCTATGAAAAGAAAGGTTAAACTCTGTGAGTTGAACGCACACATCACAAAGGAGTGTCTGAGAATCATTCTGTCTAGTTTTTATACGAAGATATTTCCTTTTCTACCATTGACCTCAAAGCGGCTGAAATCACCACTTGCCAATTGCACAAAAAGAGTGTTTCAAATCTGTTCTGTCTAAGGGAACGTTCAACTCTGTGAGTTGAATGTACACAACACAAGGAAGTTACTGGGAATTCTTCTGTATAGCCTTACATGAAAAAAACCCGTTTCCAACGAAGGCCTCTAAGTGGTCAAATTATCCACGTGCAGACTTTACAAACAGAGTGTTTCCAAACTGCTGAATGAAAAGAAAAGTTAAACTCTGAGAGTTGAACGCACACATCACAGAGCAGTTTCTGAGAATGATTCTGTCTAGTTTTTATACGAAGATATTTCCTTTTCTGCCTTTGGCCTCAAAGCGCTTGAAATCTCCACTTGCAAATTCCACAAAAAGAGTGTTTCAAATCTCCTCTGTCTAAGGGAACGTTCAACTCTGTGAGTTGAACACACACAACACAAGGAAGTTACTGGGAATTCTTCTGTCTAGCAGAATATGAAGAAATCACGTTTCCAACGAGGGCCTCAAAGGGGTCTCAATATCCACTTGCAGACTTTACAGAGTGTTTCCTAACTGCTCTATGAAAAGAAAAGTTAAACTCTGTGAGTTGAACGCACGCATCACAAAGGATTTTCTGAGAATCATTCTGTCTAGTTTCTATAGGAAGATATTTCCTATTCTACCATTGACCTCAAAGCGGCTGAAATCTCCACTTGCAAATTCCACAAAAAGAGTGTTTCAAGTCTACTCTTTGTAAAGCATCGTTCAAATCTGTGAGTTGAAAACACACAACACAAGGAAGTTTCTGAGAATTCTTCTGTCTAGCAGAATATGTAGAAATCCCGTTTCCAACGAAGGCCACAAGATGTCAGAATATCCACTTACAGAATTTACCAACAGAGTGTTTCCTAACTGCTCTATGAAAAGAAAGGTTAAACTCTGTGAGTTGAACGAACACATCACAACGCAGTTTGTGGGAATGATTCTGTCTAGTTTTGAAACGAAGATATTTCCTTTTCTGCCATTGACCTTAAAGCGCTTGAAATCTCCACTTGCCAATTGCACAAAAAGAGTGTTTCAAATCTGCTCTGTCTAAGGGAACGTTCAACTCTGTGAGTTGAATGTACACAACACAACGAAGTTACTGGGAATTCTTCTGTCTAGCCTTACATGAAAAAAACCCGTTTCCAACGAAGGCCTCTAAGTGGTCAAAATTTCCACGTGCAGACTTTACAAACAGAGTGTTTCCAAACCGCTGAATGAAAAGAAAAGTTAAACTCTGAGAGTTGAACGCACACATCACGCAGCAGTTTCTGAGAATGATTCTGTCTAGTTTTTATACGAAGATATTTCCTTTTCTGCCTTTGGCCTCAAAGCGCTTGAAATCTCCACTTGCAAATTCCACAAAAAGAGTGTTTCAAATCTGCTCTCTGTAAATGAAAGTTCAACTCTGTGAGTTGAACACACACAACACAAGGAAGTTACTGGGAATTCTTCTGTCTAGCACAGTATGAAGAAATCCCGTTTCCAACGAAGGCCTCAAAGAGGTCTGAATATCCACTTGCAGAGTTTACAAACAGAGTGTTTCCTAACTGCTCCATGAAAAGAAAGGTTAAACTCTGTGAGTTGAACGCACACATCACAAAGAAGTTTCTGAGAATCATTCTGTCTAGTTTCTATAGGAAGATATTTCCTTTTCTGCCATTGACCTCAAAGCGGCTGAAATCTCCACTTGCAAATTCCACAAAAAGAGTCTTTCAAGTCTGCTCTGTGTAAAGGATCGTTCAACTCGGTGAGTTGAATACACACAACACAAGGAAGTTACTGAGAATTCTTCTGTCTAGCATAATATGAAGAAATCCCGTTTCCAACGAAGACCTCAAAGAGGTCTGAATATCCACTTGCAGACTTTACAAACAGAGTGTTTCCTAACTGCTCTATGAGAAGAAAAGTTACACTCTGTGAGTTGAACGCACACATCACAAAAGATTTTCTGAGAATCATTCTGTCTAGTTTTAAAACGAAGAAATTTCCTTTTCTGCCATTGACCTTAAAGCGCTTGAAATCTACACTTGCAAATTGCACAAATAGAGTGTTTCAAATCTGCTCTGTCTAAGGGAACGTTCAACTCTGTGAGTTGAATGCACACAACACAAGGAAGTTACTGGGAATTCTTCTGTCTAGCCTTACAAGAAAAAAACCCGTTTCCAACGAAAGCCTCTAAATGGTCAAAATATCCACGTGCAGACTTTACAGAGTGTTTCCAAACTGCTGAATGAAAAGAAAAGTTAAACTCTGAGAGTTGAACGCACACATCGCAGAGCAGTTTCTGAGAATGATTCTGTCTAGTTTTGAAACGAAGATATTTCCTTTTCTGCCTTTGGCCTCAAAGCGCTTGAAATCTCCACTTGCAAATTCCACAAAAAGAGTGTTTCAAATCTGCTCTGGGTAAATGAAAGTTCAACTCTGTGAGTTGAACAAACACAACACAAGGAAGTTACTGGGAATTCTTCTGTCTAGCCTTATATGAAAAAATCCCGTTTCCAACGAAGGCCTCAAAGAGGTCTGAATATCCACTTGCAGACTTTACAAACACAGTGTTTCCTAACTGCTCTATGAAAAGAAAGGTTAAACTCTGTGAGTTGAACGCACACATCACAAAGGAGTTTCTGAGAATCATTCTGTCTAGTTTTTATACGAAGACATTTCCTTTTCTACCATTGACCTCAAAGCGGCTGAAATCTCCACTTGCAAATTCCACAAAAAGAGTGTTTCAAATCTGCTCTGTGTAAACCAACGTTCAACTCTGTGAGTTGAAGACACACAACACAAGGAAGATTCTGAGAATTCTTCTGTCTAGCAGAATATGAAGAAATCCCGTTTCCAACGAAGGCCAAAAGATGTCAGAATATCCACTTACAGAATTTACAAACAGAGTGTTTCCTAACTGCTCTATGAAAAGAAAGGTTAAACTCTGTGAGTTGAACGAACACATCACAACGCAGTTTGTGGGAATGATTCTGTCTAGTTTTTATACGAAGATATTTCCTTTTCTACCATTGACCTCAAAGCGGCTGAAATCACCACTTGCCAATTGCACAAAAAGAGTGTTTCAAATCTGCTCTGTCTAAGGGAACGTTCAACTCTGTGAGTTGAATGTGCACAACACAAGGAAGTTCCTGGGAATTCTTCTGTCTAGCCTTATATGAAAAAAACCCGTTTCCAACGAAGGCCTCTAAGTGGTCAAAATATCCACGTGCAGACTTTACAAACAGAGTGTTTCCAAACCGCTGAATGAAAAGAAAAGTTAAAGTCTGAGAGTTGAACGCACACATCACGCAGCAGTTTCTGAGAATGATTCTGTCTAGTTTTTATACGAAGATATTTCCTTTTCTGCGTTTGGCCCCAAAGCGCTTGAAGTCACCACTTGCAAATTCCACAAAAACAGTGTTTCAAATCTGCTCTCTCTAAATGAAAGTTCAACTCTGTCAGTTGAATACACACAACACAAGGAAGTTACTGAGAATTCTTCTGTCTAGCAGAATATGAAGAAATCCCGTTTCCAACGAAGGCCTCAAAGAGGTCTGAATATCCACTTGCAGACTTTACAAACAGAGTGTTTCCTAACTGCTCTATGAAAAGAAAAGTTAAACTCTGTGAGTTGAACGCACACATCACAAAGGAGTTTCTGAGAATCGTTCTGTCTAGTTTCTATAGGAAGATATTTCCTATTCTACCATTGACCTCAAAGCGGCTGAAATCTCCACTTGCAAATTCCACAAAAAGAGTGTTTCAAGTCTGCTCTGTGTAAAGGATCGTTCAACTCTGTGAGTAGAATACACACAACACAAGGAAGTTACTGAGAATTCTTCTGTCTAGCAGAATATGAAGAAATCCCGTTTCCAACGAAGGCCACAAGATGTCAGAATATCCACTTACAGAATTGACAAACAGACTGTTTCCTAACTGCTCTATGAAAAGAAAGGTTAAACTCTGTGAGTTGAACGAACACATCACAACGCAGTTTCTGGGAATGATTCTGTCTAGTTTTGAAACGAAGATATTTCCTTTTCTGCCGTTGACCTTAAAGAGCTTGAAAACTACACTTGCAAATTGCACAAATAGAGTGTTTCAAATCTGCTCTGTCTAAGGGAACGTTCAACTCTGTGAGTTGAATGCACACAACACAAGGAAGTTACTGGGAATTCTTCTGTCTAGCCTTACATGAAAAAAAACCCGTTTCCAACGAAGGCCTCTAAGTGGTCAAAATATCCACGTGCAGTCTTTACAAACAGAGTGTTTCCAAACCGCTGAATGAAAAGAAAAGTTAAACTCTGAGAGTTGAACGCACACATCACGCAGCAGTTTCTGAGAATGATTCTGTCTAGTTTTTATACGAAGATATTTCCTTTTCTGCCTTTGGCCCCAAAGCGCTTGATATCTCCACTTGCAAATTCCACAAAAACAGTGTTTCAAATCAGCTCTCTCTAAATGAAAGTTCAACTCTGTCAGTTGAATACACACAACACAAGGAAGTTACTGAGAATTCTCTGTCTAGCCTTATAGGAAAAAAACCCGTTTCCAACGAAGGCCTCAAAGAGGTCTGAATATCCACTTGCAGACTTTACAAACAGAGTGTTTCCTAACTGCTCTATGAAAAGAAAGGTTAAACTCTGTGAGTTGAACGCACACATCACAAAGGAGTTCTGAGAATCATCTCTGTCTAGTTTTTATACGAAGATATTTCCTTTTCTACCATTGACCTCAAAGCGGCTGAAATCTCCACTTGCAAATTCCACAAAAAGAGTGTTTCAACTCTGCTCTGTGTAAAGGATCGTTCAACTCTGTGAGTTGAATACACACAACACGCGGAAGTTACTGAGAATTCTTCTGTCTAGCAGAATATGAAGAAATCCCGTTTCCAACGAAGGCCACAAGATGTCAGAATATCCACTTACAGAATTGACAAACAGACTGTTTCCTAACTGCTCTATGAAAAGAAAGGTTAAACTCTGTGAGTTGAACGAACACATCAGAACGCAGTTTGTGGGAATGATTCTGTCTAGTTTTGAAATGAAGATATATATCTTTTTCTGCCATTGACCTTAAAGCGCTTGAAATCTCCACCTGCAAATTGCACAAAAAGATTGTTTCCGATCTGCTCTGTCTAAAAGAACGTTCAACTCTGTGAGTTGAATGCACACAACACAAGGAAGTTATTGGGAATTCTTCTGTCTAGCCTTACATGAAAAAAACCCGTTTCCAACGAAGGCCTCTAAGTGGTCAAATTATCCACATGCAGACTTTACAAACAGAGTGTTTCCAAACTGCTGAATGAAAAGAAAAGTTAAACTCTGAGAGTTGAACGCACACATCGCAGAGCAGTTTCTGAGAACGATTCTGTCTAGTTTTTATACGAAGATATTTCCTTTTCTGCCTTTGGCCTCAAAGCGCTTGAAATCTCCATTTGCAAATTCCACAAAAAGAGTGTTTCAAATCTGCTCTGTGTAAATGAAAGTTCAACTCTGTGAGTTGAACACACACAACACAAGGGAAGTTACTGGGAATTCTTCTGTCTAGCCTTATATGAAAAAAACCCATTTCCAACGAAGGCCTCAAAGAGGTCTGAATATCCACTTGCAGACTTTACAAACAGAGTGTTTCCTAACTGCTCTATGAAAAGAAAGGTTAAACTCTGTGAGTTGAACGCACACATCACAAAGGAGTTTCTGAGAATCATTCTGTCTAGTTTTTATAGGAAGTTATTTCCTTTTCTACCTTTGACTTCAAAGTGGCTGAAATCTCCACTTGCAAATTCCACAAAAAGAGTGTTACAAGTCTGCTCTGTGTAAAGGGTCGTTCAACTCTGTGAGTTGAATACACACAACACAAGGAAGTTACTGAGAATTCTTCTGTCTAGCAGAATATGAAGAAATCCCGTTTCCAACGAAGGCCACAAGATGTCAGAATATCCACTTACAGACTTTACAAACAGAGTGTTTCCTAACTGCTCTATGAACAGAAAGGTTAAACTCTGTGAGTTGAAAGAACACATCACAACGCAGTTTGTGGGAATGATTCTGTCTAGTTTTGAAACGAAGATATTTCCTTTTCTGCCATTGACCTTAAACACTTGAAATCTACACTTGCAAATTGCACAAATAGAGTGTTTCAAATCTGCTCTGTCTAAGGGAACGTTCAACTCTGTGAGTTGAATGCACACAACACAAGGAAGTTACTGGGAATTCTTCTATCTAGCCTTATATGAAAAAAACCCGTTTCCAACGAAGGCCTCTAAGTGGTCAAAATATCAACGTGCAGACTTTACAAACAGAGTGTTTCCAAACCGCTGAATGAAAAGAAAAGTTAAACTCTGAGAGTTGAACGCACACATCACGCAGCAGTTTCTGAGAATGATTCTGTCTAGTTTTTATACGAAGATATTTCCTTTTCTGCCTTTGGCCCCAAAGCGCTTGAAATCTCCACTTGCAAATTCCACAAAAACAGTGTTTCAAATCTGCTCTCTCTAAATGAAAGTTCAACTCTGTCAGTTGAATACACCCAACACAAGGAAGTTACTGAGAATTCTTCTGTCTAGCAGAATATGAAGAAATCCCGTTTCCAACGAAGGCCTCAAAGGGGTCTGAATATCCACTTGCAGACTTTATAAACAGAGTGTTTACTAACTGCACTACGAAAAGAAATGTTAAACTCTGTGAGTTGAACACACACATCACAAAGGAGTTTCTGAGAATCTTTCAGTCTAGTCTTTATACGAAGATATTTCCTTTTCTACCATTGACCTCAAAGCGGCTGAAATCTCCACTTGCAAATTCCACAAAAAGAGTGTTTCAAGTCTGCTCTGTGAAAAGGATCGTTCAACTCTGTGAGTTGAATACACACAACACAAGGAAGTTACTGAGAATTCTTCTGTCTAGCAGAATATGAAGAAATCCCGTTTCCAACGAAGGCCACAAGATGTCAGAATATCCACTTACAAACTTTACAGAGTGTTTCCTAACTGCTCTATGAACAGAAAGGTTAAACTCTGTGAGTTGAACGAACACATGACAACGCAGTTTCTGGGAATGATTCTGTCTAGTTTTGAAACGAAGATATTTCCTTTTCTGTCATTGACCTTAAAGCGCTTGAAATCTACACTTGCAAATTGCACAAGTAGAGTGTTTCAAATCTGCTCTGTCTAAGGGAACGTTCAACTCTTTGAGTTGAATGCACACAACACAAGGAAGTTACTGAGAATTCTTCTGTCTAGCCTTACATGAAAAAAACCCGTTTCCAACGAAGGCCTCTAAGTGGTCAAATTATCCACGTGCAGACGTTACAAACAGAGTGTTTCCAAACTGCTGAATGAATAGAAAAGTTAAAATCTGAGAGTTGAACGCACACATCGCAGAGCAGTTTCTGAGAATGATTCTGTCTAGTTTTTATACGAAGATATTTCCTTTTCTGCCTTTGGCCTCAAAGCGCTTGAAATCTCCACTTGCAAATTCCACAAAAAGAGTGTTTCAAATCTGCTCTTTGTAAATGAAAGTTCAACTCTGTGAGTTGAACACACACAACACAAGGAAGTTACTGGGAATCCTTCTGTCTAGCAGAATATGAAGAAATCCCGTTTCCAACGAAGGCCTCAAAGGGGTTTGAATATCCACTTGCAGACTTTATAAACAGAGTGTTTACTAACTGCTCTATGAAAAGAAAGGTTAAACTCTGTGAGTTGAACACACACATCACAAAGGAGTTTCTGAGAATCATTCTGTCTAGTTTTTATACGAAGATATTTCCTTTTCTACCATTGACCTCAAAGCGGCTGAAATCTCCACTTGCAAATTCCACAAAAAGAGTGTTTCAAGTCTGCTCTGTGTAAAGGATCGTTCAACTCCTGTGAGTTGAATACACACAACACAAGGAAGTTACTGAGAATTCTTCTGTCTAGCAGAATATGAAGAAATCCCGTTTCCAACGAAGGCCACAAGATGTCAGAATATCCACTTACAGAATTGACAAACAGACTGTTTCCTAACTGCTCTATGAAAAGAAAGGTTAAACTCTGTGAGTTGAACGCACACATCACAAAGAAGTTTCTGAGAATCATTCTGTCTAGTTTTGTAACGACGATATTTCCTTTTCTGCCATTGACCTTAAAGCGCTTGAAATCTACACTTGCCAATTGCACAAATAGAGTGTTTCAAATCTGCTCTGTCTAAGGGAACGTTCAACTCTGTGAGTTGAATGCACACAACACAAGGAAGTTACTGGGAATTCTTCTGTCTAGCCTTACGTGAAAAAAACCCGTTTCCAACGAAGGCCTCTAAGTGGTCAAAATATCCACTTGCAGACTTTACAAACAGAGTGTTTCCAAACCGCTGAATGAAAAGAAAAGTTAAACTCTGAGAGTTGAACGCACACATCACGCAGCAGTTTCTGAGAATGATTCTGTCTAGTTTTTATACGAAGATATTTCCTTTTCTGCCTTTGGCCTCAAAGCGCTTGAAATCTCCACTTGCAAATTCCACAAAAAGAGTGTTTCAAATCTGCTCTGTGTAAATCAAAGTTCAACTCTGTGAGTTGAACACACACAACACAAGGGAAGTTACTGGGAATTCTTCTGTCTAGCATAATATGAAGAAATCCCGTTTCCAACGAAGGCCACAAAGGGATCTGAATATCCACTTGCAGACTTTATAAACAGAGTGTTTACTAACTGCTCTATGAAAAGAAAGGTTAAACTCTGTGAGTTGAACACACACATCATAAAGGAGTTTCTGAGAATCATTCTGTCTAGTTTTTCTACGAAGATATTTCCTTTTCTACTATTGACCTCAAAGCGGCTGTAATCTCAAATTGCAAATTCCACAAAAAGAGTGTTTCAAGTCTGCTCTGTGTAAAGGATCGTTCAACTCTGTGAGTTGAATACACACAACACAAGGAAGTTACTGAGAATTCTTCTGTCTAGCATAATATGAAGAAATCCCGTTTCCAACGAAGGCCTCAAAGAGGTCTGAATATCCACTTGCAGACTTTTCAAACAGAGTGTTTCCTAACTGCTCTATGAAAAGAAAGGTTAAACTCTGTGAGTTGAACGCACACATCACAAAGGAGTTTCAGAGAATCATTCTGTCTAGTTTTGAAACGAAGATATCTCCTTTTCGGCCATTGACCTTAAATCGCTTGAAATCTACACTTGCAAATTACACAAATAGAGTGTTTCAAATCTGCTCTGTCTAAGGGAATGTTCATCTCTGTGAGTTGAATGCACACAACACAAGGAAGTTACTGGGAATTCTTCTGTCTAGCCTTACATGAAAAAAACCCGTTTCCAACGAAGGCCTCTAAGTGGTCAAATTATCCACGTGCAGACTTTAGAAACAGAGTGTTTCCAAACTGCTGAATGAAAAGAAAAGTTAAACTCTGAGAGTTGAACGCACACATCGCAGAGCAGTTTCTGAGAATGATTCTGTCTAGTTTTTATACGAAGATATTTCCTTTTCTGCCTTTGGCCCCAAAGCGCTTGAAATCTCCAATTGCAAATTCCACGAAAACAGTGTTTCAAATCTGCTCTCTCTAAATGAAAGTTAAACTCTGTCAGTTGAATACACACAACACAAGGAAGTTACTTAGAAATCTTCTGTCTAGCATAATATGAAGAAATCCCGTTTCCAACGAAGGCCTCAAAGGGGTCTGAATATCCACATGCAGACTTTATAAACAGAGTGTTTACTAACGGCTCTATGAAAAGAAAGGTTAAACTCTGTGAGTTGAACACACACATCACAAACGAGTTTCTGAGAATCATTCTGTCTAGTTTCTATAGGAAGATATTTCCTATTCTACCATTGACCTCAAAGCGGCTGAAATCTCCACTTGCAAATTCAACAAAAAGAGTGTTTCAAGTCTGCTCTGTGTAAAGGATCGTTCAACTCTGTGAGTTGAATACACACAACACAAGGAAGTTACTGGGAATTCTTCTGTCTAGCAGAATATGAAGAAATCCCGTTTCCAACGAAGGCCTCAAGGAGGTCTGAATATCCACTTGCAGACTTTATAAACAGTGTGTTTCCTAACTGCTCTATGAAAAGAAAGGTTAAACTCTGTGAGTTGAACGCAAACATCACAAAGGAGTTTCTGAGAATCATTCTGTCTTGTTTCTATACGAGGATATTTCCTTTTCTACCATTGACCTCAAAGCGGCTGAAATCTCCACTTGCAAATTCCACAAAAAGAGTGTTTCAAGTCTGCTCTGTGTAAAGGATCGTTCAACTCTGTGAGTTGAATACACACAACACAAGGAAGTTACTGAGAATTCTTCTGTCTAGCCTTACATGAAAAAAACCCGTTTCCAACGAAGGCCTCTAAGTGGTCAAAATTTCCACGTGCAGACTTTACAAACAGAGTGTTTCCAAACCGCTGAATGAAAAGAAAAGTTAAACTCTGAGAGTTGAACGCACACATCACGCAGCAGTTTACTGAGAATGATTTCTGTCTAGTTTTTATACGAAGATATTTCCTTTTCTGCCTTTGGCCTCAAAGCGCTTGAAATCTCCATTTGCAAATTCCACAAAAAGAGTGTTTCAAATCTGCTCTGTGTAAATGAAAGTTCAACTCTGTGAGTTGAACACACACAACACATGGAAGTTAGCTGGGAATTCTTCTGTCTAGCAGAATATGAAGAAATCCCGTTTCCAACGAAGGCCTCAACGAGGTCTGAATATCCACTTGCAGACTTTACAAACAGAGTGTTTCCTAACTGCTCTATGAAAAGAAAGGTTAAACTCTGTGAGTTGAACACACACATCACAAAGGAGTTTCTGAGAATCATTCTGTCTAGTTTCTATAGGAAGATATTTCCTATTCTACCATTGACCTCAAAGCGGCTGAAATCTCCACTTGCAAATCCCACAAAAAGAGTGTTTCAAGTCTGCTCTGTGTAAAGGATCGTTCAACTCTGTGAGTTGAATACACACAACACAAGGAAGTTACTGAGAATTATTCTGTCTAGCAGAATATGAAGAAATCCAGTTTCCAACGAAGGCCACAAGATGTCAGAATATCCACTTACAGAATTGACAAACAGACTGTTTCCTCACTGCTCTATGAAAAGAAAGGTTAAACTCTGTGAGTTGAACGAACACATCACAACGCAGTTTGTGGGAATGATTCTGTCTAGTTTTGAAACGAAGATATTTCCTTTTCTGCCATTGACCTTAAAGCGCTTGAAATCTACACTTGCAAATTGCACAAATAGAGTGTTTCAAATCTGCTGTGTCTAAGGAACGTTCAACTCTGTGAGTTGAATGCACACAACACAAGGAAGTTACTGGGAATTCTTCTGTCTAGCCTTACATGAAAAAATCCCGTTTCCAACGAAGGCCTCTAAGTGGTCAAAATTTCCACGTGCAGACTTTACAAACAGAGTGTTTCCAAACCGCTGAATGAAAAGAAAAGTTAAACTCTGAGAGTTGAACGCACACATCACGCAGCAGTTTCTGAGAATGATTCTGTCTTGTTTTGAAACGAAGATATTTCCTTTTCTGCCTTTGGTCTCAAAGCGCTTGAAATCTCCACTTGCAAATTCCACAAAAAGAGTGTTTCAAATCTGCTCTGTGTAAATGAAAGTTCAACTCTGTGAGTTGAACACACACAACACAAGGAAGTTACTGGGAATTCTTCTTTCTAGCAGAATATGAAGAAATCCCGTTTCCAACGAAAGCCTCAAGGATGTCTGAATATCCACTTGCAGACTTTACAAACAGAGTGTTTCCTAACTGCTCTATGAAAAGAAAGGTTAAACTCCGTGAGTTGAACGCACACATCACAAAGGAGTTTCTGAGAATCATTCTGGCTAGTTTCTATAGGAAGATATTTCCTATTCTACCATTGACCTCAAAGCGGCTGAAATCTCCCCTTGCAAATTCCACAAAATGAGTGTTTCAAGTCTGCTCTGTGTAAAGCATCGTTCAACTCTGTGAGTTGAAAACACACAACACAAGGAAGTTTCTGAGAATTCTTCTGTCTAGCAGAATATGAAGAAATCCCGTTTCCAACGAAGGCCACAAGATGTCAGAATATCCACTTACAGACTTTACAAACAGAGTGTTTCCTAACTGCTCTATGAACAGAAAGGTTAAACTCTGTGAGTTGAACGAACAGATCACAACGCAGTTTGTGGGAATGATTCTGTCTAGTTTTGAAACGAAGATATTTCCTTTTCTGCCGTTGACCTTAAAGCGCTTGAAATCTACACTTGCAAATTGCACAAATAGAGTGTTTCAAATCTGCTCTGTCTAAGGGAACGTTCAACTCTGTGAGTTGAATGCACACAACACAAGGAAGTTACTGGGAATTCTTCTGTCTATCCTTACATGAAAAAAACCCGTTTCCAACGAAGGCCTCTAAGTGGTCAAAATACCCACGTGCAGACTTTACAAACAGAGTGTTTCCAAACCGCTGAATGAAAAGAAAAGTTAAACTCTGAGAGTTGAACGCACACATCACGCAGCAGTTTCTGAGAATGATTCTGTCTAGTTTTTATACGAAGATATTTCCTTTTCTGCCTTTGGCCCCAAAGCGCTTGAAATCTCCACTTGCAAATTCCACAAAAACAGTGTTTCAAATCTGCTCTCTCTAAATGAAAGTTCAGCTATGTCAGTTGAATACACACAACACAAGGAAGTTACTGAGAATTCTTCTGTATAGCAGAATATGAAGAAATCCCGTATCCAACGAAGGCCTCAAGGAGGTCTGAATATCCACTTGCAGACTTTACAATCAGAGTGTTTCCTAACTGCTCTATGAAAAGAAACGTTAAACTCTGTGAGTTGAACGCAGACATCACAAAGGAGTTTCTGAGAATCACTCTGTCTAGTTTTTCTACGAAGATATTTCCTTTTCTACTATTGACCTCAAAGCGGCTGAAATCTCCACTTGCAAATTCCACAAAAAGAGTGTTTCAAGTCTGCTCTGTGTAAAGGATCGTTCAACTCTGTGAGTTGAATACACACAACACAAGGAAGTTACTGAGAACTCTTCTGTCTAGCAGAATATGAAGAAATCCCGTTTCCAACGAAGGCCACAAGATGTCAGAATATCCACTTACAGACTTTACAAACAGAGTGTTTCCTAACTGCTCTATGAAAAGAAAAGTTAAACTCTGTGAGTTGCACGCACACATCACAAAGGAGTTTCTGAGAATCATTCTGTCTACTTTTGAAACGAAGATATTTCCTTTTCTGCCATTGAACTTAAAGCGCTTGAAATCTCCATTTGCCAATTGCACAAAAAGAGTGTTTCAAATCTGCTCTGTCTAAGGGAACGTTCAACTCTGTGAGTTGAATGTACACAACACAAGGAAGTTACTGGGAATTCTTCTGTCTAGCCTTACAGGAAAAAAACCCGTTTCCAACGAAGGCCTCTAAGTGGTCAAAATATCCACGTGCAGACTTTACAAACAGAGTGTTTCCAAACTGCTGAATGAAAAGAAAAGTTAAACTCCTGAGAGTTGAACGCACACATCGCAGAGCAGTTTCTGAGAATGATTTCTGTCTAGTTTTTATACGAAGATATTCCCTTTTCTACTATTGACCTCAAAGCGGCTGAAATCTCCACCTGCAAATTCCACAAAAAGAGTGTTTCTAATCTGCTCTGTGTAAAGGATCGTTCAACTCTGTGAGTTGAATACACACAACACAAGGAAGTTACTGAGAATTCTTCTGTCTAGCATAATATGACGAAATCCCGTTTCCAACGAAGGCCTCAAAGGGGTCTGAATATCCACTTGCAGACTTTATAAACAGAGTGTTTACTAACTGCTCTATGAAAAGAAAGGTTAAACTCTGTGAGTTGAACACACACATCACAAAGGAGTTTCTGAGAATCATTCTGTCTAGTTTCTATAAGAAGATATTTCCTATTCTACCATTGACCTCAAAGCGGCTGAAATCTCCACTTGCAAATTCGACAAAAAGAGTGTTTCAAGCCTGCTCTCTGTAAAGGATCCTTCAACTCTGTGAGTTGAATACACACAACACAATGAAGTTACTGAGAATTATTCTGTCTAGCAGAATATGAAGAAATCCCGTTTCCAACGAAGGCCTCAAGGAGGTCTGAATATCCACTTGCAGACTTTACAAACAGAGTGTTTCCTAACTGCTCTATGAAAAGAAAGGTTAAACTCTTTGAGTTGAACGCACACATCACAACGCAGTTTGTGGGAATGATTCTGTCTAGTTTTGAAACGAAGATATTTCCTTTTCTGCCATTGACCTTCAAGCGCTTGAAATCTCCATTTGCCAATTGCACAAAAAGAGTGTTTCAAATCTGCTCTGTCTAAGGGAACGTTCAACTCTGTGAGTTGAATGTACACAACACAAGGAAGTTACTGGGAATTCTTCTGTCTAGCCTTACAGGAAAAAAACCCGTTTCCAACGAAGGCCTCTAAGTGGTCAAAATATCCACATGCAGACTTTACAAACAGAGTGTTTCCAAACTGCTGAATGAAAAGAAAAGTTAAACTCTGAGAGTTGAACGCACACATCGCAGAGCAGTTTCTGAGAATGATTCTGTCTAGTTTTTATACGAAGATATTTCCTTTTCTGCCTTTGGCCCCAAAGCGCTTGAAATCTCCACTTGCAAATTCCACAAAAACAGTGTTTCAAATCTGCTCTCTCTAAATGATAGTTCAACTCCGTCAGTTGAATACACACAACACAAGGAAGTTACTGAGAATTCTTCTGTCTAGCATAATATGAAGAAATCCCGTTTCCAACGAAGGCCTCAAAGGGGTCTGAATATCCACTTGCAGACTTTATAAACAGACTGTTTACTAACTGCTCTATGAAAAGAAAGGTTAAACTCTGTGAGTTGAACACACACATCACAAAGGAGTTTCTGAGAATCATTCTGTCTAGTTTTTCTACGAAGATATTTCCTTTTCTACTATTGACCTCAAAGCGCCTGAAATCTCCACTTGCAAATTCCACAGAAAGAGTGTTTCAAGTCTGCTCTGTGTAAAGGATCGTTCAACTCTGTGAGTTGAATACACACAACACAAGGAAGTTACTGAGAATTCTTCTGTCTAGCATAATATGAAGAAATCCCGTTTCCAACGAAGGCCTCAAGGAGGTCCTGAATATCCACTTGCAGACTTTACAAACAGAGTGTTTCCTAACTGCTCTATGAAAAGAAAGGTTAAACTGTGGGAGTTGAACGCACACATCACAAAGGAGTTTCTCAGAATCATTCTGTCTAGTTTTGAAACGAAGATATTTCCTTTTCTGCCGTTGACCTTAAAGCGCTTGAAATCTACACTTGGAAATTGCACAAATAGAGTGTTTCAAATCTGCTCTGTCTAAGGGAACGTTCAACTCTGTGAGTTGAATGCACACAACACAAGGAAGTTACTGGGAATTCTTCTGTCTAGCCTTACATGAAAAAAACCCGTTTCCAACGAAGGCCTCTAAGTGGTCAAGTTATCCACGTGCAGACTTTACAAACAGAGTGTTTCCAAACTGCTGAATGAAAAGAAAAGTTAAACTCTGAGAGTTGAATGCACACATCGCAGAGCAGTTTCTGAGAATGATTCTGTCTAGTTTTTATACGAAGATATTTCCTTTTCTGCCTTTGGCCCCAAAGCGTTTGAAATCTCCACTTGCAAATTCCACAAAAACAGTGTTTCAAATCTGCTCTCTCTAAATGAAAGTTCAACTCTGTCAGTTGAATACACACAACACAAGGGAAGTTACTGAGAATTCTTCTGTCTAGCAGAATATGAAGAAACCCCGCTTCCAACGAAGGCCTCAAAGAAGTCTGAATATCCACTTGCAGACTTTACAAACAGAGTTTTTCCCAACTGCTCTATGAAAAGAAAGTTTGAACTCTGTGAGTTGAACGCACACATCACAAAGGAGTTTCTGAGAATCATTCTGTCTAGTTTCTATAGGAAGATATTTCCTATTCTAACATTGACCTCAAAGCGGCTGAAATCTCCACTTGCAAATTCCAGAAAAAGAGTGTTTCAAGTCTGCTCTGTTTAAAGGATCGTTCAACTCTGTGAGTTGAATACACACAACACAAGGAAGTTACTGAGAATTCTTCTGTCTAGCAGAATATGAAGAAATCCCGTTTCCAACGAAGGCCACAAGATGTCAGAATATCCACTTACAGAATTGACAAACAGACTGTTTCCTAACTGCTCTATGAAAAGAAAGGTTAAACTCTGTGAGTTGAACGAACACATCACAACACAGTTTGTGGGAATGATTCTGTCTAGTTTTAAAACGAAGATATTTCCTTTTCTGCCGTTGACCTTAAAGCGCTTGAAATCTACACTTGCAAATTGCACAAATAGAGTGTTTCAAATCTGCTCTGTCTAAGGGAACGTTCAACTCTGTGAGTTGAATGCACACAACACAAGGAAGTTACTGGGAATTTTTCTGTCTAGCCTTACATGAAAAAAACCCGTTTCCAACGAAGGCCTCTAAGTGGTCAAAATATCCACGTGCAGACTTTACAAACAGAGTGTTTCCAAAGCGCTGAATGAAAAGAAAAGTTAAACTCTGAGAGTTGAACGCACACATCACGCAGCAGTTTCTGAGAATGATTCTGTCTAGTTTCTATAGGAAGATATTTCCTATTCTACCATTGACCTCAAAGCGGCTGAAATCTCCACTTGCAAATTCCACAAAAAGAGTGTTTCAAGTCTGCTCTGTGTAAAGGATCGTTCAACTCTGTGAGTTGAATACACACAACGCAAGGAAGTTACTGAGAATTCTTCTGTCTAGCAGAATATGAAGAAATCCCGCTTCCAACGAAGGCCTCAAAGAAGTCTGAATATCCACTTGCAGACTTTACAAACAGAGTGTTTCCCAACTGCTCTATGAAAAGAAAGGTTAAACTCTGTGAGTTGAACGCACACATCACAAAGGAGTTTCTGAGAATCATTCTGTCTAGTCTTTATACGAAGATATTTACTTTTCTACCATTGACCTCAAAGCGGCTGAAATCTCCACTTGCAAATTCCACAAAAAGAGTGTTTGAAGTCTGCTCTGTGTAAAGGATCATTCAACTCTGTGAGTTGAATAAACACAACACAAGGAAGTTACTGAGAATTCTTCTGTCTAGCAGAATATGAAGAAATCCCGTTTCCAACGAAGGCCTCAAGGAGGTCTAAATATCCACTTGCAGACTTTACAAACAGAGTGTTTCCTAACTGCTCTATGAAAAGAAAGGTTAAACTCTGTGAGTTGAACGCACACATCACAAAGGAGTTCATGAGAATCATTTTGTCTAGTTTCTATAAGAAGATATTTCCTATTCTACCATTGACCTCAAAGCGGCTGAAACCTCCACTTGCAAATTCGACAAAAAGAGTGTTTCAAGCCTGCTCTCTGTAAAGGATCCTTCAACTCTGTGAGTTGAATACACACAACACAAGGAAGTTACTGAGAATTATTCTGTCTAGCCTTACAGGAAAGAAACCCGTTTCCAACGAAGGCCTCTAAGTGGTCAAAATATCCACGTGCAGACTTTACAAACAGAGTGTTTCCAAACTGTTGAATGAAAAGAAAAGTTAAACTCTGAGAATTGAACGCACACATCGCAGAGCAGTTTCTGAGAATGATTCTGTCTAGTTTTTATACGAAGATATTTCCTTTTCTACCATTGACCTCAAGGCGGCTGAAATCTCCACTTGCAAATTCCACAAAAAGAGTGTTTCAAGTCTGCTCTGTGTAAAGGATCGTTCAACTCTGTGAGTTGAATACACACAACACAAGGAAGTTACTGAGAATTCTTCTGTCTAGCACAGTATGAAGAAATCCCGTTTCCAACGAAGGCCTCAAAGAGGTCTGAATATCCACTTGCAGAGTTTAAAAACACAGTGTTTCCTAACTGCTCTATGAAAAGAAAGGTTAAACTCTGTGAGTTGAACACACACATCACAAAGAAGTTTCTGAGAATCATTCTGTCTAGTCTTTATACGAAGATATTTACTTTTCTACCATTGACTTCAAATCGGCTGAAATCTCCACTTGCAAATTACACAAAAAGAGTGTTTCAAGTCTGCTCTGTGTAAAGGATCATTCAAATCTGTGAGTTGAATAAACACAACACAAGGAAGTTACTGAGAATTCTTCTGTCTAGCAGAATATGAAGAAAGCCCGTTTCCAACGAAGGCCTCAAGGAGGTCTGAATATCCACTTGCAGACTTTACAAACAGAGTGTTTCCTAACTGCTCTATGAAAAGAAAGGTTAAACTCTGTGAGTTCAACGCACACATCACAAAGGAGTTCATGAGAATCATTCTGTCTAGTTTTGAAACGAAGATATTTCCTTTTATGCCATTGACCTTAAAGTGCTTGAAATCTACACTTGCAAATTGCACAAATTGAGTGTTTCACATCTGCTCTGTCTAAGGGAACGTTCATCTCTGTGAGTTGAATGCACACAACACAAGGAAGTTACTGGGAATTCTTCTGTCTAGCCTTACATGAAAAAAAACCGTTTCCAACGAAGGCCTCTAAGTGGTCAAATTATCCACGTGCAGACTTTACAAACAGAGTGTTTCCAAACTGCTGAATGAAAAGAAAAGTTAAACTCTGAGAGTTGAACGCACACATCGCAGAGCAGTTTCTGAGAATGATTCTGTCTAGTTTTTATACGAAGGTATTTCCTTTTCTGCCTTTGGCCCCAAAGCGCTTGAAGTCTCCACTTGCAAATTCCACAAAAACAGTGCTTCAAATCTGCTCTCTCTAAATGAAAGTTCAACTCTGTCAGTTGAATACACACAACACAAGGAAGTTACTGAGAATTCTTCTGTGTAGCACAGTATGAAGAAATCCCGTTACCAACGAAGGCCTCAAAGAGGTCTGAATATCCACTTGCAGAGTTTACAAACAGAGTGTTTCCTAACTGCTCTATGAAAAGAAAGGTGAAACTCTGTGAGTTGAACGCACACATCACAAAGAAGTTTCTGAGAAACATTCTGTCTAGTTTTTGTACGAAGATATTTCCTTTTCTACCATTGACCTCAAAGCGGCTGAAATCTCCACTTGCAAATTCCACAAAAAGAGTGTTTGTAATCTGCTCTGTGTAAAGGGTCGTTCAACTCTGTGAGTTGAATACACACAACACAAGGAAGTTACTGAGAATTCTTCTGTCTAGGAGAATATGAAGAAATCCCGTTTCCAACGAAGGCCACAAGATGTCAGAATATCCACTTACAGAATTGACAAACAGACTGTTTCCTAACTGCTCTATGAAAAGAAAGGTTAAACTCTGTGAGTTGAACGAACACATCACAACGCAGTTTGTGGGAATGATTCTGTCTAGTTTTGAAACGGAGATATTTCCTTTTCTGCCATTGACCTTAAAGCGCTTGAAATCTCCATTTGCCAATTGCACAAAAAGAGTGTTTCAAATCTGCTCTGTCTAAGGGAACGTTCAACTCTGTGAGTTGAATGTACACAACACAAGGAAGTTACTGGGAATTCTTCTGTCTAGCCTTACAGGAAAAAAACCCGTTTCCAACCAAGGCTTCTAAGTGGTCAAAATATCCACGTGCAGACTTTACAAACAGAGTGTTTCCAAACTGCTGAATGAAAAGAAAAGTTAAACTCTGAGAGTTGAACGCACACATTGCAGAGCAGTTTCTGAGAATGATTCTGTCTAGTCTTTATACGAAGATATTTCCTTTTCTACCATTGACCTCAAAGCGGCTGAAATCTCCACTTGCAAATTCCACAAAAAGAGTGTTTCAAGTCTGCTCTCTGTAAAGGATCGTTCAACTCTGTGAGTGGAATACACACAACACAAGGAAGTTACTGAGAATTATTCTGTCTACCATAATATGAAGAAATCCCGTTTCCAACGAAGGCCTCAAAGAGGTCTGAATATCCACTTGCAGACTTTACAAACAGAGTGTTTCCTAACTGCTCTATGAAAAGAAAAGTTAAACTCTGTGAGTTGAACGCACACATCACAAAGGAGTTTATGAGAATCATTCTGTCTAGTTTCTATAGGAAGATATTTCCTATTCTACCATTGACCTCAAATCGGCTAAAATCTCCACTTGCAAATTCCACAAAAAGAGTGTTTCAAGTCCGCTCTGTGTAAAGGATCGTTCAACTCTGTGAGTTGAATACACACAACACAAGGAAGTTACTGAGAATTCTTCTGTCTAGCAGAATATGAAGAAATCCCGTTTCCAACGAAGGCCACAGGATGTCAGAATATCCACTTACAGACTTTACAAACAGAGTGTTTCCTAACTGCTCTATGAACAGAAAGGTTAAACTCTGTGAGTTGAACCAACACATCACAACGCAGTTTTTGGGAATGATTCTGTCTAGTTTTGAAACGAAGATATTTCCTTTTCTGCCGTTGACCTTAAAGAGCTTGAAAACTACACTTGCAAATTGCACAAATAGAGTGTTTCAAATCTGCTCTGTCTAAGGGAACGTTCAACTCTGTGAGTTGAATGCACACAACACAAGGAAGTTACTGGGAATTCTTCTGTCTAGCCTTACATGAAAAAAACCCGTTTCCAACGAAGGCCTCTAAGTGGTCAAATTATCCACGTGCAGACTTTACAAACAGAGTGTTTCCAAACTGCTGAATGAAAAACAAAGTTAAACTCTGAGAGTTGAACGCACACATCGCAGAGCAGTTTCTGAGAATGATTCTGTCTAGTTTTTCTACGAAGATATTTCCTTTTCTACTATTGACCTCAAAGCGGCTGAAATCTCCACTTGCAAATTCCACAAAAAGAGTGTTTCAAGTCTGCTCTGTGTAAAGGATCATTCAACTCCGTGAGTTGAATACACACAACACAAGGAAGTTACTGAGAATTCTTCTGTCTAGCAGAATATGAAGAAATCCCGTTTCCAACGAAGGCCTCAAAGAAGTCTGAATATCCACTTGCAGACTTTACAAACAGAGTGTTTCCTGAACTGCTCTATGAAAAGAAAGGTTAAACTCTGTGAGTTGAACGCACACATCACAAAGGAGTTTCTGAGAATCATTCTGTCTAGTTTCTATAGGAAGATATTTCCTATTCTACCATTGACCTCCAAGAGGCTGAAATCTCCACTTGCAAATTCCACAAAAAGAGTGTTTCAAGTCTGCTCTCTGTAAAGGATCGTTCAACTCTGTGAGTTGAATACACACAGCACAAGGAATTTACTGAGAATTATTCTGTCTAGCATAATATTAAGAAATCCCGTTTCCAACGAAGGCCTCAAAGAGGTCTGAATATCCACTTGCAGACTTTACAAACAGAGTGTTTCCTAACTGCTGTATGAAAAGAAAAGTTAAAATCTGTGTGTTGAACGCACACATCACAAAGGAGTTTCTGAGAATCATTCTGTCTAGTCTTTATACGAAGATATTTCCTTTTCTACTATTGACCTCAAAGCGGCTGAAATCTCCACTTGCAAATTCCACAAAAAGAGTGTTTCAAGTCTGCTCTCTGTAAAGGATCGTTCAACTCTGTGAGTTGAATACACACAACACAAGGAAGTTACTGAGAATTCTTCTGTCTAGCCTTACAGGAAAAAAACCCGTTTCCAACGAAGGCCTCTAAGTGGTCAAAATATCCACGTGCAGACTTTACAAACAGAGTGTTCCCAAACTGCTGAATGTAAAGAAAAGTTAAACTCTGAGAGTTGAACGCACACATCGCAGAGCAGTTTCTGAGAATGATTCTGTCTAGTTTTTATACGAAGATATTTCCTTTTCTGCCTTTGGCCTCAAAGCGCTTCAAACCTCCATTTGCAAATTCCACAAAAAGAGTGTTTCAAATCTGCTCTGTGTAAATGAAAGTTCAACTCTGTGAGTTGAACACACACAACACAAGGAAGTTACTGGGAATTCTTCTGTCTAGCCTTATATGAAAAAAACCCGTTTCCAACGAAGGCCTCAAAGAGGTCTGAATATCCTCTTGCAGACTTTACAAACAGAGTGTTTCCTAACTGCTCTATGAAAAGAAAAGTTAAACTCTGTGAGTTGAATGCACACATCACAAAGGAGTTTCTGAGAATCATTCTGTCTAGTTTTTATACGAAGATATTTCCTTTTCTACCATTGACCTCAAAGCGGCTGAAATCTCCACTTGCAAATTACACAAAAAGAGTGTTTCAAGTCTACTCTGTGTAAAGCATCGTTCAACTCTGTGAGTTGAGAACACACAACACAAGGAAGTTTCTGAGAATTCTTCTGTCTAGCAGAAAATGAAGAAATCCCGTTTCCAACGAAGGCCACAAGATGTCAGAATATCCACTTACAGACTTTACAAACAGAGTGTTTCCTAACTGCTCTATGAACAGAAAGGTTAAACTGCTGTGAGTTGAACGAACACATCACAACGCAGTTTGTGGGAATGATTCTGTCTAGTTTTTATACGAAGATATTTCCTTTTCTACCATTGACTTCAAAGCGGCTGAAATCAGCACTTGCCAATTGCACAAAAAGAGTGTTTCAAATCTGCTCTGTCTAAGGGAACGTTCAACTCTGTGAGTTGAATGTACACAACACAAGGAAGTTACTGGGAATTCTTCTCTCTAGCCTTACAGGAAAAAAACCCGTTTCCAACGAAGGCCTCTAAGTGGTCAAAATATCCACGTGCAGACTTTACAAACACAGTGTTTCCAAACTGCTGAATGAAAAGAAAAGTTAAACTCTGAGAGTTGAACGCACACATCGCAGAGCAGTTTCTGAGAATGATTCTGTCTAGTTTTTATACGAAGATATTTCCTTTTCTGCCTTTGGCCCCAAAGCGCTTGAAATCTCCACTTGCAAATTCCACAAAAACAGTGTTTCAAATCTGCTCTCTCTAAATGAAAGTTCAGCTCTGTCAGTTGAATACACACAACACAAGGAAGTTACTGAGAATTCTTCTGTCTAGCAGAATATGAAGAAATCCCGCTTCCAACGAAGGCCTCAAAGAAGTCTGAATATCCACTTGCAGACTTTACAAACAGAGTGTTTCCCAACTGCTCTATGAAAAGAAAGTTTGAACTCTGTGAGTTGAACGCACACATCACAAAGGAGTTTCTGAGAATCATTCTGTCTAGTTTCTATAGGAAGATATTTCTTATTCTATCATTGACCTCAAAGCGGCTGAAATCTCCACTTGCAAATTCCACAAAAAGAGTGTTTCAAGTCTGCTCTCTGTAAAGGATCGTTCAACTCTGTGAGTTGAATACACGCAACACAAGGAAGTTACTGAGAATTATTCTGTCTAGCAGAATATGAAGAAATCCCGTTTCCAACGAAGGCCACAAGAGGTCAGAATATCCACTTACAGACTTTACAAACAGAGTGTTTCCTAACTGCTCTATGAGCAGAAAGGTTAAACTCTGTGAGTTGAACGAACACATCACAACGCAGTTTGTGGGAATGATTCTGTCTAGTTTTGAAACGAAGATATTTCCTTTTCTGCCATTGACCTTAAAGCGCTTTTAATCTACACTTGCAAATTACACAAATACAGTGTTTCAAATCTGCTGTGTCTAAGGGAATGTTCATCTCTGTGAGTTGAATGCACACAACACAAGGAAGTTACTGGGAATTCTTCTGTCTAGCCTTACATGAAAAAAACCCGTTTCCAACGAAGGCCTCTAAGTGGTCAAAATATCCACGTGCAGACTTTACAAACAGAGTGTTTCCAAACCGCTGAATGAAAAGAAAGGTTAAACTATGAGAGTTGAACGCACACATCACGCAGCAGTTTCTGAGAATGATTCTGTCTAGTTTTTATACGAAGATATTTCCTTTTCTGCCTTTGGCCCCAAAGCGCTTGAAATCTCCACTTGCAAATTCCACAAAAACAGTGTTTCAAATCTGCTCTCTCTAAATGATAGTTCAACTCTGTCAGTTGAATACACACAACACAAGGAAGTTACTGAGAATTCTTCTGTATAGCAGAATATGAAGAAATCCCGTTTCCAACGAAGGCCACAAGGAGGTCTGAATATCCACTTGCAGACTTTACAAACAGAGTGTTTCCTAACTGCTCTATGAAAAGAAAGGTTAAACTCTGTGAGTTGAACGCAAACATCACAAAGGAGTTTCTGAGAATCACTCTGTCTAGTTTCTATAGGAAGATATTTCCTATTCTACCATTGACCTCAAAGCGGCTGAAATCTCCACTCGCAAATTCCACAAAAAGAGTGCTTCAAGTCTGCTCTGTGTAAAGGATCGTTGAACTCTGTGAGTTGAATACACACAACACAAGGAAGTTACTGAGAATTCTTCTCTCTAGCAGAATATGAAGAAATCCCGTTTCCAACGAAGGCCTCAAAGAGGTCTGAATATCCACTTGCAGACTTTACAAACAGAGTGTTTCCTAACTGCTCTATGAAAAGAAAGGTTAAACTCTGTGAGTTGAACGCACATATCACAAAGGAGTTTCTGAGAATAATTCTGTCTAGTCTTTATACGAAGATATTTCCTTTTCTGCCATTGACCTCAAAGCGGCTGAAATCTCCACTTGCAAATTCCACAAAAAGAGTGTTTCAAGTCTGCTCTGTGTAAAGGATCGTTCAACTCTGTGAGTTGAATACACACAACACAAGGAATTTACTGAGAATTCTTCTGTCTAGCCTTACTTGCAAAAAACCCGTTTCCAACGAAGGCCTCTAAGTGGTCAAAATATCCACGTGCAGACTTTACAAACAGAGTGTTTCCAAACCGCTGAATGAAAAGAAAAGTTAAACTCTGAGAGTTGAACGCACACATCACGCAGCAGTTTCTGAGAATGCTTCTGTCTAGTTTTTATACGAAGATATTTCCTTTTCTGCCCTTGGCCCCAAAGCGCTTGAAATCTCCACTTGCAAATTCCACAAAAACAGTGTTTCAAATCTGCTCTCTCTAAATGAAAGTTCAACTCTGTCAGTTGAATACACACAACACAAGGAAGTTACTGAGAATTCTTCTGTCTAGCAGAATATGAAGAAATCCCGTTTCCAACGAAGGCCTCAAAGAGGTCTGAATATCCATTTGCAGACTTTACAAACAGAGTGTTTCCTAACTGCTCTATGAAAAGAAAGGTTAAACTCTGTGAGTTGAACGCACACATCACAAAGGAGTTTCTGAGAATCATTCTGTCTAGTTTCTATAGGAAGATATTTCCTATTCTACCATTGACCTCAAAGCGGCTGAAATCTCCACTTGCAAATTCCACAAAAAGAGTGTTTCAAGCCTGCTCTCTGTAAAGGATCCTTCAACTCTGTGAGTTGAATACACACAACACAAGGAAGTTACTGAGAATTATTCTGTCTAGCAGAATATGAAGAAATCCCGTTTCCAACGAAGGCCACAAGATGTCAGAATATCCACTTACAGAATTTACAAACAGACTGTTTCCTAACTGCTCTATGAAAAGAAAGGTTAAACTCTGTGAGTTGAACGAACACCTCACAACGCAGTTTGTGGGAATGATTCTGTCTAGTTTTGAAACGAAGATATTTCCTTTTCTGCCATTGACCTTAAAGCGCTTGAAATCTGCACTTGCCAATTGCACAAAAAGAGTGTTTCAAATCTGCTTGGCCTAAATGAAAGTTCAACTGTGACACTTGAATACACACAACACAAGGAAGTTACTGAGAATTCTTCTGTCTAGCCTTACATGAAAAAAACCCTTTTCCAACGAAGGCCTCTAAGTGGTCAAAATTTCCACGTGCAGACTTTACAAACAGAGTGTTTCCAAACCGCTGAATGAAAAGAAAAGTTAAACTCTGAGAGTTGAACGCAAACATCACGCAGCAGTTTCTGAGAATGATTCTGTCTAGTTTTTATACGAAGATATTTCCTTTTCTGCCTTTGGCCCCAAAGCGCTTGAAATCTCCAATTGCAAATTCCACAAAAACAGTGTTTCAAATCTGCTCTCTCTAAATGAACGTTCAACTCTGTCAGTTGAATACACACAACACAAGGAAGTTACTGAGAATTATCTTGTCTAGCAGAATATGAAGAAATCCCGTTTCCAACGAAAGCCTCAAGGATGTCTGAATATCCACTTGCAGACTTTACAAACAGAGTGTTTCCTAACTGCTCTATGAACAAGAAAGGTTAAACTCTGTGAGTTGAACGCACACATCACAAAGGAGTTTCTGAGAATCATTCTGTCTATTCTTTATACGAAGATAGTTTCCTTTTCTACCATTGACCTCAAAGCGGCTGAATTCTCCACTTGCAAATTCCACAAAAAGAGTGTTTCAAGTCTGCTCTGTGTAAAGGATCGTTCAACTCTGTGAGTTGAATACACACAACACAAGGAAGTTACTGAGAATTCTTCTGTCTAGCAGAATATGAAGAAATCCCGTTTCCAACGAAGGCCACACGATGTCAGAATATCCACTTACAGAATTTACAAACAGAGTGTTTCCTAACTGCTCTATGAAAAGAAAGGTTAAACTCTGTGAGATGAACGAACACATCACAACGCAGTTTGTGGGAATGATTCTGTCTAGTTTTGAAACGAAGATATTTCCTTTTCTGCCATTGACCTTAAAGCGCTTGAAATCTCCACTTGCCAATTGCACAAAAAGAGTGTTTCAAATCTGCTCTGTCTAAGGGAACGTTCAACTCTGTGAGTTGAATGTACACAACACAAGGAAGTTACTGGGAATTCTTCTGTCTAGCCTTACATGAAAAAAACCCGTTTCCAACGAAGGCCTCTAAGTGGTCAAAATGTCCACGTGCAGACTTTACAAACAGAGTGTTTCCAAACCGCTGAATGAAAAGAAAAGTTAAACTCTGAGAGTTGAACGCACACATCACGCAGCAGTTTCTGAGAATGATTCTGTCTAGTTTTTATACGAAGATATTTCGTTTTTTGCCTTTGGCCCCAAAGCGCTTGAAATCTCCACTTGCAAATTCCACAAAAACAGTGTTTCAAATCTGCTCTCTCTAAACGAAAGTTCAACTCTGTCAGTTGAATACACACAACACAAGGAAGTTACTGAGAATTCTTCTGTCTAGCAGAATATGAAGAAATCCCGTTTCCAACGAAGGCCTCAAAGGGGTCTGAATATCCACTTGCAGACTTTACAAACAGAGTGTTTCCTAACTGCTCCATGAGAAGAAAAGTGAAACTCTGTGAGTTGAACGCACACATCACAAAAGATTTTCTGAGAATCATTCTGTCTAGTTTCTATAGGAAGATATTTCCTATTCTACCATTGACCTCAAAGCGGCAGAAATCTCCACTTGCAAATTCCACAAAAAGAGTGTTTCAAGACTGCTCTGTGTAAAGGATCGTTCAACTACTGTGAGTTGAATACACACAACACAAGGAAGTTACTGAGAATTCTTCTGTCTAGCATAGTATGAAGAAATCCCGTTTCCAACGAAGGCCTCAAAGAGGTATGAATATCCACTTGCAGACTTTACAAACAGAGTGTTTCCTAACTGCTCTATGAAAAGAAAGGTTAAACTCTGTGAGTTGAACGCACACATCACAAAGAAGTTTCTGAGAATGATTCTGTCTAGTTTTGAAACGAAGATATTTCCTTTTCTGCCTTTGGCCTCAAAGCGCTTGAAATCTCCATTTGCAAATTCCACAAAAAGAGTGTTTCAAATCTGCTCTGTGTAAATGAAAGTTCAACTCTGTGAGTTGAACACACACAACACAAGGAAGTTACTGGGAATTCTTCTGTCTAGCCTTACATGAAAAAAAACCGTTTCCAACGAAGGCCTCTAAGTGGTCAAAATATCCACGTGCAGACTTTACAAACAGAGTGTTTCCAAACCGCTGAATGAAAAGAAAAGTTGAACTCTGAGAGTTGAACGTACACATCACACAGCAGTTTCTGAGAATGATTCTGTCTAGTTTTTATACGAAGATATTTCCTTTTCTGCCTTTGGCCTCAAAGCGCCTGAAATCTCCACTTGCAAATTCCACAAAAAGAGTGTTTCAAATCTGCTCTGTGTAAATGAAAGTTCAACTCTGTGAGTTGAACACACACAACACAAGGAAGTTACTGGGAATTCTTCTGTCTAGCCTTATATGAAAAAAACCCGTTTCCAACGAAGGCCTCAAAGAGGTCTGAATATCCACTTGCAGACTTTACCAACAGAGTGTTTCCTAACTGCTCTATGAAAAGAAAGGTTAAACTCTGTGAGTTGAACGCACACATCACAAAGGAGTTTCTGAGAATCATTCTGTCTAGTTTTTATACGAAGATATTTCCTTTTCTACCACGGACCTCAAAGCGGCTGAAATCTCCACTTGCAAATTCCACAAAAAGAGTGTTTCAAATCTGTTCTGTGTAAACCATCGTTCAACTCTGTGAGTTGAATACACACAACACAAGGAAGATTCTGAGAATTCTTCTGTCTAGCAGAATATGAAGAAATCCCGTTTCCAACGAAGGCCAGAAGATGTCAGAATATCCACTTACAGACTTTACAAACACAGTGTTTCCTAACTGCTCTATGAACAGAAAGGTTAAACTCTGTGAGTTGAACGAACACATCACAACGCAGTTTGTGGGAATGATTCTGTCTAGTTTTGAAACGAAGATATTTCCTTTTCTGCCATTGACCTTAAAGCGCTTGAAATCTACACTTGCAAATTGCACAAATAGAGTGTTTCAAATCTGCTCTGTCTAAGGGAACGTTCAACTCTGTGAGTTGAGTGCACACAACACAAGGAAGTTACTGGGAATTCTTCTGTCTAGCCTTACATGAAAGAAACCCGTTTCCAACGAAGGCCTCTAAGTGGTCAAAATATCCACGTGCAGACTTTACAAACACAGTGTTTCCAAACCGCTGAATGAAAAGAAAAGTTAAACTCTGAGAGTTGAACGCACACATCACGCAGCAGTTTCTGAGAATGATTCTGTCTAGTTTTGAAACGAAGATATTTCCTTTTCTGCCTTTGGCCTCAAAGCGCTTGAAATCTCCACTTGCAAATTCCACAAAAAGAGTGTTTCAAATCTGCTCTGTGTAAAGGAAAGTTCAACTCTGTGAGTCGAACACACACTACACAAGGAAGTTACTGGGAATTCTTCTGTCTAGCACAGTATGAAGAAATCCCGTTTCCAACGAAGGCCTCAAAGAGGTCTGAATATCCACTTGCAGAGTTTACAAACAGAGTGTTTCCTAACTGCTCTATGAAAAGAAAGGTTAAGCTCTGTGAGTTGAACGCACACATCACAATGAAGTTTCTGAGAATCATTCTGTCTAGTTTTTATACGAAGATATTTCCTTTTCTGCCATTGACCTCAAAGCGGCTGAAATCTCCACTTGCCAATTCCACAAAAAGAGTGTTTCAAGTCTGCTCTGTGTAAAGGATCGTTCAACTCTGTGAGTTGAATACACACAACACAAGGAAGTTTCTGAGAATTCTTCTGTATAGCAGAATATGAAGAAATCCCGTTTCCAACGAAGGCCTCAAGGAGGTCTCAATATCCAATTGCAGACTTTACAAACAGAGTGTTTCCTAACTGCTCTATGAAAAGAAAGGTTAAACTCTGTCAGTTGAACGCAGACATCACAAAGGAGTTTCTGAGAATCACTCTGTCTAGTTTTGAAACGAAGATATTTCCTTTTCTGCCATTGACCTCAAAGCGCTTGAAATCTCCACTTGCCAATTGCACAAAAAGAGTGTTTCAAATCTGCTCTGTCTAAGGGAACGTTCAACTCTGTGAGTTGAATGTACACAACACAAGGAAGTTACTGGGAATTCTTCTGTCTAGCGTTACAGGAAAAAAACCCGTTTCCAACGAAGGCCTCTAAGTGGTCAAAATATCCACGTGCAGACTTTACAAACAGAGTGTTTCCAAACTGCTGAATGAAAAGAAAAGTTAAACTCTGAGAGTTGAACGCACACATCGCAGAGCAGTTTCTGAGAATGATTCTGTCTAGTTTTTATACGAAGATATTTCCTTTTCTGCCTTTGGCCTCAAAGCGCTTGAAATCTCCATTTGCAAATTCCACAAAAAGAGTGTTTCAAATCTGCTCTGTGTAAATGAAAGTTCAACTCTGTGAGTTGAACACACACAACACAAGGATGTTACTGGGAATTCTTCTGTCTAGCCTTATACGAAAAAATCCCGTTTCCAACGAAGGCCTCAAAGAGGTCTGAATATCCACTTGCAGACTTTACAAACAGAGTGTTTCCTAACTGCTCTATGAAAAGAAAGGTTAAACTCTGTGAGTTGAACACACACATCACAAAGGAGTTTCTGAGAATCATTCTGTCTAGTTTCTATAGGAAGATATTTCCTATTCTACCATTGACCTCAAAGCGGCTGAAATCTCCACTTGCAAATTCCACAAAAAGAGTGTTTCAAGTCTGCTCTGTGTAAAGGATCGTTCAACTCTGTGAGTTGAATACACACAACACAAGGAAGTTACTGAGAATCTTCTGTCTAGCAGAATATGAAGAAATCCTGTTTCCAACGAAAGCCTCAAAGATGTCTGAATATCCACTTGCAGACTTTACAAACAGAGTGTTTCCTAACTGCTCTATGAAAAGAAAGGTTGAACTCTGTGAGTTGAACGCACACATCACAAAGGAGTTTCTCAGAATCATCTGTCTAGTTTTTATAGGAAGATATTTCCTTTTCTACATTTGACTTCAAAGCGGCTGAAATCTCCACTTGCAAATTCCACAAAAAGAGTGTTACAAGTCTGCTCTGTGTAAAGGATCGTTCAACTGTGTGAGTTGAATACACACAACACAAGGAAGTTACTGAGAATTCTTCTGTCTAGCCTTACATGAAAAAAACCCGTTTCCAACGAAGGCCTCTAAGTGGTCAAAATATCCACGTGCAGACTTTACAAACAGAGTGTTTCCAAACCGCTGAATGAAAAGAAAAGTTAAACTGTGAGAGTTGAAGGCACACATCACACAGCAGTTTCTGAGAATGATTCTGTCTAGTTTTTATACGAAGATATTTCCTTTTCTGCCTTTGGCCTCAAAGCGCTTGAAATCTCCACTTGCAAATTCCACAAAAAGTGTGTTTCAAGTCCGCTCTGTGTAAAGGATCGTTCAACTCTGTGAGTTGTATACACACAACACAAGGAAGTTACTGAGAATTCTTCCTTCTAGCAGAATATGAAGAAATCCCGTTTCCAACGAAAGCCTCAAGGATGTCTGAATATCCACTTGCAGACTTTACAAACAGAGTGTTTCCCAACTGCTCTATGAAAAGAAAGGTTAAACTCTGTGAGTTGAACGCACACATCACAAAGGAGTTTCTGAGAATCATTCTGTCTAGTCTTTATACGAAGATATTTCCTTTTCTACTATTGACCTCAAAGCGGCTGAAATCTCCACTTGCAAATTCCACAAAAAGAGTGTTTCAAGTCTGCTCTGTGTAAAGGATCGTTCAACTCTGTGAGTTGAATACAGACAACACAAGGAAGTTACTGAGAATTCTTCTGTCTAGCAGAATATGAAGAAATCCCGTTTCCAACGAAGGCCACAAGATGTCAGAATATCCACTTACAGAATTGACAAACAGACTGTTTCCTAACTGCTCTATGAAAAGAAAGGTTAAACTCTGTGAGTTGAGCGAACACATCACAACGCTGTTTGTGGGAATGATTCTGTCTAGTTTTGAAACCAAGATATTTCCTTTTCTGCCGTTGACCTTAAAGAGCTTGAAAACTACACTTGCAAATTGCACAAATAGAGTGTTTCAAATCTGCTCTGTCTAAGGGAACGTTCAACTCTGTGAGTTGAATGCACACAACACAAGGAAGTTACTGGGAATTCTTCTGTCTAGCCTTACATGAAAAAAACCCGTTTCCAACGAAGGCCTCTAAGTGGTCAAAATATCCACGTGCAGACTGTACAAACAGAGTGTTTCCAAACCGCTGAATGAAAAGAAAAGTTAAACTCTGAGAGTTGAACGCACACATCACGCAGCAGATTCTGAGAATGATTCTGTCTAGTTTTTATACGAAGATATTTCCTTTTCTGCCTTTGGCCTCAAAGCGCTTGAAATCTCCACTTGCAAATTCCACAAAAAGAGTGTTTCAAATCTGCTCTGTGTAAATCAAAGTTCAACTCTGTGAGTAGAACACACACAACACAAGGAAGTTACTGGGAATTCTTCTGTCTAGCATAATATGAAGAAATCCCGTTTCCAACGAATGCCTCAAGGAGGTCTGAATATCCACTTGCAGACTTTACAAACACAGTGTTTCCTAACTGCTCTATGAAAAGAAAGGTTAAACTCTGTGAGTTGAACGCACACATCACAAAGGAGTTTCTGAGAATCATTCTGTCTAGTTTCTATATGAAGATATTTCCTATTCTAACATTGACCTCAAAGCGGCTGAAATCTCCACTTGCAAATTCCACAAAAAGAGTGTTTCAAGTCTGCTCTGTGTAAAGGATCGTTCAACTCTGTGAGTTGAATACACACAACACAAGGAAGTTACCGAGAATTCTTCTGTCTAGCAGAATATGAAGAAATCCCTTTTCAAACGAAGGCCACAAGACGTCAGAATATCCACTTACAGACTTTACAAACAGAGTGTTTCCTAACTGCTCTATGAACCGAAAGGTTAAACTCTGTGAGTTGAACGAACACATCACAACGCAGTTTGTGGGAATGATTCTGTCTAGTTTTGAAACGAAGTACATTTCCTTTTCTGCCTTTGGCCTCAAAGCGCTTGAAATCTCCATTTGCAAATTCCACAAAAAGAGTGTTTCAAATCTGCTCTGTGTAAATGAAAGTTCAACTCTGTGAGTTGAACGCACACAACACAAGGAAAGTTACTGGGAATTCTTCTGTCTAGCCTTACAAGAAAGAAACCCGTTTCCAACGAAGGCCTCTAAGTGGTCAAAATATCCACGTGCAGACTTTACAAACAGAGTGTTTCCAAACTGCTGAATGAAAAGAAAAGTTAAACTCTGAGAGTTGAACGCACACATCGCAGAGCAGTTTCTGAGAATGATTCTGTCTAGTTTCTATAGGAAGATATTTCCTATTCTACCCTTGAACTCAAAGCGGCTGAAATCTCCACTTGCAAATTCCACAAAAAGAGTGTTTCAAGTCTGCTCTGTGTAAAGGATCGTTCAACTCTGTGAGTTGAATACACACAACACAAGGAAGTTACTGACAATTCTTCTGTCTAGCATAATATGAAGAAATCCCGTTTCCAACGAAGGCCTCAAGGAGGTCTGAATATCCACTTGCAGACTTTACAAACAGAGTGTTTCCTAACTGCTCTATGAAAAGAAAGGTTAAACTTTGTGAGTTGAATGCACACATCACAAAGGAGTTTCTCAGAATCATTCTGTCTAGTCTTTATATGAAGATAGTTTCCTTTTCTACCATTGACCTCAAAGCGGCTGAAATCTCCACTTGCAAATTCCACAAAAAGAGTGTTTCAAGTCTGCTCTGTGTAAAGGATCATTCAACTCTGTGAGTTGAATACACACAACACAAGGAAGTTACTGAGAATTATTCTGTCTAGCAGAATATGAAGAAATCCTGTTTCCAACGAAGGCCACAAGATGTCAGAATATCCACTTACAGAATTTACAAACAGTCTGTTTCCTAAGTGCTCTATGAAAAGAAATGTTAAACTGTGTGAGTTGAACGAACACATCGCAACGCAGTTTGTGGGAATGATTCTGTCTAGTTTTGAAACGAAGATATTTCCTTTTCTGCCATTGACCTTAAAGCGCTTGAAATCTACACTTGCAAATTGCACAAATAGAGTGTTTCAAATCTGCTCTGTCTAAGGGAACGTTCAACTCTGTGAGTTTAATGCACCCAACACAAGGGAAGTTACTGGGAATTCTTCTGTCTAGCCTTACATGAAAAAAACCCGTTTCCAACGAAGGCCTCTAAGTGGTCAAAATATCCACGTGCAGACTTTACAAACAGAGTGTTTCCAAACCGCTGAATGAAAAGAAAAGTTAAACTCTGAGAGTTCAACGCACACATCACGCAGCAGTTTCTGAGAATGATTCTGTCTAGTTTTTCTACGAAGATATTTCCTTTTCTGCCTTTGGCCCCAAAGCGCTTGAAATCTCCACTTGCAAATTCCACAAAAACAGTGTTTCAAATCTGCTCTCTCCAAATGAAAGTTCAACTCTGTCAGTTGAATACACACAACACAAGGAAGTTACTGAGAATTCTTCTGTCTAGCATAATATGAAGAAATCGCGTTTCCAACGAAGGCCTCAAGGAGGTCTGAATATCCACTTGCAGACTTTACAAACAGAGTGTTTCCTAACTGCTCTATGAAAAGAAAGGTTAAACTCTGTGTGTTGAACGCACACATCACAAAGGAGTTTCTCAGAATCATTCTGTCTAGTTTTTATACGAAGATATTTCCTTTTCTACCATTGACCTCAAAGCGGCTGAAATCTCCACTTGCAAATTCCACAAAAAGAGTGTTTCAAGTCTATTCTGTGTAAAGGATCGTTCAACTCTGTGAGTTGAAAACACACAACACAACGAAGTTTCTGACAATTCTTCTGTCTAGCAGAATATGGAGAAATCCCGTTTCCAACGAAGGCCTCTAGGAGGTCTGAATATCCACTTGCAGACTTTACAAACAGAGTGTTTCCTAACTGCTCTATGAACAGAAAGGTTAAACTCTGTGAGTTGAACGAACACATCACAACGCAGTTTGTGGGAATGATTCTGTCTAGGTTTGAAACGAAGATATTTCCTTTTCTGCCGTTGACCTTAAAGCGCTTGAAATCTACACTTGTAAATTGCACAAATAGAGTGTTTCAAATCTGCTCTGTCTAAGGGAACGTTCAACTCTGTGAGTTGAATGCACACAACACAAGGAAGTTACTGGGAATTCTTCTGTCTAGCCTTACATGAAAAAAACCCGTTTCTAACGAAGGCCTCTAAGTGGTCAAAATATCCACGTGCAGACTTTACAAACAGAGTGTTTCCAAACCGCTGAATGAAAAGAAAAGTTAAACTCTGAGAGTTGAACGCACACATCATGCAGCAGTTTCTGAGAATGATTCTGTCTAGTTTTTATACGAAGATATTTCCTTTTCTGCCTTTGGCCCCAAAGCGCTTGAAATCTCCACTTGCAAATTCCACAAAAACAGTGTTTCAAATCTGCTCTCTCTAAATGAAAGTTCAACTCTGTGAGTTGAATACACACAACACAAGGAAGTTACTGAGAATTCTTCTGTCTAGCAGAATATGAAGAAATCCCGTTTCCAACGAAGGCCTCAAAGAGGTCTGAATATCCACTTGAAGACTTTACAAACAGAGTGTTTCCTAACTGCTCTATGAAAAGAAAAGTTAAACTCTATGAGTTGAACGCACACATCACAAAGGAGTTTCTGAGAATCATTCTGTCTAGTTTTTATACGAAGATATTTCCTTTTCTAACATTGACCTCAAAGCGGCTGAAATCTCCACTTGCAAATTCCACAAAAAGAGTGTTTCAAGTCCGCCCTGTGTAAAGGATCGTTCAGCTCTGTGAGTTGAATACACACAACACAAGGAAGTTACTGAGAATTCTTCTGTCTAGCACAGTATGAAGAAAACCCGTTTCCAACGAAGGCCTCAAAGAGGTCTGAATATCCACTTGCAGAGTTTACAAACAGAGTGTTTCCTAACTGCTCTATAAAAAGAAAGGTTAAACTCTGTGAGTTGAACGCACACATCACAATGAAGTTTCTGAGAATCATTCTGTCTAGTTTTTATACGAAGATATTTCCTTTTCTACCATTGACCTCAAAGCGGCTGAAATAACCACTTGCCAATTGCACAAAAAGAGTGTTTCAAATCTGCTCTGTCTAAGGGAACGTTCAACTCTGTGAGTTGAATGTACACAACACAAGGAAGTTACTGGGAATTCTTCTGTTTAGCCTTACATGCAAAAAACCCGTTTCCAACGAAGGCCTCTAAGTGGTCAAAATATCCACGTGCAGACTTTACAAACAGAGTGTTTCCAAACCGCTGAATGAAAAGAAAAGTTAAACTCTGATAGTTGAACGCACACATCACGCAGCAGTTTCTGAGAATGATTCTGTCTAGTTTTTATACGAAGATATTTCCTTTTCTGCCTTTGGCCTCAAAGCGCTTGAAATCTCCACTTGCAAATTCCACAAAAAGAGTGTTTCAAATCTGCTCTGTGTAAATGAAAGTTCAACTCTGTGAGTTGAACACACACAACAAAAGGAAGTTACTGGAAATTCTTCTGTCTAGCAGAATAGGAAGAAATCCCGTTTCCAACGAAGGCCTCAAAGAGGTCTGAATATCCACTTGCAGACTTTACAAACAGAGTGTTTCCTAACTGCTCTATGAAAAGAAAGGTTAAACTCTGTGAGTTGAACGCACACATCACAAAGGAGTTTATGAGAATCATTCTGTCTAGTTTTTATACGAAGATATTTCCTTTTCTACTATTTACCTCAACACGGCTGAAATCTCCACTTGCAAATTCCACAAAACGAGTGTTTCAAGTCCGCTCTGTGTAAAGGATCGTTCAACTCTGTGAGTTGAATACACACAACACAAGGAAGTTACTGAGAATTCTTCTGTCTAGCAGAATATGAAGAAATCCCGTTTCCAACGAAGGCCAAAAGATGTCAGAATATCCACTTACAGAATTTACAAACAGAGTGTTTCCTAACTGCTCTATGAAAAGAATGGTTAAACTCTGTGAGTTGAACGAACACATCACAACGCAGTTTGTGGGAATGATTCTGTCTAGTTTTGAAACGAAGATATTTCCTTTTCTGCCATTGACCTTAAGCGCTTGAAATCTCCACTTGCCAATTGCACAAAAAGAGTGTTTCAAATCTGCTCTGTCCAAGGGAACGTTCAACTCTGTGAGTTGAATGTACACAACACAAGGAAGTTACTGGGAATTATTCTGTCTAGCCTTACAGGAAAAAAACCCGTTTCCAACGAAGGCCTCTAAGTGGTCAAAGTATCCACGTGCAGACTTTACAAACAGTGTGTTTCCAAACTGCTGAATGAAAAGAAAAGTTAAACTCTGAGAGTTGAACGCACACATCGCAGAGCAGTTTCTGAGAATGATTCTGTCTAGTTTTTATACGAAGATATTTCCTTTTCTGCCTTTGGCCTCAAAGCGCTTGAAATCTCCATTTGCAAATTCCACAAAAAGAGTGTTTCAAATCTGCTCTGTGTAAATGAAAGTACAACTCTGTGAGTTGAACACACACAACACAAGGAAGTTACTGGGAATTCTTCTGTCTAGCCTTATATGAAAAAAACCCGTTTCCAACGAAGGCCTCAAAGAGGTCTGAATATCCACTTGCAGAGTTTACAAACAGAGTGTTTCCTAACTGCTCTATGAAAAGAAAGGTTAAACTGTGAGTTGAACGCACACATCACAATGAAGTTTCTGAGAATCATTCTGTCTAGTTTCTATAGGAAGATATTTCCTATTCTACCATTGACCTCAAAGCGGCTGAATTCTCCACTTGCAAATTCCACAACAAGAGTGTTTCAAGTATGCTCTGTGTAAAGGATCGTTCAACACTGTGAGTTGAATACACACAACACAAGGAAGTTACTGAGAATTCTTCTGTCTAGCATAGTATGAAGAAATCCCGTTTCCAACGAAGGCCACAAGCTGTCAGAATATCCACTTACAGAATTTACAAACAGACTGTTTCCTAACTGCTCTATGAAAAGAAAGGTTAAACTCTGTGAGTTGAACGAACACATCACAACGCAGTTTGTGGGAATGATTCTATCTAGTTTTGAAACGAAGATATTTCCTTTTCTGCCATTGACTTCAAAGCGCTTGAAATCTCCACTTGCCAATTGCACAAAAAGAGTGTTTCAAATCTGCTCTGTTTAAGGGAACGTTCAACTCTGTGAGTTGAATGTACACAACACAAGGAAGTTACTGGGAATTCTTCTGTCTAGCCTTACATGAAAAAAACCCGTTTCCAACGAAGGCCTCTAAGTAGTCAAATTATCCACGTGCAGACTTTACAAACAGAGTGTTTCCAAACTGCTGAATGAAAAGAAAAGTTAAACTCTGAGAGTTAAACGCACACATCGCAGAGCAGTTTCTGAGAATGATTCTGTCTAGTTTTGAAACGAAGATATTTCCTTTTCTGCCTTTGGCCTCAAAGCGCTTGAAATCTCCACTTGCAAATTCCACAAAAAGAGTGTTTCAAATCTGCTCTGTGTAAATGAAAGTTCAACTCTGTGAGTTGAACACACACAACACAAGGAAGTTACTGAGAATTCTTCTGTCTAGCAGAATATGAAGAAATCCCGTTTCCAACGAAGGCCTGAAGGAGGTCTGAATATCCACTTGCAGACTTTACAAACAGAGTGTTTCCTAACAGCTCTATGAACAGAAAGGTTAAACTCTGTGAGTTGAACGCACACATCACAAAGGAGTTTCTGAGAATCATTCTGTCTAGTTTTTCTACGAAGATATTTCCTTTTCTACTATTGACCTCAAAGCGGCTGAAATCTCCACTTGCAAATTCCACAAAAAGAGTGTTTGAAGTCTGCTCTGTGTAAAGGATCGTTCAACTCTGTGATTTGAATACACACAACACAAGGAAGTTACTGAGAATTCTTCTGTCTAGCATAATAGGAAGAAATCCCGTTTCCAACGAAGGCCTCAAAGAGGTCTGAATATCCACTTGCAGACTTTACAAACAGAGTGTTTCCTAACTGCTCTATGAAAAGAAAGGTTAAACTCTGTGAGTTGAACGCACACATCACAAAGGAGTTTCTGAGAATCAATCTGTCTAGTTTTGAAACGAAGATATTTCCTTTTCTGCCATTGACCTTAAAGCACTTGAAATCTCCATTTGCCAATTGCACAAAAAGAGTGTTTCAAATCTGCTCTGTCTAAGGGAACGTTCAACTCTGTGAGTTGAATGTACACAACACAAGGAAGTTACTGGGAATTCTTCTGTCTAGCCTTTCATGAAAAAAACCCGTTTCCAACGAAGACCTCTAAGTGGTCAAAATATCCACGTGCAGACTTTACAAACTGAGTGTTTCCAAACTGCTGAATGAAAAGAAAAGTTAAACTCTGAGAGTTGAACGCACACATAACAGAGCAGTTTCTGAGAATGATTCTGTCTAGTTTTGAAACGAAGATATTTCCTTTTCTGCCTTTGGCCTCAAAGCGCTTGAAATCTCCACTTGCAAATTCCACAAAAAGAGTGTTTCAAATCTGCTCTGTGTAAATGAAAGTTCAACTCTGTGAGTTGAACACACACAACACAAGGAAGTTACTCGGAATTCTTCTGTCTAGCACAGTATGAAGAAATCCCGTTTCCAACGAAGGCCTCAAAGAGGTCTGAATATCCACTTGCAGACTTTACAAACAGAGTGTTTCTTAACTGCTCTATGAAAAGAAAGGTTAAACTCTCTGAGTTGAACGCACACGTCACAATGAAGTTTCTGAGAATCATTCTGTCTAGTTTTTATACGAAGATATTACCTTTTCTACCATTGACCCCAAAGCGGCTGAAATCACCACTTGCCAATTGCACAAAAAGAGTGTTTCAAATCTGCTCTGTCTAAGGGAACGTTCAACTCTGGGAGTTGAATACACACAACACAAGGAAGTTACTGAGAATTCTTCTGTCTAGCAGAATATGAAGAAATCCCGTTTCCAACGAAGGCCTCAAAGAGGTCTGAATATCCACTTGCAGACTTTACAAACAGAGTGTTTCCTAACTGTTCTATGAAAAGAAAGGTTAAACTCTGTGAGTTGAACGCACACATTACAACGCAGTTTGTGGGAATGATTCTGTCTAGTTTTTATACGAAGATATTTCCTTTTCTGCCTTTGGCCTCAAAGCGCTTGAAATCTCCACTTGCCAATTGCACAAAAAGAGTGTTTCAAATCTGCTCTGTGTAAGGGAACGTTCAACTCTGTGAGTTGAATGTACACAACAAAAGGAAGTTACTGAGAATTCTTCTGTCTAGCCTTACATGAAATAAACCCGTTTCCAATGAAGGCCTCTAAGTGGTCAAAATATCCACGTGCAGACTTTACAAACAGAGTGTTTCCAAACCGCTGAATGAAAAGAAAAGTTAAACTCTGAGAGTTGAACGCACACATCACGCAGCAGTTTCTGAGAATGATTCTGTCTAGTTTTGAAACGAAGATATTTCCTTTTCTGCCTTTGGCCTCAAAGCGCTTGAAATCTCCACTTTCAAATTCCACAAAAAGAGTGTTTCAAATCTGCTCTGTGTAAATGAAAGTTCAACTCTGTGAGTTGAACACACACAACACAAGGAAGTTACTGGGAATTCTTCTGTCTAGCCTTATATGAAAAAAACCCGTTTCCAACGAAGGCCTCAAGGAGGTCTGAATATCCACTTGCAGACTTTACAAACAGAGTGTTTCCTAACTGCTCTAAGAAAAGAAAGGTTAAACTCTGTGAGTTGAACGTACACATCACAAAGGAGTTTCTGAGAATCATTCTGTCTAGTCTTTATACGAAGATATTTCCTTTTCTACCATTGACCTCAAAGCGGCTGAAATCTCCACTTGCAAATTCCACAAAAAGAGTGTTTCAAGTCTGCTCTCTGTAAAGGATCGTTCAACTCTGTGAGTTGAATACACACAACACAAGGAAGTTAGTGAGAATTCTTCTGTCTAGCAGAATATGAAGAAATCCCGTTTCCAACGAAGGCCACAAGATGTCAGAATATCCACTTACAGACTTTAGAAACAGAGTGTTTCCTAACTGCTCTGTGAACAGAAAGGTTAAACTCTGTGAGTTGAACGAACACATCACAACGCAGTTTGTGGGAATGATTCTGTCTAGTTTTGAAACGAAGATATTTCCTTTTCTGCCATTGACCTCAAAGCGCTTGAAATCTCCACTTGCCAATTGCACAAAAAGAGTGTTTCAAATCTGCTCTGTCTAAGGGAACGTTCAACTCTGTGAGTTGAATGTACACAACACAAGGAAGTTACTGGGAATTCTTCTGTCTAGCCTTACAGGAAAAAAACCCGTTTCCAATGAAGGCCTCTAAGTGGTCAAATTATCTACGTGCAGACTTTACAAACAGAGTGTTTCCAAACTGCTGAATGAAAAGAAAAGTTAAACTCTGAGAGTTGAACGCACACATCGCAGAGCAGTTTCTGAGAATGATTCTGTCTAGTTTTTATACGAAGATATTTCCTTTTCTGCCTTTGGCCTCAAAGCGCTTGAAATCTCCATTAGCAAATTCCACAAAAAGAGTGTCTCAAACCTGCTCTGTGTAAATGAAAGTTCAACTCTGTGAGTTGAACACACACAACACAAGGAAGTTACTGGGAATTCTTCTGTCTAGCATAATATGAAGAAATCCCGTTTCCAACGAAGGCCACAAAGGGGTCTGAATATCCACTTGCAGACTTTATAAACAGAGTGTTTACTAACTGCTCTATGAAAAGAAAGGTTAAACTCTGTGAGTTGAACACACACATCACAAAGGAGTTTCTGAGAATCATTCTGTCTAGTCTTTATATGAAGATAGTTTCCTTTTCTACCATTGACCTCAAAGCGGCTGAAATCTGCACTTGCAAATTCCACAAAAAGAGTGTTTCAAGTCTGCTCTGTGTAAAGGATCGTTCAACTCTGTGAGTTGAATACACACAACACAAGGAAGTTACTGAGAATTCTTCCGTCTAGCAGAATATGAAGAAATCCCGTTTCCAACGAAGGCCACAAGATGTCAGAATATCCACTTACAGAATTTACAAACAGACTGTTTCCTAACTGCTCTATGAAAAGAAAGGTTAAACTCTGTGAGATGAACGAACACATCACAACGCAGTTTGTGGGAATGATTCTGTCTAGTTTTGAAACGAAGATATTTCCTTTTCTGCCATTGACCTTAAAGCGCTTGAAATCTCCACTTGCCAATTGCACAAAAAGAGTGTTTCAAATCTGCTCTGTCTAAGGGAACGTTCAACTCTGTGAGTTGAATGTACACAACACAAGGAAGTTACTGGGAATTCTGTCTAGCCTTACATGAAAAAAACCCGTTTCCAACGAAGGCCTCTAAGTGGTCAAGTTATCCACGTGCAGACTTTACAAACAGAGTGTTTCCAAACTGCTGAATGAAAAGAAAAGTTAAACTCTGAGAGTTGAACGCACACATCGCAGAGCAGTTTCTAAGAATGATTCTGTCTAGTTTTTATACGAAGATATTTCCTTTTCTGCTTTGGCCTCAAAGCGCTTGAAATCTCCACTTGCAAATTCCACAAAAAGAGTGTTTCAAATCTGCTCTGTGTAAATGAAAGTTCAACTCTGTGAGTTGAACACACACAACACAAGGAAGTTACTGGGAATTCTTCTGTCTAGCAGAATATGAAGAAATCCCGTTTCCAACGAAGGCCTCAAAGAGGTCTGAATATCCACTTGCAGACTTTACAAACAGAGTGTTTCCTAACGGCTCTATGAACAGAAAGGTTAAACTCTGTGAGTTGAACGCACACATCACAAAGGAGTTTCTGAGAATCATTCTGTCTAGTTTTTATACGAAGATATTTCCTTTTCTACCATTGACCTCAAAGCGGCTGAAATCTCCACTTGCAAATTCCACAAAAAGAGTGTTTCAAATCTGCTCTGTGTAAACCATCGTTCAACTGTGTGAGTTGAATACACACAACACAAGGAAGTTTCTGAGAATTCTTCTGTCTAGCAGAATATGAAGAAATCCCGTTTCCAACGAAGGCCACAAGATGTCAGAATATCCACTTTCAGACTTTACAAACAGAGTATTTCCTAACTGCTTTATGAACAGAAAGGTTAAACTCTGTTAGTTGAACGAACACCTCACAACGCAGTTTGTGGGAATGATTCTGTCTAGTTTTGAAACGAAGATATTTCCTTTTCTGCCATTGACCTTAAAGAGCTTGAAATCTACACTTGCAAATTGCACAAATAGAGTGTTTCAAATCTGCTCTTTCTAAGGGAACGTCCAACTCTGTGAGTTGAATGCACACAACACAAGGAAGTTACTGGGAATTCTTCTGTCTAGCCTTACATGAAAAAAACCCGTTTCCAACGAAGGCCTCTAAGTGGTCAAAATGTCCACGTGCAGACTTTACAAACAGAGTGTTTCCAAACCGCTGAATGAAAAGAAAAGTTAAACTCTGAGAGTTGAACGCACACATCACTCAGCAGTTTCTGAGAATGATTCTGTCTAGTTTTTATACGAAGATATTTCGTTTTCTGCCTTTGGCCACAAAGCGCTTGAAATCTCCACTTGCAAATTCCACAAAAAGAGTGTTTCAAATCTGCTCTCTCTAAATGAAAGTTCAACTCTGTCAGTTGAATACACACAACACAAGGAAGTTACTGAGAATTCTTCTGTCTAGCATAATATGAAGAAATCCCGTTTCCAACGAAGGTCTCAAGGAGGTCTGAATATCCACTTGCAGACTTTACAAACAGAGTGTTTCCTAACTGCTCTATGAAAAGAAAGGTTAAACTCTGTGAGTTCAACGCACACATCACAAAGGAGTTTCTGAGAATCATTCTGTCTAGTTTCTACAGGAAGATATTTCCTATTCTACCATTGACCTCAAAGCGGCTGAAATCTCCACTTGCAAATTCCACAAAAAGAGTGTTTCAAGTCTGTTCTGTGTAAAGGATCGTTCAACTCTGTGAGTTGAATACACACAACACAAGGCAGTTACTGAGAATTCTTCTGTCTAGCAGAATATGAAGAAATCCCGTTTCCAACGAAGGCCACAAGATGTCAGAATATCCACTTACAGAATTTACAAACAGACTGTTTCCTAACTGCTCTATGAAAAGAAAGGTTAAACTCTGTGAGATGAACGAACACATCACAACGCAGTTTTTGGGAATGATTCTGTCTAGTTTTGAAACGAAGATATTTCCTTTTCTGCCATTGACCTTAAAGCGCTTGAAATCTCCACTTGCCAATTGCACAAAAAGAGTGTTTCAAATCTGCTCTGTCTAAGGGAACGTTCAACTCTGTGAGTTGAATGTACACAACACAAGGAAGTTACTGGGAATTCTTCTGTCTAGCCTTACAGGAAAGAAACCCGTTTCCAACGAAGGCCTCTAAGTGGTCAAAATATCCACGTGCAGATTTTACAAACAGAGTGTTTCCAAACTGCTGAATGAAAAGAAAAGTTAAACTCTGAGAGTTGAACGCACACATCGCAGAGCAGTTTCTGAGAATGAGTCTGTCTAGTTTTTATACGAAGATATTTCCTTTTCTGCCTTTGGCCCCAAAGCGTTTGAAATCTCCACTTGCAAATTCCACAAAAACAGTGTTTCAAATCTGCTCTCTCTAAATGAAAGTTCAACTCTGTCAGTTGAATACACACAACACAAGGAAGTTACTGAGAATTCTTCTGTCTAGCAGAATATGATGAAATCCCGTTTCCAACGAAAGTCTCAAAGATGTCTGAATATTCTCTTGCAGACTTTACAAACAGAGTGTTTCCTAACTGCTCTATGAAAAGAAAGGATAAACTCTGTGAGTTGAACGCACACATCACAAAGGAGTTTCTGAGAATCATTCTGTCTAGTTTTTATACGAAGATATTTCCTTTTCTACCATTGACCTCAAAGCGGCTGAAATCTCCACTTGCAAATTACACAAAAAGAGTGTTTCAAGTCTACTCTGTGTAAAGCATCGTTCAACTCTGTGAGTTGAAAACACACAACACAAGGAAGTTTCTGAGAATTCTTCTGTCTAGCAGAATATGAAGAAATCCCGTTTCCAACGAAGGCCTCAAAGAGGTCTGAATATCCACTTGCAGACTTTACAAACAGAGTGTTTCCTAACTGCTCTATGAACAGAAAGGTTAAACTCTGTGAGTTGAACACACACATTACAAAGGAGTTTCTGAGAATCATTCTGTCTAGTTTTTATACGAAGATATTCCCTTTTCTACCATTGACCTCAAAGCGGCTGAAATCTCCACTTGCAAATTCCACAAAAAGAGTGTTTCTAATCTGCTCTGTTTAAAGTATCGTTCAACTCTGTGAGTTGAATCCACACAACACAAGGAAATTACTGGGAATTCTTCTGTCTAGCAGAATATGAAGAAATCCCGTTTCCAACTAAGGCCACAAGATGTCAGAATATCCACTTACAGAATTGACAAACAGACTGTTTCCTAACTGCTCTATGAAAAGAAAGGTTAAACTCTGTGAGTTGAACGAACACATCACAACGCAGTTTGTGGGAATGATTCTGTCTAGTTTTGAAACGAAGATATTTCCTTTTCTGCCGTTGACCTTAAAGAGCTTGAAAACTACACTTGCAAATTGCACAAATAGAGTGTTTCAAATCTGCTCTGTCTAAGGGAACGTTCAACTCTGTGAGTTGAATGCACACAACACAAGGAAGTTACGGGGAATTCTTCGGTCTAGCCTTACATAAAAAAAACCCGTTTCCAACGAAGGCCTCTAAGTGGTCAAAATATCCACGTGCAGACTTTGCAGAGTGTTTCCAAACCGCTGAATGAAAAGAAAAGTTAAACTCTGACAGTTGAACGCACACATCACGCAGCAGTTTCTGAGAATGATTCTGTCTAGTTTTGAAACGAAGATATTTCCTTTTCTGCCTTTGGCCTCAAAGCGCTTGAAATCTCCACCTGCAAATTCCACAAAAAGAGTGTTTCAAATCTGCTCTGTGTAAATGAAAGTTCAACTCTGTGAGTTGAACACACACAACACAAGGAAGTTACTGGGAATTCTTCTGTCTAGCCTTATATGAAAAAAACCCGTTTCCAGCGAAGGCCTCAAAGAGGTCTGAATATCCACTTGCAGACTTTACAAACAGAGTGTTTCCTAACTGCTCTATGAAAAGAAAGGTTAAACTCTGTGAGTTGAACGCACACATCACAAAGGAGTTTCTGAGAATCATTCTGTCTAGTTTCTATAGGAAGATATTTCCTATTCTAACATTGACCTCAAAGCGGCTGAAATCTCCACTTGCAAATTCCACAAAAAGAGTGTTTCAAGTCTGCTCTGTGTAAAGGATCGTTCAACTCTGTGAGTTGAATACACACAACACAAGGAAGTTAAAGAGAATACTTCTGTCTAGCAGAATATGAAGAAATCCCGTTTCCAACTAAGGCCACAAGATGTCAGAATATCCACTTACAGAATTGACAAACAGACTGTTTCCTAACTGCTCTATGAAAAGAAAGGTTAAACTCTGTGAGTTGAACGAACACATCACAACGCAGTTTGTGGGAATGATTCTGTCTAGTTTTCAAACGAAGATATTTCCTTTTCTGCCATTGACCTTAAAGCGCTTGAAATCTACACTTGCAAATTGCACAAATAGAGTGTTTCAAATCTGCTCTGTCTAAGGGAACGTTCAACTCTGTGAGTTGAATACACACAACACAAGGAAGTTACTGGGAATTCTTCTGTCTAGCCTTACATTAAAAAAAACCCGTTTCCAACGAAGACCTCTAAGTGGTCAAAATATCCACGTGCAGACTTTACAAACAGAGTGTTTCCAAACCGCTGAATGAAAAGAAAAGTTAAACTCTGAGAGTTGAACGCACACATCACGCAGCAGTTTCTGAGAATGATTCTGTCTAGTTTTGAAACGAAGACATTTCCTTTTCTGCCTTTGGCCTCAAAGTGCTTGAAATCTCCATTTGCAAATTCCACAAAAAGAGTGTTTCAAATCTGCTCTGTGTAAATGAAAGTTCAACTCTGTGAGTTGAACACACACAACACAAGGAAGTTACTGGGAATTCTTCTGTCTAGCAGAATATGAAGAAATCCCGTTTCCAACGAAGGCCTCAAAGAGGTCTGAATATCCACTTGCAGACTTTACAAACAGAGTGTTTCCTAACTGCTCTATGAAAAGAAAGGTTAAACTCTGTGAGTTGAACGCACACATCACAAAGGAGTTTATGAGAATCAATCTGTCTAGTTTTTCTACGAAGATATTTCCTTTTCTACTGTTGACCTCAAAGCGGCTGAAATCTCCACTTGCAAATTCCACAAAAAGAGTGTTTCAAGTCTGCTCTGTGTAAAGGATCGTTCAACTCTGTGAGTTCAATACACACAACACAAGGAAGTTACTGAGAATTCTTCTGTCTAGCAGAATATGAAGAAATCCCGTTTCCAACGAAGGCCACAAGATGTCAGAATATCCACTTACAGACTTTACAAACAGAGTGTTTCCTAACTGCTCTATGAAAAGAAAGGTTAAACTCTGTGAGTTGAGCGCACACATCACAAAGGAGTTTCTGAGAATCATTCTGTCTAGTTTTCAAACGAAGATATTTCCTTTTCTGCCATTGACCTTAAAGCGCTTGAAATCTACACTTGCAAATTGCACAAATAGAGTGTTTCAAATCTGCTCTGTCTAAGGGAACGTTCAACTCTGTGAGTTGAATGCACACAACACAAGGAAGTTACTGGGAATTCTTCTGTCTAGCCTTACATGAAAAAAAACCCCTTTCCAACGAAGGCCTCTAAGTGGTCAAAATATCCACGTGCAGTCTTTACAAACAGAGTGTTTCCAAACCGCTGAATGAAAAGAAAAGTTAAACTCTGAGAGTTGAACGCACACATCACGCAGCAGTTTCTGAGAATGATTCTGTCTAGTTTTTATACGAAGATATTTCCTTTTCTGCCTTTGGCCCCAAAGCGCTTGAAATCTCCTCTTGCAAATTCCACAAAAACAGTGTTTCAAATCTGCTCTCTCTAAATGAAAGTTCAACTCTGTCAGTTGAATACACACAACACAAGGAAGTTACTGAGAATTCTTCTGTCTAGCATAATATGAAGAAATCCCCGTTTCCAACGAAGGCCTCAAAGGGGTCTGAATATCCACTTGCAGACTTTATAAACAGAGTGTTTACTAACTGCTCTATGAAAAGAAAGGTTAAACTCTGTGAGTTGAACACACACATCACAAAGGAGTTTCTGAGAATGATTCTGTCTAGTTTCTATAAGAAGATATTTCCTATTCTACCATTGACCTCAAAGCGGCTGAAATCTCCACTTGCAAATTCGACAAAAAGAGTGTTTCAAGCCTGCTCTCTGTAAAGGGTCTTTCAACTCTGTGAGTTGAATACACACAACACAAGGCAAGTTACTGAGAATTATTCTGTCTAGCATAATATGAAGAAATCCCTTTTCCAACGAAGGCCTCAAAGAGGTCTGAATATCCACTTGCACACTTTACAAACAGAGTGTTTCCTAACTGCTCTATGAGAAGAAAAGTTAAACTCTGTGAGTTGAACGCACACATCACAAAATATTTTCTTAGAATCATTCTGTCTAGTTTTTATACGAAGATATTTCCTTTTCTACCATTGACCTCAAAGCGGCTGAAATCACCACTTGCCAATTGCACAAAAAGAGTGTTTCAAATCTGCTCTGTCTGAGGGAACGTTCAACTCTGTGAGTTGAATGTACACAACACAAGGAAGTTACTGGGAATTCTTCTGTCTAGCCTTAAAGGAAAAAAACCCGTTTCCAACGAAGGCCTCTAAGTGGTCAAAATATCCACGTGCAGACTTTACAAACAGAGTGTTTCCAAACTGCTGAATGAAAAGAAAAGTTAAACTCTGAGAGTTGAACGCACACATCGCAGAGCAGTTTCTGAGAATCATTCTGTCTAGTTTTTATACGAAGATATTTCCTTTTCTGCCTTTGGCCTCAAAGCGCTTGAAATCTCCACTTTCAAATTCCACAAAAAGAGTGTTTCAAATCTGCTCTGTGTAAATGAAAGTTCAACTCTGTGAGTTGAACACACACAACACAAGGAAGTTACTGGGAATTCTTCTGTCTAGCAGAATATGAAGAAATCCCGTTTCCAAAGAAGGCCTCAAGGAGGTCTGAATATCCACTTGCAGACTTTACAAACAGAGTGTTTCCTAACTGCTCTATGAACAGAAAGGTTAAACTCTGTGAGTTGAACGCACACATCACAAAGGAGTTTCTGAGAATCATTCTGTCTAGTTTCTATAGGAAGATATTTCCTATTCTACCATTGACCTCTAAGCGGCTGAAATCTCCACTTGCAAATTCCACAAAAAGAATGTTTCAAGTCTGCTCTGTGTAAAGGATCGTTCAACTTCTGTGAGTTGAATACACACAACACAAGGAAGTTACTGAGAATTCTTCTGTCTAGCATAATATGAAGAAATCCCGTTTCCAACGAAGGCCTCAAAGGGTTCTGAATATCCACATGCAGACTTTATAAACAGAGTGTTTACTAACTGCTGTATGAAAAGAAAGGTTAAACTCTGTGAGTTGAACACACACATCACAAAGGAGTTTCTGAGAATCATTCTGTCTAGTTTTTCTACGAAGATATTTTCTTTTCTACCATTGACCTCAAAGCGGCTGAAATCTCCACTTGCAAATTCCACAAAAAGAGTGTTTCAAGTCTGCTCTGTGTAAAGGATCGTTCAACTCTGTGAGTTGAATACACACAACACAAGGAAGTTACTGAGAATTCTTCTGTCTAGCCTTACATGAAAAAAACCCGTTTCCAACGAAGGCCTCTAAGTGGTCAAAATATCCACGTGCAGACTTTACAAACAGAGTGTTTCCAAACCGCTGAATGAAAAGAAAAGTTAAACTCTGAGAGTTGAACGCACACATCACACAGCAGTTTCTGAGAATGATTCTGTGTAGTTTTTCTACGAAGATATTTCCTTTTCTACTATTGACCTCAAAGCGGCTGAAATCTCCACTTGCAAATTCCACAAAAAGAGTGTTTCAAGTCTGCTCTGTGTAAAGGATCGTTCAACTCTGTGAGTTGCATACACACAACACAAGGAAGTTACTGAGAATTCTTCTGTCTAGCAGAATATGAAGAAATCCCGTTTCCAACGAAGGCCTCAAGGAGGTCTGAATATCCACTTGCAGACTTTACAAACAGAGTGTTTCCTAACTGCTCTATGAAAAGAAAGGTTAAACTCTGTGAGTTGAACGCACACATCACAAAGGAGTTTCTGAGAATCGTTCTGTCTAGTCTTTATACGAAGATAGTTTCCTTTTCTACCATTGACCTCAAAGCGGCTGAAATCTCCACTTGCAAATTCCACAAAAAGAGTGTTTCAAGTCTGCTCTGTGTAAAGGATCGTTCAACTCTGTGAGTTGAATACACACAACACAAGGAAGTTACTGAGAATTCTTCTGTCTAGCAGAATATGAAGAAATCCCGTTTCCAACGAAGGCCTCAAGGAGGTCTGAATATCCACTTGCAGACTTTACAAACAGAGTGTTTCCTAACTGCTCTATGAAAAGAAAGGTTAAACTCTGTGAGTTGAAGGCACACATCACAAAGGAGTTTATGATAATCATTCTGTCTAGTTTTGAAACGAAGATATTTCCTTTTCTGCCGTTGACCTTAAAGCGCTTGAAATCTACACTTGCAAATTGCACAAATAGAGTGTTTCAAATCTGCTCTGTCTAAGGGAACGTTCAACTCTGTGAGTTGAATGCACACAACACAAGGAAGTTAATGGGAATTCTTCTGTGTAGCCTTACATGAAAAAAAACCCGTTTCCAACGAAGGCCTCTAAGTGGTCAAAATATCCACGTGCAGACTTTACAAACAGAGTGTTTCCAAACCGCTGAATGAAAACAAAAGTTAAACTCTGAGAGTTGAACGCACACATCACGCAGCAGTTTCTGAGAATGATTCTGTCTAGTTTTTATACGAAGATATTTCCTTTTCTGCCTTTGGCCTCAAAGCGCTTGAAATCTCCACTTGCAAATTCCACAAAAAGAGTGTTTCAAATCTGCTCTGTGTAAATGAAAGCTCAACTCTGTGAGTTGAACACACACAACACAAGGAAGTTACTGGGAATTCTTCTGTCTAGCATAGTATGAAGAAATCCCGTTTCCAACGAAGGCCTCAATGAGGTCTGAATATCCACTTGCAGAGTTTACAAACAGAGTGTTTCCTACCTGCTCTATGAAAAGAAAGGTTAAACTCTGTGAGTTGAACGCACACATCACAAAGAAGATTCTGAGAATCATTCTGTCTAGTTTCTAAAGGAAGATATTTCCTATTCTACCATTGACCTCAAATCGGCTGAAATCTCCACTTGCAAATTCCACAAAAAGAGTGTTTCAAGTCTGCTCTGTGTAAAGGATCGTTCAACTCTGTGAGTTGAATACACACAACACAAGGAAGTTACTGAGAATTCTTCTGTCTAGCATAATATGAAGAAATCCCGTTTCCAACGTAGGCCTCAAGGAGGTCTGAATATCCACTTGCAGACTTTACAAACAGAGTGTTTCCTAACTGCTCTATGAAAAGAAAGGTTAAACTCTGTGAGTTGAATGCACACATCACAAAGGAGTTTCTGAGAATCATTCTGTCTAGTTTTGAAACGAAGATATTTCCTTTTCTGCCGTTGACCTTAAAGCGCTTGAAATCTACACTTGCAAATTGGACAAATAGAGTGTTTCAAATCTGCTCTGTCTAAGGGAACGTTCAACTCTGTGAGTTGAATGCACACAACACAAGGAAGTTACTGGGAATTCTTCTGTCTAGCCTTACATGAAAAAAACCCGTTTCCAACGAAGGCCTCGAAGTGTTCAAAATATCCACGTGCAGACTTTACAAACAGAGTGTTTCCAAACTGCTGAATGAAAAGAAAAGTTAAACTCTGAGAGTTGAACGCACACATCACAGAGCAGTTTCTGAGAATGATTCTGTCTTGTTTTTATACGAAGATATTTCCTTTTCTGCCTTTGGCCCCACAGCGCTTGAAATCTCCACTTGCAAATTCCACAAAAACAGTGTTTCAAATCTGCTCTCTATAAATGAAAGTTCAACTCTGTCAGTTGAATACACACAACACAAGGAAGTTACTGAGAATTCTTCTGTCTAGCCTTACATGAAAAAAACCCGTTTCCAATGAAGGCCTCAAAGAAGTCCAAATATCCACGTGCAGCCTTTACAAACAGAGTGTTTCCTAACTGCTCTATGAAAAGAAAGGTTAAACTCTGTGAGTTGAACGCACACATCACAAAGGAGTTTCTGAGAATCATTCTGTCTAATTTTTATATGAAGATATTTCCTTTTCAACCATTGACCTCAAAGCGGCTGAAATCTCCATATGCAAATTCCACAAAAAGAGTGTTTCAAGTCTGCTCTGTGTAAAGGATCGTTCAACTCTGTGAGTTGAATACACACAACACGAGGAAGTTACTGAGAATTCTTCTGTCTAGCAGAATATGAAGAAATCCCGTTTCCAACGAAGGCCTCAAAGAGGTCTCATTATCCACTTGCAGAATTTACAAACAGAGTGTTTCCTAACTGCTCTATGAAAAGAAAGGTTAAACTCTGTGAGTTGAACGCACACATCATAAAGGAGTTTCTGACAATCGTTCTGTGTAGTTTTGAAACGAAGATATTTCCTTTTCTGCCATTGACCTTAAAGCGCTTGAAATCTACACTTGCAAATTGCACAAATAGAGTGTTTCAAATCTGCTCTGTCTAAGGGAACGTTCAACTCTGTGAGTTGAATGCACACAACACAAGGAAGTTACTGGGAATTCTTCTGTCTAGCCTTACATGAAAAAAACCCGTTTCCAATGAAGGCCTCTAAGTGGTCAAAATATCCACGTGCAGACTTTACAAACAGAGTGTTTCCAAACCGCTGAATGAAAAGAAAAGTTAAACTCTGAGAGTTGAACGCACACATCACGCAGCAGTTTCTGAGAATGATTCTGTCTAGTTTTTATACGAAGATATTTCCTTTTCTGCCTTTGGCCTCAAAGCGCTTGAAATCTCCATTTGCAAATTCCACGAAAAGAGTGTTTCAAATCTGCTCTGTGTACATGAAAGTTCAACTCTGTGAGTTGAACACACACAACACAAGGAAGTTACTGGGAATTCTTCTGTCTAGCATAATATGAAGAAATCCCGTTTCCAACGAATGCCTCAAGGAGGTCTGAATATCCACTTGCAGACTTTACAAACAGAGTGTTTCCTAACTGCTCTATGAAAAGAAAGGTTAAACTATGTGAGTTGAACGCACACATGACAAAGGAGTTTCTCAGAATCATTCTGTCTAGTTGTTATACGAAGATATTTCCTTTTCTACCATGGACCTCAAAGCGGCTGAAATCTCCACTTGCAAATTCCACAGAAAGAGTGTTTCAAATCTGCTCTGTGTAAACAATCGTTCAACTGTGTGAGTTGAATACACACAACACAAGGAAGATTCTGAGAATTCTTCTGTCTAGCATAATATGAAGAAATCCCGTTTCCAACGAAGGCCACAAGATGTCAGAATATCCACTTACAGACTTTACAAACAGAGTGTTTCCTAACTGCTCTATGAAAAGAAAGGTTAAACTCTGTGAGTTGAACGAGCACATCACAACGCAGTTTGTGGGAATGATTCTGTCTAGTTTTGAAACGAAGATATTTTCTTTTCTGCCGTTGACCTTAAAGCGCTTGAAATCTACACTTGCAAATTGCACAAATAGAGTGTTTAAAATCTGCTCTGTCTAAGGGAACGTTCAATTCTGTGAGTTGAATGCACACAACACAAGGAAGTTACTGGGAATTCTTCTGTCTAGCCTTACATGAAAAAAACCCGTTTCCAACGAAGACCTCAAAGAAGTCCAAATATCCACGTGCAGACGTTACAAACAGAGTGTTTCCTAACTGCTCTATGAAAAGAAAGGTTAAACTCTGTGAGTTGAACGCCCACATCACAAAGGAGTTTCTGAGAATCATTCTGTCTAGTTTTTATAGGAAGATATTTCCTTTTCTGCCTTTGGCCTCAAAGCGCTTGAAATCTCCACCTGCAAATTCCACAAAAAGAGTGTTTCAAATCTGCTCTGTGTAAATGAAAGTTCAACTCTGTGAGTTGAACACACACAACACAAGGAAGTTACTGGGAATTCTTCTGTCAAGCAGAACATGAAGAAATCCCGCTTCCAACGAAGGCCTCAAAGAAGTCTGAATATCCACTTGCAGACTTTACAAACAGAGTGTTTCCCAACTGCTCTATGAAAAGAAAGGTTGAACTCTGTGAGTTGAACGCACACATCAGAAAGGAATTTCTGAGAATCATTCTGTCTAGTTTTTATAGGAAGATATTTCCTTTTCTACCTTTGACTTCAAAGCGGCTGAAATCTCCACTTCCAAATTCTACAAAAAGAGTGTTACAAGTCTGCTCTGTGTAAAGGATCGTTCAACTCTGTGAGTTGAATACACACAACACAAGGAAGTTACTGAGAATTCTTCTGTCTAGCAGAATATGAAGAAATCCCGTTTCCAACGAAGGCCACAAGATGTCAGAATATCCACTTGCAGACTTTACAAACAGAGTGTTTCCTAACTGCTCTATGAACAGAAAGGTTAAACTCTGTGAGTTGAACGAACACATCACAACGCAGTTTGTGGGAATGATTCTGTCTAGTTTTGAAACGAAGATATTTGCTTTTCTGCCATTGACCTTAAAGCGCTTGAAATCTCCACTTGCCAATTGCACAAAAAGTGTGTTTCAAATCTGCTCTGTCTAAGGGAACGTTCAACTCTGTGAGTTGAATGTACACAACACAAGGAAGTTACTGGGAATTCTTCTGTCTAGCCTTACAGGAAAAAAACCCGTCTCCAACGAAGGCCTCTAAGTGGTCAAAATATCCACGTGCAGACTTTACAAACAGAGTGTTTCCAAACTGCTGAATGAAAAGAAAAGTTAAACTCTGAGAGTTGAACGCACACATCGCAGAGCAGTTTCTGAGAATGATTCTGTCTTGTTTTTATACGAGGATATTTCCTTTTCAGCCTTTGGCCGCAAAGCGCTTGAAATCTCCACTTGCAAATTCCACAAAAACAGTGTTTCAAATCTGCTCTCTCCAAATGAAAGTTCAACTCTGTCAGTTGAATACACACAACACAAGGAAGTTACTGAGAATTCTTCTGTCTAGCACAGTATGAAGAAATCCCATTTCCAACGAAGGCCTCAAAGACGTCTGAATATCCACTTGCAGAGTTCACAAACAGAGTGTTTCCTAACTGCTCTATGAAAAGAAAGGTTAAACTCTGTGAGTTGAACTGCACACATCACAATGAAGTTTCTGAGAATCATTCTGTCTAGTCTTTATACGAAGATATTTACTTTTCTACCGTTGACCTCAAAGCGGCTGAAATCTCCACTTGCAAATTCCACAAAAAGAGTGTTTCAAGTCTGCTCTTTGTAAAGGATCATTCAACTCTGTGAGTTGAATAAACACAACACAAGGAAGTTACTGAGAATTCTTCTGTCCAGCATAATATGAAGAAATCCCTTTTCCAGCGAAGGCCTCAAGGATGTCTGAATATCCACTTGCAGACTTTACAAACAGAGTGTTTCCTAACTGCTCTATGAAAAGAAAGGTTAAACTCTGTGAGTTGAACGCACACATCACAAAGGAGTTTCTGAGAATCATTCTGTCTAGTTTTAATAGGAAGATATTTCCTTTTCTACCTTTGACTTCAAAGCGGCTGAAATCTCCACTTGCAAATTCCACAAAAAGAGTGTTACAAGTCTGCTCTGTGTAAAGGATCGTTCAACTGTGTGAGTTGAATACACACAACACAAGGAAGTTACTGAGAATTCTTCTGTCTAGCCTTACATGAAAAAAACCCGTTTCCAACGAAGGCCTCTAAGTGGTCAAATTATCCACGTGCAGACTTTACAAACAGAGTGTTTCCAAACTGCTGAATGAAAAGAAAAGTTAAACTCTGAGAGTTGAACGCACACATCGTAGAGCAGTTTCTGAGAATGATTCTGTCTAGTTTTTATACGAAGATATTTCTTTTCTGCCTTTGGCCCCAAAGCGCTTGAAATCTCCATTTGCAAATTCCACAAAAACAGTGTTTCAAATCTGCTCTCTCTAAATGAAAGTTCAACTCTGTCAGTTGAATACACACAACACAAGGAAGTTACTGAGAATTCTTCTGTCTAGCACAGTATGAAGAAATCCCGTTTCCAACGAAGGCCTCAAAGAGGTCTGAATATCCACTTGCAGAGTTTACAAACAGAGTGTTTCCTAACCGCTCTATGAAAAGAAAGGTTAAACTCTGTGAGTTGAACGCACACATCACAATGAAGTTTCTGAGAATCATTCTGTCTAGTTTTTATACGAAGATATTTCCTTTTCTACCATTGACCTCAAAGCGGCTGAAATCTCCACTTGCAAATTCCACAAAAAGAGTGTTTCAAATCTGCTCGTGTAAACCATCGTTCAACTCTGTGAGTTGAATACACACAACACAAGGAAGATTCTGAGAATTCTTCTGTCTAACAGAATATGAAGAAATCCCGATTCCCACGAAGGCCACAAGATGTCAGAATATCCACTTACAGACTTTACAAACAGAGTGTTTCCTAACTGCTCTATGAACAGAAAGGTTAAACTCTGTGAGTTGAACGAACACATCACAACGCAGTTTGTGGGAATGATTCTGTCTAGTTTTGAAACGAAGATATTTCCTTTTCTGCCGTTGACCTTAAAGAGCTTGAAAACTACACTTGCAAATTGCACAAATAGAGTGTTTCAAATCTGCTCTGTCTAAGGGAACGTTCAACTCTGTGAGTTGAATGCACACAACACAAGGAAGTTACTGGGAATTCTTCTGTCTAGCCTTACATAAAAAAAAACCGTTTCCAACGAAGGCCTCTAAGTGGTCAAAATATCCACGTGCAGACTTTACAGAGTGTTTCCAAACCGCTGAATGAAAAGAAAAGTTAAACTCTGAGAGTTGAACGCACACATCACGCAGCAGTTTCTGAGAATGATTCTGTCTAGTTTTTATACGAAGATATTTCCTTTTCTGCCTTTGGCCCCAAAGCGCTTGAAATCTCCACTTGCAAATTCCACAAAAACAGTGTTTCAAATCTGCTCTCTCTAAATGAAAGTTCAACTCTGTGAGTTGAATACACACAACACAAGGAAGTTACTGAAAATTCTTCTGTGTAGCATAATATGAAGAAATCCCGTTTCCAACGAAGGCCTCAAAGAGGTCTGAATATCCACTTGCAGACTTTACAAACAGAGTGTTTCCTAACTGCTCTATGAAAAGAAAAGTTAAACTCTGTGAGTTGAACGCACACATCACAAAGGAGTTTATGAGAATCATTCTGTCTAGTTTTTATATGAAGATATTTCCTTTTCTACCATTGACCTCAAAGCGGCTGAAATCTCCACTTGCAAATTCCACAAAAAGAGTGTTTCAAATCTGCTCTGTGTAAACCATCGTTCAACTCTGTGAGTTGAATACACACAACACAAGGAAGATTGTGAGAATTCTTCTGTCTAGCAGAATATGAAGAAATCCAGTTTCCAACGAAGGCCTCAACGAGGTCTGAATATCCACTTGCAGACTTTACAAACAGAGTGTTTCCTAACTGCTCTATGAAAAGAAAGGTTAAACTCTGTGAGTTGAACACACACATCACAAAGGAGTTTCTGAGAATCATTCTGTCTAGTTTTGAAACGAAGATATTTCCTTTTCTGCCATTGACCTGAAAGCGCTTGAAATCTACACTTGCAAATTGCGCAAATAGAGTGTTTCAAATCTGCTCTGTCTAAGGGAACGTTCAACTCTGTGAGTTGAATGCACACAACACAAGGAAGTTACTGGGAATTCTTCTGTCTAGCCTTACATGAAAAAAAACCCGTTTCCAACGAAGGCCTCTAAGTGGTCAAAATATCCACGTGCAGTTTTTACAAACAGAGTGTTTCCAAACCGCTGAATGAAAAGAAAAGTTAAACTCTGAGAGTTGAACGCACACATCACGCAGCAGTTTCTGAGAATGATTCTGTCTAGTTTTGAAACGAAGATATTTCCTTTTCTGTCTTTGGCCTCAAAGCGCTTGAAATCTCCATTTGCAAATTCCACAAAAAGAGTCTTTCAAATCTGCTCTGTGTAAATGAAAGTTCAACTCTGTGAGTTGAACACACACAACACAAGGATGTTAGTGGGAATTCTTCTGTCTAGCCTTATATGAAAAAAACCCGTTTCCAACGAAGGCCTCAAAGAGGTCTGAACATCCACTTGCAGACTTTACAAACAGAGTGTTTCCTAACTGCTCTATGAAAAGAAAGGTTAAACTCTGTGAGTTGAACGCACACATCACAAAGGAGTTTCTGAGAATCATTCTGTCTATTTTCTATAGGAAGATATTTCCTATTCTACCATTGACCTCAAAGCGGCTGAAATCTCCACTTGCAAATTCCACAAAAAGAGTGTTTCAAGTCTGCTCCTGTGTAAAGGATCGTTCAACTCTGTGAGTTGAATACACACAACACAAGGAAGTTACTGAGAATTCTTCTGTCTAGCATAATATGAAGAAATCCCGTTTCCAACGAAGGCCTCAAAGGGGTCTGAATATCCACTTGCAGACTTTATAAACAGCGTGTTTCCTAACTGCTCTATGAAAAGAAAGGTTAAACTCTCTGAGTTGAACGGCACACATCACAAAGGAGTTTCTGAGAATCATTCTGTCTAGTTTTGAAACGAAGATATTTCCTTTTCTGCCATTGACCTTAAAGCGCTTGAAATCTCCACTTGCCAATTGCACAAAAAGAGTGTTTCAAATCTGCTCTGTCTAAGGGAACGTTCAACTCTGTGAGTTGAATGTACACAACACAAGGAAGTTACTGGGAATTCTTCTGTCTAGCATAATATGAAGAAATCCCGTTTCCAACGAAGGCCTCAAAGGAGGTCTGAATATCCACTTGCAGACTTTACAAACAGAGTGTTTCCTAACTGCTCTATGAAAAGAAAAGTTATACTCTGTGTGTTGAACGTACACATCACAAAGGAGTTTCTGAGAATCATTCTGTCTACTTTTTATACGAAGATATTTCCTTTTCTGCCTTTGGCCCCAAAGCGCTTGAAATCTCCACTTGCAAATTCCACAAAAACAGTGTTTCAAATCTGCTCTCTCTAAATGAAAGTTCAATTCTGTCAGTTGAATACACACAACACAAGGAAGTTACTGAGAATTCTTCTGTCTAGCCTTATATGAAAAAAACCCGTTTCCAACGAAGGCCTCAAACAGGTCTGAATATCCACTTGCAGACTTTACAAACAGAGTGATTCCTAACTGCTCTATGAAAAGAAAGGTTAAACTCTGTGAGTTGAACACACACATCACAAAGGAGTTTCTGAGAATCATTCTGTCTAGTTTTTCTACGACGATATTTCCTTTTCTACTATTGACCTCAAAGCGGCTGAAATCTCCAATTGCAAATTCCACAAAAAGAGTGTTTCAAGTCTGCTCTGTGTAAAGGATCGTTCAACTCTGTGAGTTGAATACACACAACACAAGGAAGTTACTGAGAATTCTTCTGTCTAGCAGAATATGAAGAAATCCCGTTTCCAACGAAGGCCTCAAAGAGGTCTGAATATCCACTTGCAGACTTTACAAACAGAGTGTTTCCTAACTGCTCTATGAACAGAAAGGTTAAACTCTGTGAGGTGAACGAACACATCACAACGCAGTTTGTGGGAATGATTCTGTCTAGTTTTGAAACGAACATATTTCCTTTTCTGCCATTGACCTTAAAGCGCTTGAAATCTCCACTTGCCAATTGCACAAAAAGAGTGTTTCAAATCTGCTCTGTCTAAGGGAACGTTCAACTCTGTGAGTTGAATGTACACAACACAAGCAAGTTACTGGGAATTCTTCTGTCTAGCCTTACAGGAAAAAAAACCCGTTTCCAACGAAGGCCTCTAAGTGGTCAAAATATCCACGTGCAGACTTTACAAACAGAGTGTTTCCAAACTGCTGAATGAAAAGAAAAGTTAAACTCTGAGAGTTGAACGCACACATCGCAGAGCAGTTTCTGAGAATCATTCTGTCTAGTTTTTCTACGAAGATATTTCCTTTTCTACTATTGACCTCAACGCGGCTGAAATCTCCACTTGCAAATTCCACAAAAAGAGTGTTTCAAGTCTGCTCTGTGTAAAGGATCGTTCAACTCTGTGAGTTGAATACACACAACACAAGGAAGTTACTGAGAATTCTTCTGTCTAGCAGAATAGGAAGAAATCCCGTTTCCAACGAAGGCCTCAAGGAGGTCTGAATATCCACTTGCAGACTTTACAAACAGAGTGTTTCCTAACTGCTCTATGAACAGAAAGGTTAAACTCTGTGAGTTGAACGCACACATCACAAAGGAGTTTCTGAGAATCATTCTGTATAGTCTGTATAAGAAGATATTTCCTTTTCTACCATTGACCTCAAAGCGGCTGAAATCTCCACTTGCAAATTCCACAAAAAGAGTGTTTCAACTCCGCTCTGTGTAAAGGATCGTTCAACTCTGTGAGTTGAATACACACAACACAAGGAAGTTACTGAGAATTCTTCTGTCTAGCAGAATATGAAGAAATCCCGTTTCCAACGAAAGCCTCAAGGATGTCTGAATATCCACTTGCAGACTTTACAAACAGAGTGTTTCCTAACTGCTCTATGAAAAGAAAGGGTAAACTCTGTGAGTTGAACGCACACATCACAAAGGAGTTTCTGAGAATCATTCTGTCTAGTTTTTATACGAAGATATTTCCTTTTCTACCATTGACCTCAAAGCGGCTGAAATCTCCACTTGCAAATTCCACAAAACGAGCGTTTCAAGTCTGCTCTGTGTAAAGGATCGTTCAACTCTGTGAGTTGAATACACACAACACAAGGAAGTTACTGAGAATTCTTCTGTCTAGCCTTACATGAAAAAAACCCGTTTCCAACGAAGGCCTCTAAGTGGTCAAATTATGCACGTGCAGACTTTACAAACAGAGTGTTTCCAAACTGCTGAATGAAAAGAAAAGTTAAACTCTGAGAGTTGAACGCACACATCGCAGAGCAGTTTCTGAGAATGATTCTGTCTAGTTTTTATACGAAGATATTTCCTTTTCTGCCTTTGGCCCCAAAGTGCTTGAAATCTCCACTTGCAAATTCCACAAAAACAGTGTTTCAAATCTGCTCTCTCTAAATGAAAGTTCAACTCTGTCAGTTGAATACACACAACACAAGGTAAGTTACTGAGAATTCTTCTCTCTAGCATTATATGAAGAAATCCCGTTTCCAACGAAGGCCTCAAAGATGTCTGAATATCCACTTGCAGACTTTACAAACAGAGTGTTTCCTAACTGCTCTATGAAAAGAAAGGTTCAACTCTGTGAGTTGAACGCAGACATCACAAAGGAGTTTCTGAGAATCACTCTGTCTAGTTTTTATACGAAGATATTTCCTTTTCTACCATTGACCTCAAAGCGGCTGAAATCTCCACTTGCAAATTACACAAAAAGAGTGTTTCAAGTCTACTCTGTGTAAAGGATCGTTCAACTCTGTGAGTTGAAAACACACAACACAAGGAAGTTTCTGAGAATTCTTCTGTCTAGCAGAATATGAAGAAATCCCGTTTCCAACGAAGGCCACAAGATGTCAGAATATCCACTTACAGAATTAACAAACAGACTGTTTCCTAACTGCTCTATGAAAAGAAAGGTTAAACTCTGTGAGTTGAACAAACACATCACAACGCAGTTTGTGGGAATGATTCTGTCTAGTTTTGAAACGAAGATATTTCCTTTTCTGCCATTGACCTTAAAGCGCTTGAAATCTACACTTGCAAATTGCACAAATAGAGTGTTTCAAATCTGCTCTGTCTAAGGGAACGTTCAACTGTGTGAGTTGAATGCACACAACACAAAGAAGTTACTGGGAATTCTTCTGTCTAGCCTTACATGAAATAAACCCGTTTCCAACGAAGGCCTCTAAGTGGTCAAAATATCCACGTGCAGACTTTACAAACAGAGTGTTTCCAAACCGCTGAATGAAAAGAAAAGTTAAACACTGAGAGTTGAACGCACACATCACGCAGCAGTTTCTGAGAATGATTCTGTCTAGTTTTTATACGAAGATATTTCCTTTTCTGCCTTTGGCCCGAAAGCGCTTGAAATCTCCACTTGCAAATTCCACAAAAACAGTGTTTCAAATCTGCTCTCTCTAAATGAAAGTTCAACTCTGTCAGTTGAATACACACAACACAAGGAAGTTACTGAGAATTCTTCTGTCTAGCATAATATGAAGAAATCTTGTTTCCAACGAAGGCCTCAAAGAGGTCTGAATATCCACTTGCAGACTTTACAAACAGAGTGTTTCCTAACTGCTCTATGAAAAGAAAAGTTTAACTCTGTGTGTTGAACGCACACATCACAAAGGAGTTTCTGAGAATCATTCTGTCTAGTTTTTCTATGAAGATATTTCCTTTTCCACTATTGACCTCAAAGCGGCTGAAATCTCCACTTGCAAATTCCACAAAAAGAGTGTCTCAAGTCTGCTCTGTGTAAAGGATCGTTCCACTCTGTGAGTTGAATACACACAACACAAGGAAGTTACTGAGAATTCTTCTGTCTAGCAGAATATGAAGAAATCCCGTTTCCATCGAAGGCCACAAGATGTCAGAATATCCACTTACAGAATTGACAAACAGACTGTTTCCTAACTGCTCTATGAAAAGAAAGGTTAAACTCTGTGAGTTGAACGAACACATCACAACGCAGTTTGTGGGAATGATTCTGTCTAGTTTTGAAACGAAGATATTTCCTTTTCTGCCATTGACCTTAAAGCGCTTGAAATCTCCGCTTGCCAATTGCACAAAAAGAGTGTTTCAAATCTGCTCTGTCTAAGGGAACGTTCAACTCTGTGAGTTGAATGTACACAACACAAGGAAGTTATTGGGAATTCTTCTGTCTAGCATAATAGGAAGAAATCCCGTTTCCAACGAAGGCCTCAAAGAGGTCTGAATATCCACTTGCAGACTTTACAAACAGAGTGTTTCCAAACCGCTGAATGAAAAGAAAAGTTAAACTCTGAGAGTTGAACGCACGCATCACGCAGCAGTTTCTGAGAATTATTCTGTCTAGTTTTTATACGAAGATATTTCCTTTTCTGCCTTTGGCCCCAAAGCGCTTGAAATCTCCACTTGCAAATTCCACAAAAACAGTGTTTCAAATCTGCTCTCTCTAAATGAAATTTCAACTCTGTCAGTTGAATACACACAACACAAGGAAGTTACTGAGAATAGTTCTGTCTAGCATAATATGAAGAAATCCCGTTTCCAACGAAGGCCTCAAGGAGGTCTGAATATCCACTTGCAGACTTTACCAACAGAGTGTTTCCTAACTGCTCTATGAAAAGAAAGGTTAAACTCTGTGAGTTGAACGCACACATCACAAAGGAGTTTCTGAGAATCATTCTGTCTAGTTTTTATAGGAAGATATTTCCTTTTCTACCTTTGACTTCAAAGCGGCTGAATTCTCCACTTGCAAATTCCACAAAAAGAGTGTTACAACTCTGCTCTGTGTAAAGGATCGTTCAACTCTGTGAGTTGAATACACACAACACAAGGAAGTTACTGAGAATTCTTCTGTCTAGCAGAATATGAAGAAAACCCGTTTCCAACGAAGGCCTCAAAGAGGTCTGAATATCCACTTGCAGACTTTACAAACAGAGTGTTTCCTAACTGCTCTATGAAAAGAAAGGTTAAACTCTGTGAGTTGAATGCACACATCACAAAGGAGTTTCTGAGAATCATTCTGTCTAGTTTCTATAGTAAGATATTTCCTATTCTACCATTGACCTCAAAGCGGCTGAAATCTCCACTTGCAAATTCCACAAAAAGAGTGTTTCAAGTCTGCTCTGTGTAAAGGATCATTCAACTCTGTGAGTTGAATAAACACAACACAAGGAAGTTACTGAGAATTCTTCTGTCTAGCCTTACATGAAAAAATCCCGTTTCCAACGAAGGTCTCTAAGTTGTCAAAATTTCCACGTGCAGACTTTACAAACAGAGTGTTTCCAAACCGCTGAATGAAAAGAAAAGTTAAACTCTGAGAGTTGATCGCACACATCATGCAGCAGTTTCTGAGAATGATTCTGTCTAGTTTTTATAAGAAGATATTTCCTTTTCTGCCTTTGGCCTCAAAGCACTTGAAATCTCCACTTGCAAATTCCACAAAAAGAGTGTTTCCAATCTGCTCTGTGTAAATGAAAGTTCAACTCTGTGAGTTGAACACACACAACACAAGGAAGTTATTGGGAATTCTTCTGTCTAGCAGAATATGAAGAAATCCCGCTTCCAACGAAGGCCTCAAAGAGGTCTGAATATCCACTTGCAGACTTTACAAACAGAGTGTTTCCCAACTGCTCTATGAAAAGAAAGGTTGAACTCTGTGAGTTGAACGCACACATCACAAAGGAGTTTCTGAGAATCATTCTGTCTAGTTTTTATACGAAGATATTTCCTTTTCTACCATTGACCTCAAAGCGGCTGAAATCTCCACTTGCAAATTCCACAAAAAGAGTGTTTCAAGTCTGCTCTGTGTAAAGGATCTTTCAACTCTGTGAGTTGAATACACACAACACAAGGAAGTTACTGAGAATTCTTCTGTCTAGCAGAATATGAAGAAATCCCGTTTCCAACGAAGGCCACAAGATGTCAGAATATCCACTTACAGAATTTACAAACAGACTGTTTCCCAACTGCTCTATGAAAAGAAAGGTTAAACTCTGTGAGTTGAACGCACACATCACAATGAAGTTTCTGAGAATCATTCTGTCTAGTTTTGAAACGAAGATATTTCCTTTTCTGCCGTTGACCTTAAAGCGCTTGAAATCTACACTTGCAAATTGCACAAATAGAGTGTTTCAAATCTGCTCTGTCTAAGGGAACGTTCAACTCTGTGAGTTGAATGCACACAACACAAGGAAGTTACTGGGAATTCTTCTGTCAAGCCTTACATGAAAAAAACCCGTTTCCAACGAAGGCCTCTAAGTGGTCAAAATTTCCACGTGCAGACTTTACAAACAGAGTGTTTCCAAACCGCTGAATGAAAAGAAAAGTTAAACTCTGAGAGTTGAACGCACACATCACGCAGCAGTTTCTGAGAATGATTCTGTCTAGTTTTGAAACGAAGATATTTCCTTTTCTGCCTTTGGCCTCAAAGCGCTTGAAATCTCCACTTGCAAATTCCACAAAAAGAGTGTTTCAAATCTGCTCTGTGTAAATGAAAGTTCAACTCTGTGAGTTGAACACACACAACACAAGGAATTTACTGGGAATTCTTCTGTCTAGCAGAATATGAAGAAATCCCGTTTCCAACGAAAGCCTCAAAGATGTCTGAATATCTACCTGCAGACTTTACAAACAGAGTGTTTCCTAACTGCTCTATGAAAAGAAAGGTTAAACTCTGTGAGTTGAACGCACACATCACAAAGGAGTTTCTGAGAATCATTCTGTCTAGTTTTTCTACGAAGATATTTCCTTTTCTACTATAGACCTCAAAGCGGCTGAAATCTCCACTTGCAAATTCCACAAAAAGAGTGTTTCAAGTCTGCTCTGTGTAAAGGATCGTTCAACTCTGTGAGTTGAATACACACAACACAAGGAAGTTACTGAGAATTCTTCTATATAGCAGAATATGAAGAAATCCCGTTTCCAAAAAAAGCCTCAATGATGTCTGAATATCCACCTGCAGACATTACAAACAGAGTGTTTCCTAACTGCTCTATGAAAAGAAACTTTAAACTCTGTGAGTTGAACGCACACAGCACCAAGGAGTTTCTGACAATCATTCTGTCTAGTTTTTATACGAAGATATTTCCTTTTCTACCATTGACCTCAACGCGGCTGAAATCTCCACTTGCAAATTCCACAAAAAGAGTGTTCCAAGTCTGCTCTGTGTAAAGGATCGTTCAACTCTGTGAGTTGAATACCCACAACACAAGGAAGTTACTGAGAATTCTTCTGTCTAGCAGAATATGAAGAAATCCCTTTTCCAACGAAGGCCACAAGATGTCAGAATATCCACTTACAGAATTGACAAACAGACTGTTTCCTAACTGCTCTATGAAAAGAAAGGTTAAACTCTGTGAGTTGAACGAACACATCACAACGCAGTTTGTGGGAATGATTCTGTCTAGTTTTGAAACGAAGATATTTCCTTTTCTGCTTTGACCTTAAAGCGCTTGAAATCTCCACTTGCCAATTGCACAAAAAGAGTGTTTCAAATCTGCTCTGTCTAAGGGAACGTTCAACTCTGTGAGTTGAATGTACACAACACAAGGAAGTTACTGGGAATTCTTCTGTCTGGCCTTACATGAAAAAAACCCGTTTCCAACGAAGGCCTCTAAGTGGTCAAAATTTCCACGTGCAGACTTTACAAACAGAGTGTTTCCAAACCGCTGAATGAAAAGAAAAGTTAAACTCTGAGAGTTGAACGCACACATCACGCAGCAGTTTCTGAGAATGATTCTGTCTAGTTTTGAAACGAAGATATTTCCTTTTCTGCCTTTGGCCTCAAAGCGCTTGAAATCTCCACTTGCAAATTCCACAAAAAGAGTGTTTCAAATCTGCTCTGGGTAAATGAAAGTTAAACTCTGTGAGTTGAACACACACAACACAAGGAAGTTACTGGGAATTCTTCTGTCTAGCATAATATGAAGAAATCCCGTTTCCAACGAAGGCCTCAAAGAGGTCTGAATATCCACTTGCAGACTTTATAAACAGAGTGTTTCCTAACTGCTCTATGAAAAGAAAAGTTAAACTCTGTGAGTTGAACGCACACATCACAAAGGAGTTTCTGAGAATCATTCTGTCTAGTTTTTATAGGAAGATATTTCCTTTTCTACCTTTGACGTCAAAGCGGGTGAAATCTCCACTTGCAAATTCCACAAAAAGAGTGTTACAAGTCTGCTCTGTGTAAGGGATCGTTCAACTCTATGAGTTGAATACACACAACACAAGGAAGTTACTGAGAATTCTTCTGTCTAGCAGAATATGAAGAAATCCCGTTTCCAACAAAGGCCACAAGATGTCAGAATATCCACTTACAGACTTTACAAACAGAGTGTTTCCTAACTGCTCTATGAACAGAAAGGTTAAACTCTGTGAGTTGAACGAACACATCACAACGCAGTTTGTGGGAATGATTCTGTCTAGTTTTGAAACGAAGATATTTCCTTTTCTGCCATTGACCTTAAAGCGCTTGAAATCTCCACTTGCCAATTGCACAAAAAGAGTGTTTCAAATCTGCTCTGTCTAAGGGAACGTTCAACTCTGTGAGTTGAATGTACACAACACAAGGAAGTTACTGGGAATTCTTCTGTCTAGCCTTACAGGAAAGAAAACCGTTTCCAACGAAGGCCTCTAAGTGGTCAAAATATCCACGTGCAGACTTTACAAACAGAGTGTTTCCAAACTGCTGAATGAAAAGCAAAGTTAAACTCTGAGAGTTGAACGCACACATCGCAGAGCAGTTTCTGAGAATGATTCTGTCTAGTTTTTATACGAAGATATTTCCTTTTCTGCCTTTGGCCTCAAAGCGCTTGCAATCTCCACTTGCAAATTCCACAAAAAGAGTGTTTCCAATCTGCTCTGTGTAAATGAAAGTTCAACTCTGTGAGTTGAACACACACAACACAAGGAAGTTACTGGGAATTCTTTCTCTCTAGCAGAATATGAAGAAATCCCGTTTCCAACGAAAGCCTCAAAGATGTCTGAATATCCTCTTGCAGACTTTACAAACTGAGTGTTTCCTAACTGCTCTATGTAAAGAAAGGTTAAACTCTGTGAGTTGAACGCACACATCACAAAGGAGTTTCTGAGAATCATTCTGTCTAGTTTCTATAGGAAGATATTTCCTATTCTACCATTGACCTCAAAGCGGCTGAAATCTCCACTTGCAAATTCCACAAAAAGAGTGTTTCAAGTCTGCTCTGTGTAAAGGATCGTTCAACTCTGTGAGTTGAATACACACAACACAAGGAACTTACTGAGAATTCTTCTGTCTAGCATAATATGAAGAAATCCCGTTTCCAACGAAGGCCTCAAGGAGGTCTGAATATCCACTTGCACACTTTACAAACAGAGTGTTTCCTAACTGCTCTATGAAAAGAAAGGTTAAACTCTGTGAGTTGAACGCACACATCACAAAGGAGTTTCTGAGAATCATTCTGTCTAGTTTTGAAACGAAGATATTTCCTTTTCTGCCGTTGACCATAAAGCGCTTGAAATCTACACTTGCAAATTGCACAAATAGAGTGTTTCAAATCTGCTCTGTCTAAGGGAACGTTCAAGTCTGTGAGTTGAATGCACACAACACAAGGAAGTTACTGGGAATTCTTCTGTCTAGCCTTACAGGAAAAAAACCCGTTTCCAACGAAGTCCTCTAAGTGGTCAAGTTATCCAAGTGCAGACTTTACAACCAGAGTGTTTCCAAACTGCTGAATGAAAAGAAAAGTTAAACTCTGAGAGTTGAACGCACACATCGCAGAGCAGTTTCTGAGAATGATTCTGTCTAGTTTTTATACGAAGATATTTCCTTTTCTGCCTTTGGTCCCAAAGCGCTTGAAATCTCCACTTGCAAATTCCACAAAAACAGTGTTTCAAATCTGCTCTCTCTAAATGAAAGTTCAACTCTGTCAGTTGAATACACACAACACAAGGAAGTTACTGAGAATTCTTCTGTCTAGCAGAATATGAAGAAATCCCGTTTCCAACGAAGGCCTCAAAGAGGTCTGAATATCCACTTGCAGACTTTACAAACAGAGTGTTTCCTAACTGCTCTATGAAAAGAAAGTTTAAACTCTGTGAGTTGAACGCACACATCACAAAGGAGTTTCTGAGAATCGTTCTGTCTAGTTTCTATAGGAAGATATTTCCTATTCTACCATTGACCTCAAAGCGGCTGAAATCTCCAGTTGCAAATTCCACGAAAAGAATGTTTCAAGTCTGCTCTGTGTAAAGGATCGTTCAACTCTGTGAGTTGAATACACACAACACAAGGAAGTTACTGAGAGTTCTTGTGTCTAGCAGAATATGAAGAAATCCCGTTTCTAACGAAGGCCACAAGATGTCAGAATATCCCCTTACAGACTTTACAAACAGAGTGTTTCCTAACTGCTCTATGAAAAGAAAGGTTAAACCCTGTGAGTTGAACGAACACATCACAACGCAGTTTGTGGGAATGATTCTGTCTAGTTTTGAAACGAAGATATTTCCTTTTCTGCCTTTGGTCTCAAAGCGCTTGAAATCTCCACTTGCCAATTCCACATAAAGAGGGTTTCAAATCTGCTCTGTCTAAATGAAAGTTCAACCCTGTCAGTTGAATACACACCACACAAGGGAGTTTCTGAGAATTCTTCTGTCTAGCCTTACATGAAAAAAACCCGTTTCCAACGAAGGCCTCTAAGTGGTCAAAATATCCACGTGCAGACTTTACAAACAGAGTGTTTCCAAACCGCTGAATGAAAAGAAAAGTTAAACTCTGAGAGTTGAACGCACACATCACGCAGTAGTTTCTGAGAATGATTCTGTCTAGTTTTGAAACGAAGATATTTCCTTTTCTGGCTTTGGCCTCAAAGCGCTTGAAATCTCCATTTGCAAATTCCACAAAAAGAGTGTTGCAAATCTGCTCTGTGTAAATGAAAGTTCAACTCTGTGAGTTGAACACACACAACACAAGGAAGTTACTGGGAATTCTTCTGTCTAGCATAGTATGAAGAAATCCCGTTTCCAACGAAGGCCTCAAAGAGGTTTGAATATCCACTTGCAGAGTTTACAAACAGAGTGTTTCCTAACTGCTCTATGAAAAGAAAGGTTAAACTCTGTGAGTTGAACGCACACATCACAAAGAAGTTTCTGAGAATCATTCTGTCTAGTTTTTATACGAAGATATTTCCTTTTCTACCATTGACCTCAACGCGGCTGAAATCTCCACTTGCAAATTCCATCAAAAGAGTGTTTCAAGTCCGCTCTGTGTAAAGGATCGTTCAACTCTGTGAGATGAATACACACAACACAAGGAAGTTACTGAGAATTCTTCTGTCTAGCACAGTATGAAGAAATCCCGTTTCCAAAGAAGGCCTCAAAGAGGTCTGAATATCCACTTGCAGAGTTTACAAACAGAGTGTTTCCTAACTGCTCTATGAAAAGAAAGGTTAAACTCTGTGAGTTGAACGCACACATCACAAAGAAGTTTCTGAGAATCATTCTGTCTAGTTTTTATACGAAGATATTTCCTTTTCTACCATTGACCTCAAAGCGGCTGAAATCTCCACTTGCAAATTCCACAAAAAGAGTGTTTCAAATCCGCTCTGTGTAAACCATCGTTAAACTCTGTGAGTTGAATACACACAACACAAGGAAGATTCTGAGAATTCTTCTGTCTAGCAGAATATGAAGAAATCCCGTTTCCAACGAAGGCCACAAGATTTCAGAATATCCACTTACAGAATTTACAAACAGACAGTTTCCTAACTCCTCTCTGAAAACAAAGGTTAAACTCTGTGAGTTGAACGAACACATCACAACGCAGTTTGTGGGAATGATTCTGTCTAGTTTCTATAGGAAGATATTTCCTATTCTACCATTGAACTCAAAGCGGCTGAAATCTCCACTTGCAAATACCACAAAAAGAGTGTTTCAAGTCTGCTCTGTGTAAAGGATCGTTCAACTCTGTGAGTTGAAAACACACAACACAAGGAAGTTTCTGAGAATTCTTCTGTCTAGCAGAACATGAAGAAATCCCGCTTCCAACGAAGGCCTCAAGGAGGTCTGAATATCCACTTGCAGACTTTACAAACAGAGTGTTTCCTAACTGGTCTATGAAAAGAAAGGTTAAACTCTGTGAGTTGAACGCACACATCACAAAGGAGTTTCTGAGAATCATTCTGTCTAGTTTTGAAACGAAGAATATTTCCTTTTCTACCATTGACCTCAACGCGGCTGAAATCTCCATTTGCAAATTCCACAAAAAGAGTGTTTCAAATCTGCTCTGTGTAAATGAAAGTTCAACTCTGTGAGTTGAACACACACAACACAAGGAAGTTACTGGGAGTTCTTCTGTCTAGCAGAATATGAAGAAATCCCGTTTCCAACGAAGGCCACAAGATGTCAGAATATCCCCTTACAGAATTTTCAAACAGACTGTTTCCTAACTGCTCTATGAAAAGAAAGGTTAAACTCTGTGAGTAGAACGAACACATCACAACGCAGTTTGTGGGAATGATTCTGTCTAGTTTTGAAACGAAGATATTTCCTTTTCTGCCATTGACCTCAAAGCGCTTGAAATCTCCACTTGCCAATTGCACAAAAAGAGTGTTTCAAATCTGCTCTGTCTAAGGGAACGTTCAACTCTGTGAGTTGAATGTACACAACACAAGGAAGTTACTGGGAATTCTTCTGTCTAGCCTTACAGGAAAAAAACCCGTTTCCAACGAAGGCCTCTAAGTGGTCAAAATATCCACGTGCAGACTTTACAAACAGAGTGTTTCCAAACTGCTGAATGAAAAGAAAAGTTAAACTCTGAGAGTTGAACGGACACATCGCAGAGCAGTTTCTGAGAATGATTCTGTCTAGTTTTGAAACGAAGATATTTCCTTTTCTGCCTTTGGCCTCAAAGTGCTTGAAATCTCCACTTGCAAATTCCACAAAAAGAGTGTTTCAAATCTGCTCTGGGTAAATGAAAGTTCAACTCTGTGAGTTGAACACACACAACACAAGGAAGTTACTGGGAATTCTTCTGTCTAGCCTTACATGAAAAAAACCCGTTTCCAACGAAGGCCTCAAAGCGGTCAAAATATCCACTTGCAGAATTTACAAACAGAGTGTTTCCTAACTGCTGTATGAAAAGAAAGGTTAAACTCTGTGAGTTGAACACACACATCACAAAGGAGTTTCTGAGAATCATTCTGTCTAGTTTCTATAGGAAGATATTTCCTATTCTACCATTGACCTCACAGCGGCTGAAATCTCCACTTGCAAATTCCACAAAAAGAGTGTTTCAAGTCTGCTCTGTGTAAAGGATCGTTCAACTCTGTGAGTTGAAAACACACAACACAAGGAAGTTTCTGAGAATTCTTCTGTCTAGCAGAATATGAAGAAATCCCGTTTCCAACGAAGGCCACAACATGTCAGAATATCCACTTTCATACTTTACAAACAGAGTGTTTCCTAACTGCTCTATGAACAGAAAGGTTAAACTCTGTGGGTTGAACGAACACATCACAACGCAGTTTGTGGCAATGATTCTGTCTAGTTTTGAAACGAAGATATTTACTTTTCTGCCATTGACCTTAAATCGCTTGAAATCTCCAGTTGCCAATTGCACTAAAAGAGTGTTTCAAATCTGCTCTGTCTAAGGGAACGTTCAACTCTGTGTGTTGAATGTACACAACACAAGGAAGTTACTGGGAATTCTTCTGTCTAGCCTTACAGGAAAAAAACCCGTTTCCAACGAAGGCCTCTAAGTGGTCAAGTTATCCACGTGCAGACTTTAGAAACAGAGTGTTTCCAAACTGCTGAATGAAAAGAAAAGTTAAGCTCTGAGAGTTGAACGCACACATCGCAGAGCAGTTTCTGAGAATGATTCTGTCTAGTTTTTATACGAAGATATTTCCTTTTCTGCCTTTGGCCTCAAAGCGCTTGAAATCTCCACTTGCAAATTCCACAAAAAGAGTGTTTCAAATCTGCTCTGTGTAAATCAAAGTTCAACTCTGTGAGTTGAACACACACAACAGAAGGAAGTTACTGGGAATTCTTCTGTCTAGCATAATATGAAGAAATCCCGTTTCCAACGAAGGCCTCAAGGAGTTCTGAATATCCACTTGCACACTTTACAAACAGAGTGTTTCCTAACTGCTCTATGAAAAGAAAGGTTAAACTCTGTGAGTTGAACGCACACATCACAAAGGAGTTTCTCAGAATCATTCTGTCTAGTTTCTATAGGAAGATATTTCCTATTCTACCATTGACCTCAAAGCGTCAGAAATCTCCACTTGCAAATTCCACAAAAAGAGTGTTTCAAGTCTGCTCTGTGTAAAGGATCGTTCAAATCTGTGAGTTGAATACACACAACACAAGGAAGTTACTGAGAATTCTTCTGTCTAGCAGAATATGAAGAAATCCCGTTTCCAACGAAGGCCTCAAGGAGGTCTGAATATCCACTTGCAGACTTTACAAACAGAGTGTTCCCTAACTGCTCTATGAAAAGAAAGGTTAAACTCTGTGATTTGAACGCACACATCACAAAGGAGTTTCTGAGAATCATTCTGTCTACTTTTTATACGAAGATATTTCCTATTCTACCATTGACCTCAAAGCGGCTGAAATCTCCACTTGCAAATTCCACAAGAAGAGTGTTTCAAGTATGCTCTGTGTAAAGGATCGTTCAACTCTGTCAGTTGAATACACACAACACAAGGAAGTTACTGAGAATTCTTCTGTCTAGCCTTACATGAAAAAAACCCGTTTCCAACGAAGGCCTCTAAGTGGTCAAGTTATCCACGTGCAGACTTTACAAACAGAGTTTTTCCAAACTACTGAATGAAAAGAGAAGTTAAACTCTGAGAGTTGAACGCACACATCGCAGAGCAGTTTCTGAGAATGATTCTGTCTAGTTTTTATACGAAGATATTTCCTTTTCTGCCTTTGGCCCCAAAGCGCTTGAAATCTCCCCTTGCAAATTCCACAAAAACAGTGTTTCAAATCTGCTCTCTCTAAATGAAAGTTCAACTCTGTCAGTTGAATACACACAACACAAGGAAGTTACTGAGAATTCTTCTGTATAGCAAAATATGAAGAAATCCGGTTTCCAATGAAGGCCTCAAGGAGGTCTGAATATCCACTTGCAGACTTTACAAACGGAGTGTTTCCTAACTGCTCTATGAAAAGAAAGGTTAAACTCTGTGAGTTGAACGCAGACATCACAAAGGAGTTTCTGAGAATCACTCTGTCTAGTTTTTATACGAAGATATTTCCTTTTCTACCATTGACCTCAAAGCGGCTGAAATCTCCACTTGCCAATTCAACAAAAAGAGTGTTTCAAGTCTACTCTGTGTAAAGGATCGTTGAACTCTGTGAGTTGAAAACACACAACACCAGGAAGTTTCTGAGAATTCTTCTGTCTAGCAGAATATGAAGAAATCCCGTTTCCAACAAAGGCCTCAAAGAGGTCTGAATATCCACTTGCAGACTTCACAAACAGAGTGTTTCCTAACTGCTCTATGAAAAGAAAGGTTAAACTCTGTGAGTTGAACGCACACATCACAAAGGAGTTTCTGAGAATCATTCTGTCTAGTTTTGAAACGAAGATATTTCCTTTTCTGCCATTGACCTTAAAGCGCTTGAAATCTCCATTTGCCAATTGCACAAAAAGAGTGTTTCAAATCTGCTCTGTCTAAGGGAACGTTCAACTCTGTGAGTTGAATGTACACAACACAAGGAAGTTACTGAGAATTCTTCTGTCTAGCCTTACAGGAAAAAAACCCGTTTCCAACGAAGGCCTCTAAGTGGTCAAAATATCCACGTGCAGACTTTACAAACAGAGTGTTTCCAAACTGCTGAATGAAAAGAAAAGTTAAACTCTGAGAGTTGAACGCACACATCACAGAGCAGTTTCTGAGAATGATTCTGTCTAGTTTCTATAGGAAGATATTTCCTATTCTACCGTTGACCTCAAAGCGCCTGAATTCTCCACTTGCAAATTCCACAACAAGAGTGTTTCAAGTCTGTTCTGTGTAAAGGATCATTCAACTCTGTGAGTTGAATACACACAACACAAGGAAGTTACTGAGAATTCTTCTGTCTAGCAGAATATGAAGAAATCCCGTTTCCAACGAAGGCCTCAAAGAGGTCTGAATATCCACTTGCAGACTTTACAAACAGAGTGTTTCCTAACTGCTCTATGAAAAGAAAAGTTAAACTCTGTGAGTTGAACGCACACATCACAAAGGTGTTTCTGAGAATCATTCTGTCTAGTTTCTATAGGAAGATATTTCCTATTCTACCATTGACCTCAAAGCGGCTGAAATCTCCACTTGCAAATTCCACAAAAAGAGTGTTTCAAGTCTGCTCTGTGTAAAGGATCGTTCAACTCTGTGAGTTGAATACATACAACACAAGGAAGTTACTGAGAATTCTTCTGTCTAGCAGAATATGAAGAAATCCCGTTTCCAACGGAGGCCACAAGATGTCAGAATATCCACTTACAGAATTTACCAACAGAGTGTTTCCTAACTGCTCTATGAAAAGAAAGGTTAAACTCTGTGAGTTGAACGAACACATCACAACGCAGTTTGTGGGAATGATTCTGTCTAGTTTTTATACGAAGATATTTCCTTTTCTACCATTGACCTCAAAGCGGCTGAAATCACCACTTGCCAATTGCACAAAAAGAGTGTTTCAAATCTGCTCTGTCTAAGGGAACGTTCAACTCTGTGAGTTGAATGTACACAACACAAGGAAGTTACTGGGAATTCTTCTGTCGAGCCTTACATGAAAAAAACCCGTTTCCAACGAAGGCCTCTAAGTGGTCAAAATTTCCACGTGCAGACTTTACAAACAGAGTGTTTCCAAACCGCTGAATGAAAAGAAAAGTTAAACTCTGAGAGTTGAACGCACACATCACACAGCAGTTTCTGAGAATGATTTCTGTCTAGTTTTGAAACGAAGATATTTCCTTTTCTGCATTTGGCCTCAAAGCGCTTGAAATCTCCACTTGCAAATTCCACAAAAAGAGTGTTTCAAATCTGCTCTGTGTAAATGAAAGTTCAACTCTGTGAGTTGAACACACACAACACAAGGAAGTTACTGGGAATTCTTCTGTCTGGCAGAATATGAAGAAATCCCGTTTCCAACGAGGGCCTAAAAGGGGTCTGAATATCCACTTGCAGACTTTATAAACAGAGTGTTTACTAACTGCTCTATGAAAAGAAAGGTTAAACTCTGTGAGTTGCAGACACACATCACAAAGGAGTTTCTGAGAATCATTCTGTCTAGTTTTTATACGAAGATATTTCCTTTTCTACCATGGACCTCAAAGCGGCTGAAATCTCCACTTGCAAATTCCACAAAAAGAGTGTTTCAAGTCTGCTCTGTGTAAAGGATCGTTCAACTCTGTGAGTTGAATACACACAACACATGGAAGATTCTGAGAATTCTTCTGTCTAGCAGAATATGAAGAAATCCCGTTTCCAACGAAGGCAACAAGATGTCAGAATATCCACTTGCAGACTTTACAAACAGAGTGTTTCCTAACTGCTCTATGAACAGAAAGGTTAAACTCTGAGAGTTGAACAAACACATCACAACGCAGTTTGTGGGAATGATTCTGTCTAGTTTTTATAGGAAGTTATTTCCTTTTCTACTTTGACTTCAAAGTGGCTGAAATCTCCACTTGCAAATTCCACAAAAATAGTGTTACAAGTCTGCTCTGTGTAAAGGATCATTCAACTCTGTGAGTTGAATACACACAACACAAGGAAGTTACTGAGAATTCTTCTGTCTAGCCTTACATGAAAAAAACCCGTTTCCAACGAAGGCCACTAAGTGGTCAAAACATCCACGTGCAGACTTTACAAACAGAGTGTTTCCATACTGCTGAATGAAAAGAAAAGTTAAACTCTGAGAGTGGAACGCACACATCACAGAGCAGTTTCTGAGAATGATTCTGTCTAGTTTTCATACGAAGATATTTCCTTTTCTGCCTTTGGCCCCAAAGCGCTTGAAATCTCCACTTGCAAATTCCACAAAAACAGTGTTTCAAATCTGCTCTCTCTAAATGAAAGTTCAACTCTGTCAGTTGAATACACACAACACAAGGAAGTTACTGAGAATTCTTCTGTCTAGCATAATATGAAGAAATCCCGTTTCCAACGAAGGCCTCAAAGGGGTCTGAATATCCACTTGCAGACTTTATAAACAGAGTGTTTACTAACTGCTCTATGAAAAGAAAGGTTAATCTCTGTGAGTTGAACACACACATCACAAAGGAGTTTCTTAGAATCATTCTGTCTAGTTTCTATAGGAAGATATTTCCTATTCTACAATTGACCTCAAAGCGGCTGAAATCTCCAGTTGCAAATTCCACAAAAAGAATGTTTCAAGTCTGCTCTGTGTAAAGGATCGTTCAACTCTGTGAGTTGAATACACACAACACAAGGAAGTTACTGAGAATTATTCTGTCTAGCAGAATATGAAGAAATCCCGTTTCCAACGAAGGCCACACGATGTCAGAATATCCACTTACAGACTTTACAAACAGTGTTTCCTAACTGCTCTATGAACAGAAAGGTTAAACTCTGTGAGTTGAACGAACACATCACAACGCCGTTTGTGGGAATGATTCTGTGTAGTTTTGAAACGAAGATATTTCGTTTTCTGCCATTGACCTTAAAGCGCTTGAAATCTCCACTTGCCAATTGCACAAAAAGAGTGTTTCAAATCTGCTCTGTCTAAGGGAACGTTCAACTCTGTGAGTTGAATGTACACAACACAAGGAAGTTACTGGGAATTCTTCTGTCTAGCCTTACATGGAAAAAACCCGTTTCCAACGAAGGCCTCAAAGAAGTCCAAATATCCACGTGCAGACATTACAAACAGAGTGTTTCCTAACTGCTCTATGAAAAGAAAGGTTAAACTATGCGAGTTGAACGCACACATCACAAAGGAGTTTCTGAGAATCATTCTGTCTAGTTTTTATACGAAGATATTTCCTTTTCTACCATTGACCTCAAAGCGGCTGAAATCTCCACCCTGCCAATTCCACAAAAAGAGTGTTTCAAGTCTACTCTGTGTAAAGGATCGTTGAACTCTGTGAGTTGAAAACACACAACACAAGGAAGTTTCTGAGAATTCTTCTGTATAGCAGAATATGAAGAAATCCCGTTTCCAACGAAGGCCTCAAGGAGGTCTGAATATCCACTTGCAGACTTTACAAACAGAGTGTTTCTTAACTGCTCTATGAAAAGAAAGGTTAAGCTCTGTGAGTTGAACGCAGACATCACAAAGGAGTTTCTGAGAATCACTCTGTCTAGTCTTTATACGAAGATAGTTTCCTTTTCTACCATTGACCTCAAAGCGGCTGAAATCTCCACTTGCAAATTCCACAAAAAGAGGGTTTCAAGTCTGCTCTGTGTAAAGGATCGTTCAACTCTGTGAGTTGAATACACACAACACAAGGAAGTTACTGAGAATTCTTCTGTCTAGCAGAATATGAAGAAATCCCGTTTCCAACGAAGGCCTCAAGGAGGTCTGAATATCCACTTGCAGACTTTACAAGCAGAGTGTTTCCTAACTGCTCTATGAAAAGAAAGGTTAAACTCTGTGAGTTGAACGCACACATCACAAAGGAGTTTATGAGAATCATTCTGTCTAGTTTTGAAACGAAGATATTTCCTTTTCTGCCACTGACCTTAAAGCGCTTGAAATCTCCACTTGCCAATTGCACAAAAAGAGTGTTTCAAATCTGCTCTGTCTAAGGGAACGTTCAACTCTGTGAGCTGAATGTACGCAACAGAAGGAAGTTACTGGGAATTCTTCTGTCTAGCCTTACATGAAAAAAACCCGTTTCCAACGAAGGCCTCTAAGTGGTCAAATTATCCACGTGCAGATTTTACAAACAGAGTGTTTCCAAACTGCTGAATGAAAAGCAAAGTTAAACTCTGAGAGTTGAACGCACACATCGCAGAGCAGTTTCTGAGAATGATTCTGTCTAGTTTTTATACGAAGATATTTCCTTTTCTGCCTTTGGCCTCAAAGCGCTTGAAATCTCCATTTGCAAATTCCACAAAAAGAGTGTTTCAAATCTGCTCTGTGTAAATGAAAGTTCAACTCTGTGAGTTGAACACACACAAAACAAGGAAGTTACTGGGAATTCTTCTGTATAGCAGAATATGAAGAAATCCCGTTTCCAACGAAGGCCTCAAGGAGGTCTGAATATCCACCTGCAGACTTTACAAACAGAGTGTTTCCTAACTGCTCTATGAAAAGAAAGGTTAAACTCTGTGAGTTGAACGCAGACATCACAAAGGAGTTTCTGAGAATCACTCTGTCTAGTTTTTATACGAAGATATTTCCTTTTCTACCATTTACCTCAAATTGGCTGAAATCTCCACTTGAAAATACCAAAAAAAGTGTGTTTCAAGTCTGCTCTGTGTAAAGGATCGTTCAACTCTGTGAGTTGAATACACACAACACAAGGAAGTTTCTGAGAATTCTTCTGTCTAGCAGAATATGAAGAAATCCCGTTTCCAACTAAGGCCACAAGATGTCAGAATATCCACTTACAGAATTTACAAACAGACTGTTTCCTAACTGCTCTATGAAAAGAAACGTTAAACTCTGCGAGTTGAGCGAACACATCACAACGCAGTTTGTGGGAATGATTCTGTCTAGTTTTGAAACGAAGATATTTCCTTTTCTGCCATTGACCTTAAAGCGCTTGAAATCTACACTTGCAAATTGCACAAATAGAGTGTTTCAAATATGCTCTGTCTAAGGGAACGTTCAACTCTGTGAGTTGAATGCACACAACACAAGGAAGTTACTGGGAATTCTTCTGTCTAGCCTTACATGAAAAAAACCCGTTTCTAACGAAGGCCTCTAAGTGGTCAAATTATCCACGTGCAGACTTTACAAACAGAGTGTTTCCAAACTGCTGAATGAAAAGAAAAGTTAAACTCTGAGAGTTGAACGCACACATCGCAGAGCAGTTTCTGAGAATGATTCTGTCTAGTTTTTATACGAAGATATTTCCTTTTCTGCCTTTGGCCCCAAAGCGCTTGAAATCTCCACTTGCAAATTCCACAAAAACAGTGTTTCAAATCTGCTCTCTCTAAATGAAAGTTCAATTCAGTCAGTTGAATACACACAACACAAGGAAGTTACTGAGAATTCTTCCGTCTAGCAGAATATGAAGAAATCCCGTTTCCAACGAAGGCCTCAAAGAGGTCTGAATATCCACTTGCAGACTTTACAAACAGAGTGTTTCCTAACTGCTCTATGAAAAGAAAGGTTAAACTCTGTGAGTTGAACGCACACATCACAAAGGAGTTTATGAGAATCATTCTGTCTAGTTTCTATAGGAAGATATTTCCTATTCTACCTTTGACCTCAAAGCGGCTGAAATCTCCACTTGCAAATTCCACAAAAAGAGTGTTTCAAGTCTGCTCTCTGTAAAGGATCGTTCAACTCTGTGAGTTGAATACACACAACACAAGGAAGTTACTGAGAATTATTCTGTCTAGCAGAATATGAAGAAATCCCGTTTCCAACGAAGGCCACAAGATGTCAGAATATCCACTTACAGACTTTACAAACAGAGTGTTTCCTAACTGCTCTATGAACAGAAAGGTTAAACTCTGTGAGTTGAACGCACACATCACAAAGGAGTTTCTGAGAATCATTCTGTCCAGTCTTTATACGAAGATATTTACTTTTCTACCATTGACTTCAAAGCGGCTGAAATCTCCACTTACAAATTCCACAAAAAGAGTGTTTCAAGTCTGCTCTGTGTAAAGGATCATTCAACTCTGTGAGTTGAATAAACACAACACAAGGAAGTTACTGAGAATTCTTCTGTCTAGCCTTACATGAAGAAAACCCGTTTCCAACGAAGGCCTCTAAGTGGTCAAAATATCCACGTGCAGTCTTTACAAACAGAGTGTTTCCAAACCGCTGAATGAAAAGAAAAGTTAAACTCTGAGAGTTGAACGCACACATCACGCAGCAGTTTCTGAGAATGATTCTGTCTAGTTTTTATACCAAGATATTTCCTTTTCTGCCTTTGGCCCCAAGGCGCCTGAAATCTCCACTTGCAAATTCCACAAAAACAGTGTTTCAAATCTGCTCTCTCTAAATGAAAGTTCAACCCTGTCAGTTGAATACACACAACACAAGGAAGTTACTGAGAATTCTTCTGTCTAGCCTTATATGACAAAAACCCGTTTCCAACGAAGGCCTCAAAGAGGTCTGAATATCCACTTGCAGACTTTACAAACAGAGTGTTTCCTAACTGCTCTATGAAAAGAAAGGTTAAACTCTGTGAGTTGAACGCACACATCACAAAGGAGTTTCTGAGAATCATTCTGTCTAGTTTTTCTACGAAGATATTTCCTTTTCTACTATTGACCTCAAAGCGGCTGAAATCTCCTCTTGCAAATTCCACAAAAAGAGTGTTTCAAGTCTGCTCTGTGTAAAGGATCGTTCAACTCTGTGAGTTGAATACACACAACACAAGGGAAGTTACTGAGAATTCTTCTGTCTAGCAGAATATGAAGAAATCCCGTTTCCAACGAAGGCCACAAGATGTCAGAATATCCACTTACAGAATTTTCAAACAGACTGTTTCCTAACTACTCTATGAAAAGAAAGGTTAAACTCTGTGAGTTGAACGAGCACATCACAACGCAGTTTGTGGGAATGATTCTGTCTAGTTTTGAAACGAAGATATTTCCTTTTCTGCCGTTGACCTTAAAGCGCTTGAAATCTACACTTGCAAATTGCACAAATAGAGTGTTTCAAATCTGCTCTGTCTAAGGGAACGTTCAACTTTGTGAGTTGAATGCACACAACACAAGGAAGTTACTGGGAATTCTTCTGTCTAGCCTTACAGGAAAAAAACCCGTTTCCAACGAAGGCCTCTAAGTGGTGAAAATATCCACGTGCAGACTTTACAAACAGAGTGTTTCCAAACTGCTGAATGAAAAGAAAAGTTAAACTCTGAGAGTTGAACACACACATCGCAGAGCAGTTTCTAAGAATGATTCTGTCTAGTTTTTATACGAAGATATTTCCTTTTCTGCCTTTGGCCTCAAAGCGCTTGAAATCTCCACTTGCAAATTCCACAAAAAGAGTTTTTCAAATCTGCTCTGTGTAAATGAAAGTTCAACTCTGTGAGTTGAACACACACAACAGAAGGAAGTTACTGGGAATTCTTCTGTCTAGCAGAACATGAAGAAATCCCGCTTCCAACGAAGGCCTCAAAGGAAGTCTGAATATCCACTTGCAGACTTTACAAACAGAGTGTTTCCCAACTGCTCTATGAAAAGAAAGGTTAAACTCTGTGAGTTGAACGCACACATCACAAAGGAGTTTCTGAGAATCATTCTGTCTAGTTTTTATACGAAGATATTTCCTTTTCTACCATTGACCTCAAAGCGGCTGAAATCTCCACTTGCAAATTCCACAAAAAGAGTGTTTCAAGTCTGCTCTGTGTAAAGGATCGTTGAACTCTGTGAGTTGAATACACACAACACAAGGAAGTTACTGAGAATTCTTCTGTCTAGCAGAATATGAAGAAATCCCGTTTCCAACGAAGGCCACAAGATGTCAGAATATCCACTTACAGAATTTACAAACAGACTGTTTCCAAACTGCTCTATGAAAAGAAAGGTTAAACTCTGTGAGATGAACGAGCACATCACAACGCAGTTTGTGGGAATGATTCTGTCTAGTTTTGAAACGAAGATATTTCCTTTTCTGCCGTTGACCTTAAAGTGCTTGAAAACTACACTTGCAAATTGCAGAAATAGAGTGTTTCAAATCTGCTCTGTCTAAGGGAACGTTCAACTCTGTGAGTTGAATGCACACAACACAAGGAAGTTACTGGGAATTCTTCTGTCTAGCCTTACAGGAAAAAAACCCGTTTCCAACGAAGGCCTCTAAGTGGTCAAGTTATCCACGTGCAGACTTTACAAACAGAGTGTTTCCAAACTGCTGAATGAAAAGAAAAGTTAAACTCTGAGAGTTGAACGCACACATCGCAGAGCAGTTTCTGAGAATGATTCTGTCTAGTTTTTATACGAAGATATTTCCATTTCTGCCTTTGGCCTCAAAGCGCTTGAAATCTCCATTTGCAAAGTCCACAAAAAGAGTGTTTCAAATCTGCTCTGTGTAACTGAAAGTTCAACTCTGTGAGTTGAACACACACAACACAAGGAAGTTACTGGGAATTCTTCTGTCTAGCCTTACATGAAAAAACCCGTTTCCAACGAAGGCCTCAAAGAGGTCTGAATATCCACTTGCAGAGTTTACAAACAGAGTGTTTCCTAACTGCTCTATGAAAAGAAAGGTTAAACTCTGTGAGTTGAACGCACACATCACAATGAAGTTTCTGAGAATCATTCTGTCTAGTCTTTATACGAAGATATTTACTTTTCTACCATTGACTTCAAAGCGGCTGAAATCTCCACTTGCAAATTCCACAAAAACAGTGTTTCAAGTCTGCTCTGTGTAAAGGATCATTCAACTCTGTGAGTTGAATAAACACAACACAAGGAAGTTACTGAGAATTCTTCTGTCTAGCAGAATGTGAAGAAATCCCGTTTCCAACGAAGGCCACAAGATGTCAGAATATCCACTTACAGACTTTACAAACAGAGTGTTTCCTAACTGCTCTATGAATAGAAAGGTTAAACCCTGTGAGTTGAACGAACACATCACAACGCAGTTTGTGGGAATGATTCTGTCTAGTTTTGAAACGAAGATATTTCCTTTTCTGCCATTGACCTTAAAGCGCTTGAAATCTCCATTTGCCAATTGCACAAAAAGAGTGTTTCAAATCTGCTCTGTCTAAGGGAACGTTCAACTCTGTGAGTTGAATGTACACAACACAAGGAAGTTACTGGGAATCTTCTGTCTAGCCTTACATGAAAAAAACCTGTTTCCAACGAAGGCCTCTAAGTGGTCAAATTATGCACGTGCAGACTTTACAAACAGAGTGTTTCCAAACTGCTGAATGAAAAGAAAAGTTAAACTCTGAGAGTTGAACGCACACATCGCAGAGCAGTTTCTGAGAATGATTCTGTCTAGTTTTTATACGAAGATATTTCCTTTTCTGCCTTTGGCCTCAAAGCGCTTGAAATCTCCACTTGCAAATTCCACAAAAAGAGTGTTTCAAATCTGCTCATTGTAAATGAAAGTTCAACTCTGTGAGTTGAACACACACAACACAAGGAAGTTACTGGGAATCCTTCTGTCTAGCACAGTATGAAGAAATCCCGTTTCCAACGAAGGCCTCAAAGAGGTCTGAATATCCACTTGCAGAGTTTACAAACAGAGTGTTTCCTAACTGCTCTATGAAAAGAAATGTTAAACTCTGTTAGTTGAACGCACACATCACAAAGAAGTTTCTGAGAATCATTCTGTCTAGTTTTTATACGAAGATATTTCCTTTTCTACCATGGACCTCAAAGCGGCTGAAATCTCCACTTGCAAATTCCACAAAAAGAGTGCATCAAGTCTGCTCTGTGTAAAGGATCGTTCAACTCTGTGAGTTGAATACACACAACACAAGGAAGATTCTGAGAATTCTTCTGTCTAGCAGAATATGAAGAAATCCCGTTTCCAACGAAGGCCTCAAAGAGGTCTGAATATCCACTTGCAGACTTTACAAACAGAGTGTTTCCTAACTGCTCTATGAACAGAAAGGTTAAACTCTGTGAGTTGAACGAACACATCACAACGCAGTTTGTGGGAATGATTCTGTCTAGTTTTGAAACGAAGATATTTCCTTTTCTGCCATTGACCTTAAAGCGCTTGAAATCTCCACTTGCCAATTGCACAAAAAGAGTGTTTCAAATCTGCTCTGTCTAAGGGAACGTTCAACTCTGTGAGTTGAATGTACACAACACAAGGAATTTACTGGAAATTCTTCTGTCTAGCCTTACATGCAAAAAACCTGTTTCCAACGAAGGCCTCTAAGTGGTCAAAATATCCACGTGCAGACTTTACAAACAGAGTGTTTCCAAACCGCTGAATGAAAAGAAAAGTTAAACTCTGAGAGTTGAACGCACACATCATGCAGCAGTTTCTGAGAATGATTCTGTCTAGTTTTGAAACGAAGATATTTCCTTTTCTGCCTTTGGCCTCAAAGCGCTTGAAATCTCCACTTGCAAATTCCACAAAAAGAGTGTTTCAAATCTGCTCTGTGTAAATGAAAGTTCAACTCTGTGAGTTGAACACACACAACACAAGGAAGTTACTGGGAATTCCTCTGTCTAGCAGAATATGAAGAAATCCCGTTTCCAACGAAGGCCTCAAAGAGGTCTGAATATCCACTTGCAGACTTTTCAGAAAGAGTGTTTCCTAACTGCTCTATGAAAAGAAAGGTTAAACTCTGTGAGTTGAACGCACACATCACAAAGGAGTTTCTGAGAATCATTCTGTCTAGTTGTTATACGAAGATATTTCTTTTTCTACCATTGACCTCAAAGCGGCTGAAATCTCCACTTGCAAATTCCACCAAATGAGTGTTTCAAATCTGCTCTGTGTAAACCATCATTCAACTCTGTGAGTTGAATACACACAACACAAGGAAGATTCTGAGAATTCTTCTGTCAAGCAGAATATGAAGAAATCCCGTTTCCAACGAAGGCCACAAGATGTCAGAATATCCACATACAGAATTTACAAACAGACTGTTTCCTAACTGCTCTATGAAAAGAAAGGTTAAACTCTGTTAGTTGAACGAACACATCACAACGCAGTTTGTGGGAATGATTCTGTCTAGTTTTGAAACGAAGATATTTCCTTTTCTGCCATTGACCTTAAAGCGCTTGAAATCTCCATTTGCCAATTGCACAAAAAGAGTGTTTCAAATCTGCTCTGTCTAAGGGAACGTTCAACTCTGTGAGATGAATGTACACAACACAAGGAAGTTACTGGGAATTCTTCTGTCTAGCCTTACAGGAAAAAAACCCGTTTCCAACGAAGGCCTCTAAGTGGTCAAAATATCCACGTGCAGACTTTACAAACAGAGTGTTTCCAAACTGCTGAATGAAAAGAAAAGTTAAACTCCTGAGAGTTGAACGCACACATCGCAGAGCAGTTTCTGAGAATGATTTCTGCCTAGTTTTTCTACGAAGATATTTCCTTTTCTACTATTGACCTCAAAGCGGCTGAAATCTCCACTTGCAAATTCCACAAAAAGAGTGTTTGAAGTCTGCTCTGTGTAAAGGATCGTTCAACTCTGTGAGTTGAATACACACAACACAAGGAAAGTTACTGAGAATTCTTCTGTCCAGCAGAATATGAAGAAATCCCGTTTCCAACGAAGGCCTCAAAGAGGTCTGAATATCCACTTGCAGACTTTACAAACAGAGTGTTTCCTAACTGCTCTATGAAAAGAAAGGTTAAACTCTGTGAGTTGAACGCACACATCACAAAGGAGTTTCTGAGAATCATTCTGTCTAGTCTTTATACGAAGATATTTCCTTTTCTACCATTGACCACAAAGCGGCTGAAATCTCCACTTGCAAATTCCACAAAAAGAGTGTTTCAAGTCTGCTGCTGTGTAAAGGATCATTCAACTCCTGTGAGTTGAATAAACACAACACAAGGAAGTTACTGAGAATTCTTCTGTATAGCAGAATATGAAGAAATCCCGTTTCCAACGAAAGCCTCAAAGATGTCTGAATATCCACTTACAGACTTTACAAACAGAGTGTTTCCTAACTGCTCTATGAAAAGAAAGGTTCAACTATGTGAGTTGAACGCACACATCACAAAGGAGTTTCTGAGAATCATTCTGTCTAGTTTTGAAACGAAGATATTTCCTTTTCTGCCATTGACCTTAAAGCGCTTGAAATCTACACTTGCAAATTGCACAAATAGTGTGTTTCAAATCTGCTCTGTCTAAGGGAATGTTCAACTCTGTGAGTTGAATGCACACAACACAAGGAAGTTACTGGGAATTCTTCTGTCTACCCTTACATGAAAAAAACCCGTTTCCAACGAAGGCCTCTAAGTGGTCAAAATATCCACGTGCAGACTTTACAAACAGAGTGTTTCCAAACTGCTGAATGAAAACAAAAGTTAAACTCTGAGAGTTGAACGCACACATCACAAAGCATTTTCTGAGAATGATTCTGTCTAGTTTTTATACGAAGATATTTCCTTTTCTGCCTTTGGCCCCAAAGCGCTTGAAATCTCCACTTGCAAATTCCACAAAAACAGTGTTTCAAATCTGCTCTCTCTAAACGAAAGTTCAACTCTGTCAGTTGAATACACACAAAACAAGGAAGTTACTGAGAATTCTTCTGTCTAGCAGAATATGAAGAAATCCTGCTTCCAACGAAGGCCTCAAAGAAGTCTGAATATCCATTTGCAGACTTTACAAACAGAGCGTTTCCCAACTGCTCTATGAAAAGAAAGGTTGAACTCTGTGAGTTGAACGCACACATCACAAAGGAGTTTCTGAGAATCATTCTGTCTAGTCTTTATAGGAAGATATTTCCTTTTCTACCATTGACCTCAAAGCGGCTGAAATCTCCACTTGCAAATTCCACAAAAAGAGTGTTTCAAGTCTGCTCTCTGTAAAGGATCGTTCAACTCTGTGAGTTGAATACACACAACACAAGGGAAGTTACTGAGAATTCTTCTGTCTAGCAGAATATGAAGAAATCCCGTTTCCAACGAAGGCCACAAGATGTCAGAATATCCACTTACAGAATTTACAAACAGACTGTTTCCTAACTGCTCTATGAAAAGAAAGGTTAAACTCTGTGAGTTGAGCGAACACATCACAACGCAGTTTGTGGGAATGATACTGTCTAGTTTTGAAACGAAGTTATTTCCTTTTCTGCCATTGACCTTAAAGCGCTTGAAATCTCCACTTGCAAATTGCACAAAAAGAGTGTTTCAAATCTGCTCTGTCTAAAGGAACGTTCAACTCTGTGAGTTGAATGCACACAACACAAAGAAGTTACCGGGAATTCTTCTGTCTAGCCTTACATGAAAAAAACCCGTTTCTAACGAAGGCCTCTAAGTGGTCAAATTATCCACGTGCAGACTTTACAAACAGAGTGTTTCCAAACTGCTGAAGGAAAAGAAAAGTTAAACTCTGAGAGTTGAACACACACATCGCAGAGCAGTTTCTTAGAATGATTCTGTCTAGTTTTTATACGAAGATATTTCCTTTTCTGCCTTTGGCCCCAAAGCGCTTGAAATCACCACTTGCAAATTCCACAAAAACAGTGTTTCAAATCTGCTCTCTCTAAATGAAAGTTCATCTCTGTCAGTTGAATACACACAACACAAGGAAGTTACTGAGAATTCTTCTGTCTAGCCTTATATGAAAAAAACCCGTTTCCAACGAAGGCCTCAAAGAGGTCTGAATATCCACTTGCAGACTTTACAAACAGAGTGTTTCCTAACTGCTCTATGAAAAGAAATGTTAAACTCTGTGAGTTGAACAGACACATCACAAAGGAGTTTCTGAGAATCATTCTGTCTAGTTTTGAAACGAAGATATTTCCTTTTCTACCATTGACCTCAACGCGGCTGAAAACTCCATTTGCAAATTCCACAAAAAGAGTGTTTCAAATCTGCTCTGTGTAAATGAAAGTTCAACTCTGTGAGTTGAACACACACAACACAAGGAAGTTACTGGGAATTCTTCTGTCTAGCAGAATATGAAGAAATCCCGCTTCCAACGAAGGCCTCAAGGAGGTCTGAATATCCACTTGCAGACTTTACAAACAGAGTGTTTCCTAACTGCTCTATGAACAGAAAGGTTAAACTCTGTGAGTTGAACGAACACATCACAACGCAGTTTGTGGGAATGATTCTGTCTAATTTTGAAACGAAGATATTTCCTTTTCTGCCATTGACCTTAATGCGCTTGAAATCTACACTTGCAAATTGCACAAATAGAGTGTTTCAAATCTGCTCTGTCTAAGGGAACGTTCAACTCTGTGAGTTGAATGCACACAACACAAGGAAGTTACTGGGAATTCTTCTGTCTAGCCTTACATGAAAAAAACCTGTTTCCAACGAAGGCCTCTAAGTGGTCAAATTATCCACGTGCAGACTTTACAAACAGAGTGTTTCCAAACTGCTGAATGAAAAGAAAAGTTAAACTCTGAGAGTTGAACGCACACATCGCAGAGCAGTTTCTGAGAACGATTCTGTCTAGTTTTTATACGAAGATATTTCCTTTTCTGCTTTGGCCCCAAAGCGCTTGAAATCTCCACTTGCAAATTCCACAAAAACAGTGTTTCAAATCTGCTCTCTCTTAATGAAAGTTCAACTCTGTCAGTTGAATACACACAACACAAGGAAGTTACTGAGAATTCTTCTGTCTAGCCTTATATGAAAAAAACCCGTTTCCAACGAAGGCCTCAAAGAGGTATGAGTATCCACTTGCAGACTTTACAAACAGAGTGTTTCCTAACTGCTCTATGAAAAGAAAGGTTAAAATACTGTGAGTTGAACACACACATCACAAAGGAGTTTACTGAGAATCATTCTGTCTAGTCTTTATACGAAGATATTTCCTTTTCTAACATTGACCTCAAAGCGGCTGAAATCTCCACTTGCAAATTCCACAAAAAGAGTGTTTCAAGTCTGCTCTCTGTAAAGGATCGTTCAAATCTGTGAGTTGAATACACACAACACAAGGAAGTTACTGAGAATTATTCTGTCTAGCAGAATATGAAGAAATCCCGTTTCCAACGAAGGCCCCAAGATGTCAGAATATCCACTTACAGAATTTACAACAGAGTGTTTCCTAACTGCTCTATGAAAAGAAAGGTTAAACTCTGTGAGTTGAACGAACACATCACAACGCAGTTTGTGGGAATGATTCTGTCTAGTTTTGAAACGAAGATATTTCCTTTTCTGCCATTGACCTTAAAGCGCTTGAAATCTACACTTGCAAATTGCACAAATAGAGTGTTTCAAATCTGCTCTGTCTAAGGGAACGTTGAACTCTGTGAGTTGACTGCACACAACACAAGGAAATTACTGGGAATTCTTCTGTCTAGCCTTACATGAAAAAAACACGTTTCCAACGAAGGCCTCTAAGTGGTCAAAATATCCATGTGCAGACTTTACAAACAGAGTGTTTCCTAACTGCTCTATGAAAAGAAAGGTTAAACTCTGTGAGTTCAACGCCCACATCACAAAGGAGTTTCTGAGAATCATTCTGTCTAGTTTCTATACGAAGATATTTCCTTTTCTACCATTGACCACAAAGCGGCTGAAATCTCCACTTGCAAATTCCACAAAAAGAGTGTTTCAAGTCTGCTCTGTGTAAAGGATCGTTCAACTCTGTGAGTTGAATACACACAACACAAGGAAGTTTCTGAGAATTCTTCTGTCTAGCATAGTATGAAGAAATCCCGTTTCCAACGAAGGCCTCCAAGAGGTCTGAATATCCACTTGCAGAGTTTACAAACAGAGTGTTTCCTAACTGATCTATGAAAAGAAAGGTTAAACTCGGTGAGTTGAACGCACACATCACAAAGAAGTTTCTGAGAATCATTCTGTCTAGTTTCTATAGGAAGATTTTTCCTATTCTACCATTGAACTCAAAGCGGCTGAAATCTCCACTTGCAAATTCCACAAAAAGAGTGTTTCAAGTCTGCTCTGTGTAAAGGATCATTCAACTCTGTGAGTTGAATACACACAACACAAGGAAGTTACTGAGAATTCTTCTGTCTAGCATAATAGGAAGAAAAGCCGTTTCCAACGAAGGCCTCAAGGAGGTCTGAATATCCACTTGCAGACTTTACAAACAGAGTGTTTCCTATCTGCTCTATGAAAAGAAAGGTTAAACTCTGTGAGTTGTACGCACACATCACAAAGGAGTTTCTCAGAATCATTCTGTCTAGTTTTGAAACGGAGATATTTCCTTTTCTGCCATTGACCTTAAAGCGCTTGAAATCTACACTTGCAAATTACACCAATAGAGTGTTTCAAATCTGCTCTGTCTAAGGGAACGTTCGTCTCTGTGAGTTGAATGCACACAACACAAGGAAGTTACTGGGAATTCTTCTGTCTAGCCTTACATGAAAAAATCCCGTTTCCAACGAAGGCCTCTAAGTGGTCAAAATATCCACGTGCAGACTTTACAAACAGAGTGTTTCCAAACCGCTGAATGAAAAGAAAAGTTAAACTCTGAGAGTTGAACTGCACACATCACACAGCAGTTTCTGAGAATGATTCTGTCTAGTTTTGAAACGAAGATATTTCCTTTTCTGCCTTTGGCCTCAAAGCGCTTGAAATCTCCACTTGCAAATTTCACAAAAAGAGTGTTTCAAATCTGCTCTGTGTAAATGAAAGTTCAACTCTGTGAGTTGAACACACACAACACAAGGAAGTTACTGGGAATTCTTCTGTCTAGCAGAATATGAAGAAATCCCGTTTCTAACGAAGGCCTCAAAGAGGTCTGAATATCCACTTGCAGACTTTACAAACAGAGTGTTTTCTAACTGCTCTATGAAAAGAAAGGTTAAACTCTGTGAGTTGAACGCACACATCACAAAGGAGTTTCTGAGAATCATTCTGTCTGGTTTTTATACGAAGATACTTCCTTTTCTACCATTGACCTCAAAGCGGCTGAAATCTCCACTTGCAAATTCCACAAAAAGAGTGTTTCAAGTCTGCTCTGTGTAAAGGATCGTTCAACTCTGTGTGTTGAATACACACAACACAAGGAAGTTACTGAGAATTCTTCTGTCTAGCATAATATGAAGAAATCTCGTTTCCAACGAGGGCCTAAAAGAGGTCTGAATATCCACTTGAAGACTTTACAAACAGAGTGCTTTCTAACTGCTCTATGAAAAGAAAGGTTAAACCCTGTGAGTTGAACGCACACATCACAAAGAACTTACTGAGAAACATTCTGTATAGTTTTGAAAAGAAGATATTTCCTTTCCTGCCATTGACCTCAAAGTGGCTGAAATCTCCACTTCCAAATTGCACAAAAAGAGTGTTTCAAATCTGCTCTGTCTAACTGAACGTTCAACTCTGTGAGTTGAATACACACAACACAAGGAAGTTACCGGGAATTCTTCTGTCTAGCCTTACATGAAAAAAACCCGTTTCCAACGAAGGCCTCTAAGTGGTCAAATTATCCACGTGCAGACTTTACAAACAGAGTGTTTCCAAACTGCTGAATGAAAAGAAAAGTTAAACTCTGAGAGTTGAACGCACACATCACAGAACAGTTTCTGAGAATGATTCTGTCTAGTTTTGAAACGAAAGATATTTCCTTTTCTGCCTTTGGCCTCAAAGCGCTTGAAATCTCCACTTGCAAATTCCACAAAAAGAGTGTTTCAAATCTGCTCTGTGTAAATGGAAGTTCAACTCTGTGAGTTGAACACACACAACACAAGGAAGTTACTGGGAATTCTTCTGTCTAGCCTTATATGAAAAAAACCCGTTTCCAACGAAGGCCTCAAAGAGGGCTGAATATCCACTTGAAGACTTTACAAGCAGAGTGTTTCCTAACTGCTCTATGAAAAGAAAGGTTAAACTCTGTGAGTTGAACGCACACATCACAAAGGAGTTTCTGAGAATCATTCTGTCTAGTTTTTATACAAAGATATTTCCTTTTCTACCATTGACCTCAAAGCGGCTGAAATCTCCACTTGCAAATTCCACAAAAAGAGTGTTTCAAGTCTGCTCTGTGTAAACGATCGTTCAACTCTGTGAGTTGAATACACACAACCCAAGGAAGTTTCTGAGAATTCTTCTGTCTAGCATAATATGTAGAAATCCCGTTTCCAACGAAGTCCTCAAGGAGTTCTGAATATCCACTTGCAGACTTTACAAACAGAGTGTTTCCTAACTGCTCTATGAAAAGAAAGGTTAAACTCTGTGAGTTGAATGCACACATCACAAAGGAGTTTCTGAGAATCATTCTGTCTAGTTTCTATAGGAAGATATTTCCTGTTCTACCATTGACCTCAAAGCGGCTGAAATCTCCACTTGCAAATTCCACAAAAAGAGTGTTTCAAGTCTGCTCTGTATAAAGGATCGTTCAACTCTGTGAGTTGAATACACACAACACAAAGAAGTTACTGAGAATTCTTCTGTCTAGCAGAATATGAAGAAATCCCGTTTCCAACGAAGGCCACAAGATGTCAGAATATCCACTTACAGACTTTACAAACAGAGTGTTTCCTCACTGCTCTATGAACAGAAAGGTTAAACTCTGTGAGTTGAACGAACACATCACAACGCAGTTTGTGGGAATGATTCTGTCTAGTTTTGAAACGAAGATATTTCCTTTTCTGCCATTGACCTTAAAGCGCTTTAAATCTACACTTGCAAATTGCACAAATAGAGTGTTTCAAATCTGCTCTGTCGAAGGGAACGTTCATCTCTGTGAGTTGAATGCACACAACAAAAGGAAGTTACTGGGAATTCTTCTGTCTAGCCTTACATGAAAAAAAACACGTTTCCAACGAAGGCTTCTAAGTGGTCAAAATATCCACGTGGAGACTTTACAAACAGAGTGTTTCCAAACTGCTGAATGAAAAGAAAAGTTAAACTCTGAGAGTTGAACGCACACATCACAGAGCGGTTTCTGAGAATGATTCTGTCTAGTTTTTATACGAAGAATATTTCCTTTTCTGCCTTTGGCCTCAAAGCGCTTGAAATCTCCACTTGCAAATTCCACAAAAAGAGTGTTTCGAATCTGCTCTGTGTAAATCAAAGTTCAACTCTGTGAGTTGAACACACACAACACAAGGAAGTTACTGGGAATTCTTCTGTCTAGCCCTATATGAAAAAAACCCGTTTCCAACGAAGGCCTCAAAGAGGGCTGAATATCCACTTGCAGACTTTACAAGCAGAGAGTTTCCTAACTGCTCTATGAAAAGAAAGGTTAAACTCTGTGAGTTGAACGCACACATCACAAAGGAGTTTCTGAGAATCATTCTGTCTAGTTTCTATAGGAAGATATTTCCTATTCTACCATTGAGCTCAAAGCGGCTGAAATCTCCACTTGCAAATTCCACAAAAAGAGTGTTTCAAGTCTGCTCTCTGTAAAGGATCGTTCAAGTCTGTGAGTTGAATACACACAACACAAGGAAGTTACTGAGAATTCTTCTGTCCAGCAGAATATGAAGAAATCCCGTTTCCAACGAAGGCCACAAGATGTCAGAATATCCACTTACAGACTTTACAAACAGAGTGTTTCCTAACTGCTCTATGAACAGAAAGGTTAAACTCTGTGAGTTGAACGATCACATCACAACGCAGTTTGTGGGAATGATTCTGTCTAGTTTTGAAACGAAGAATATTTCCTTTTCTGTCATTGACCTTAAAGCGCTTGAAATCTACACTTGCAAATTGCACAAATAGAGTGTTTCAAATCTGCTCTGTCTAAGGGAACGTTCAACTCTGTGAGTTGAATGCACACAACACAAGGAAGTTACTGGGAATTCTTCTGTCGAGCCTTACATGAAAAAAACCCGTTTCCAACGAAGGCCTCTAAGTGGTCAAAATTTCCACGTGCAAACTTTACAAACAGAGTGTTTCCAAACCGCTGAATGAAAAGAAAAGTTAAACTCTGAGAGTTGAACGCACACATCACACAGCAGTTTCTGAGAATGATTCTGTCTAGTTTTATACGAAGATATTTCCTTTTCTGCCTTTGGCCCCAAAGCGCTTGAAATCTCCACTTGCAAATTCCACAAAAACAGTGTTTCAAATCTGCTCTCTCTACATGAAAGTTCAACTCTGTCAGTTGAATACACACAATACAAGGAAGTTACTGAGAATTCTTCTTTCTAGCAGAATATGAAGAAATCCCGTTTCCAACGAAAGCCTCAAGGATGTCTGAATATCCACTTGCAGACATTACAAACAGAGTGTTTCCTAACTGCTCTATGAAAAGAAAGGTTAAACTCTGTGAGTTGAACGCACACATCACAAAGGAGTTTCTGAGAATCATTCTGTCTAGTTTCTATACGAAGATATTTCCTTTTCTACCATTGACCTCAAAGCGGCTGAAATCTCCACTTGCAAATTCCACAAAAAGAGTGTTTCTAATCTGCTCTGTGTAAAGGATCGTTCAACTCTGTGAGTTGAAAGCACACAACACAAGGAAGTTACTGAGAATTCTTCTGTCTAGAGTATGAAGAAATACCGTTTCCAACGAAGGCCTCTAAGAGGTCTGAATATCCACTTGCAGACTTTACAAACAGAGTGTTTCCTAACTGCTCTATGAAAAGAAAGGTTAAACTCTGTGAGTTGAACGCACACATCACAAAGAAGTTTCTGAGAATCATTCTGTCTAGTTTTGAAACGAAGATATTTCCTTTTCTGCCATTGACCTTAAAGCGCTTGAAATCTACACTTGCAAATTGCACAAATAGAGTGTTTCAAATCTGCTCTGTCTAAGGGAACGTTCAACTCTGTGAGTTGAATGCACACAACACAAGGAAGTTACTGGGAATTCTTCTGTCTAGCCTTACATGAAAACAACCCGTTTCCAACGAAGGCCTCTAAGTGGTCAAAATATCCACGTGCAGACTTTACAAACACAGTGTTTCCAAACCGCTGAATGAAAAGAAAAGTTAAACTCTGAGAGTTGAACGCACACATCACGCAGCAGTTTCTGAGAATGATTCTGTCTAGTTTTGAAACGAAGATATTTCCTTTTCTGCCTTTGGCCTCAAAGCGCTTGAAATCTCCATTTGCAAATTCCACAAAAAGAGTGTTTCAAATCTGCTCTGTGTAAATGAAAGTTCAGCTCTGTGAGTTGAACACACACAACACAAGGAAGTTACTGGGAATTCTTCTGTATAGCAGAATATGAAGAAATCCCGTTTCCAACGAAGGCCTCAAGGAGGTCTGAATATCCACTTGCAGACTTTACAAACAGAGTGTTTCCTAACTGCTCTGTGAAAAGAAAGTTTAAACTCTGTGAGTTGAACGCAGACATCACAAAGGAGTTTCTGAGAATCACTCTGTCTAGTTTTTATAGGAAGATATTTCCTTTTCTACCTTTGACTTCAAAGCGGCTGAAATCACCACTTGCAAATTCCACAAAAAGAGTGTTACAAGTCTGCTCTGTGTAAAGGATCGTTCAACTCTGTGAGGTGAATACACACAACACAAGGAAGTTACTGAGAATTCTTCTGTCTAGCAGAATATGAAGAAATCCCGTTTCCAACGAAGACCTCAAGGAGGTCTGAATATCCACTTGCAGACTTTACAAACAGAGTGTTTCCTAACTGCTCTATGAACAGAAAGGTTAAACTCTGTGAGTTGAACGAACACATCACAACGCAGTTTGTGGGAATGATTCTGTCTCGTTTTGAAACGAAGATATTTCCTTTTCTGCCATTGACCTTAAAGCGCTTGAAATCTCCATTTGCCAATTGCACAAAAAGAGTGTTTCAAATCTGCTCTGTCTAAGGGAACGTTCAACTCTGTGAGTTGAATGTACACAACACAAGGAAGTTACTGGGAATTCTTCTGTCTAGCCTTACAGGAAAAAAACCCGTTTCCAACGAAGGCCTCTAAGCGGTCAAAATATCCACGTGCAGACTTTACAAACAGAGTGTTTCCACACTGCTGAATGAAAAGAAAAGTTAAACTCTGAGAGTTGAACGCACACATCGCAGAGCAGTTTCTGAGAATGATTCTGTCTAGTTTCTATAAGAAGATATTTCCTATTCTACCATTGACCTCAAAGCGGCTGAAATCTCCACTTGCAAATTCGACAAAAAGCGTGTTTCAAGCCTGCTCTCTGTAAAGGATCCTTCAACTCTGTGAGTTGAATACACACAACACAAGGAAGTTACTGAGAATTATTCTGTCTAGCCTTATATGAAAAAAACCCGTTTCCAACGAAGGCCTCAAAGAGGTCTGAATATCCTCTTGCAGACTTTACAAACAGAGTGTTTCCTAACTGCTCTATGAAAAGAAAGGTTAAACTCTGTGAGTTGGACACACACATCACAAAGGAGTTTCTGAGAATTATTCTGTCTAGTTTCTATAGGAAGATATTTCCTATTCTACCATTGACCTCAAAGCGGCTGAAATCTCCACTTGCAAATTCCACAAAAAGAGTGTTTCAAGTCTCCTCTCTGTAAAGGATCGTTCAACTCTGTGAGTTGAATACACACAACACAAGGAAGTTACTGAGAATTATTCTGTCTAGCAGAATATGAAGAAATCCCGTTTCCAACGAAGGCCACAAGATGTCAGAATATCCACTTACAGACTTTACAAACAGAGTGTTTCCTAACTGCTCTATGAACACAAAGGTTAAACTCTGTGAGTTGAACGAACACATCACAACGCAGTTTGTGGGAATGATTCTGTCTAGTTTTGAAACGAAGATATTTCCTTTTCTGCCATTGATCTTAAAGCGCTTGAAATCTACAGTTGCGAATTGCACAAATAGAGTGTTTCAAATCTGCTCTGTCTAAGGGAACGTTCAACTATGTGAGTTGAATGCACACAACACAAGGAAGTTACTGTGAATTCTTCTGTCTAGCCTTACATGAAAAAACCCGTTTCCAACGAAGGCCTCTAAGTGGCCAAATTATCCACGTGCAGACTTTACAAACAGAGTGTTTCCAAACTGCTGAAGGAAAAGAAAAGTTAAACTCTGAGAGTTGAACGCACACATCGCAGAGCAGTTTCTGAGAATGATTCTGTCTAGTTTTTATACGAAGATATTTCCCTTTCTGCCTTTGGCCTCAAAGCGCTTGAAATCTCCACTTGCAAATTCCACAAAAAGAGTGTTTCAAATCTGCTCTGTGTAAATGAAAGTTCAACTCTGTGAGTTGAACACACACAACACAAGGAAGTTACTGAGAATTCTGTCTAGCCTTATATGAAAAAAACCCGTTTCCAACGAAGGCCTCAAACAGGTCTGAATATCCACTTGCAGACTTTACAAACAGAGTGTTTCCTAACTGCTCTATGAAAAGAAAGGTTAAACTCTGTGAGTTGAACGCACACATCACAAAGGAGTTTCTGAGAATCATTCTGTCTAGTTTTTATACGAAGATATTTCCTTTTCTACCATTGACCTCAACGCGGCTGAAATCTCCACTTGCAAATTCCACAAAAGGAGTGTTTCAAGTCTGCTCTGTGTAAACGATCGTTCAACTCTGTGAGTTGAATACACACAACACAAGGAAGTTACTGAGAATTCTTCTGTCTAGCAGAATATGAAGAAATCCCGTTTCCAACGAAGGCCACAAGATGTCAGAATATCCACGTACAGAATTTACAAACAGACTGTTTCCTAACTGCTCTATGAAAAGAAAGTTTAAACTCTGTGAGTTGAACGAACACCTCACAACGCAGTTTGTGGGAATGATTCTGTCTAGTTTTGAAACGAAGATATTTCCTTTTCTGCCATTGACCTGAAAGCACTTGAAATCTACACTTGCAAATTGCACAAATAGAGTGTTTCAAATCTGCTCTGTCTAAGGGAACGTTCAACTCTGTGAGTTGAATGCACACAACACAAGGAAGTTACTGGGAATTCTTCTGTCTAGCCTTACATGAAAAAAAACCCGTTTCCAACGAAGGCCTCTAAGTGGTCAAAATATCCACGTGCAGACTTTACAAACAGAGTGTTTCCAAACCGCTAAATGAAAAGAAAAGTTAAACTCTGAGAGTTGAACGCACACATCACGCAGCAGTTTCTGAGAATGATTCTGTCTAGTTTTTCTACGAAGATATTTCCTTTTCTGCCTTTGGCCTCAAAGCGCTTGAAATCTCCATTTGCAAATTCCACAAAAAGAGTGTTTCAAATCTGCTCTGTGTAAATGAAAGTTCAACTCTGTGAGTTGAACACACACAACACAAGGAAGTTACTGGGAATTCTTCTGTATAGCAGAATATGAAGAAATCCCGTTTCCAACGAAGGCCTCAAGGAGGTCTGAATATCCACTTGCAGACTTTACAAACAGAGTGTTTCCTAACTGCTCTATGAAAAGAAAGGTTAAACTCTGTGAGTTGAACACAGACATCACAAAGGAGTTTCTGAGAATCACTCTGTCTAGTTTTTATACGAAGATATTTCCTTTTCTTCCATTGACCTCAAAGCGGCTGAAATCTCCACCCTGCCAATTCCACAAAAAGAGTGTTTCAAGTCTACTCTGTGTAAAGGATCGTTGAACTCTGTGAGTTGAAAACACACAACACAACGAAGTTTCTGAGAATTCTTCTGTCTAACAGAATATGAAGAAATCCATTTCCAACGAAGGCCTCAAAGAGGTCTGAATATCAACTTACAGACTTTACAAACAGAGTGTTTCCTAACTGCTCTATGAACAGAAAGGTTAAACTCTGTGAGTTGAACGAACCCATCACAATGCAGTTTGTGGGAATGATTCTGTCTAGTTTTGAAATGAAGATATTTCCTTTTCTGCCATTGACCTTAAAGCGCTTGAAATCTACACTTGCAAATTGCACAAATAGAGTGTTTCAAATCTGCTCTGTCTAAGGGAACGTTCAACTCTGTGAGTTGAATGCACACAACACAAGGAAATTACTGGGAATTCTTCTGTCTAGCCTTACAGGCAAAAAAACCCGTTTCCAACGAAGGCCTCTAAGTGGTCAAAATATCCACGTGCAGACTTTACAAACAGAGTGTTTTCAAACTGCTGAATGAAAAGAAAAGTTAAACTCTGAGAGTTGAACGCACACATCGCAGAGCAGTTTCTGAGAATGATTCTGTCTAGTTTTTATACGAAGATATTTCCTTTTCTGCCTTTGGCCTCAAAGCGCTTAAAATCTCCACTTGCAAATTCCACAAAAAGAGTGTTTCAAATCTGCTCTGTCTAAATGAAAGTTCAACTCTGTCAGTTGAATACACACAGCACAAGGAAGTTACTGAGAATTCTTCTGTGTAGCATCATATGAAGAAATCCCGTTTCCAACGAAGGCCTCAAAAAGGTCTGAATATCCACTTGCAGACTTTACAAACAGAGTGTTTCCTAACTGCTCTATGAAAAGAAAGGTTAAACTCTGTGAGTTGAACGCACACATCACAAATGAGTTTCTGAGAATCATTCTGTCTAGTTTTTATACGAAGATATTTCCTTTTCTACCATTGACTTCAAAGCGGCTGAAATCTCCACTTGCAAATTCCTCAAAAAGAGTGTTTCAAGTCTGCTCTGTGTAAAGGATCGTTCAACTCTGTGAGTTGAATACACACAATACAAGGAAGTTACTGAGAATTCTTCTGTCTAGCAGAATATGAAGAAATGCCGTTTCCAACGAAGGCCACAAGATGTCAGAATATCCACTTACAGAATTTACAAGCAGACTGTTTCCTAACTGCTCTATGAAAAGAAAGGTTAAACTCTGTGATTTGAACGAACACATCACAACGCAGTTTGTGGGAATGATTCTGTCTAGTTTTGAAACGAAGATATTTCCTTTTCTGCCTTTGACCCTAAAGCGCTTGAAATCTACACTTGCAAATTGCACAAATAGAGTGTTTCAAATCTGCTCTGTCTAAGGGAACGTTCAACTCTGTGAGTTGAATGCACACAACACAAGGAAGTTACTGGGAATTCTTCTGTCTAGCCTTACATGAAAAAATCCCGTTTCCAACGAAGGCCTCTAAGTGGTCAAAATATCCACGTGCAGACTTTAACAAATAGAGTGTTTCCAAACCGCTGAATGAAAAGAAAAGGTAAACTCTGAGAGTTGAACGCACACATCACGCAGCAGTTTCTGAGAATGATTCTGTCTAGTTTTTATACGAAGATATTTCCTTTTCTACCATTGACCTCAAAGCGGCTGAAATCTCCACTTGCAAATTCCACAAAAAGAGTGTTTCAAGTCTGCTCTGTGTAAAGGATCGTTCAACTCTGTGAGTTGAACACACAAAACACAAGGAAGTTTCTGAGAATTCTTCTGTATAGCAGAATATGAAGAAATCCCGTTTCCAACGAAGGCCTCAAGGAGGTCTGAATATGCACTTGCAGACTTTACAAACAGAGTGTTTCCTAACTGCTCTATGAAAAGAAAGGTTAAACTCTGTGAGTTGAACGCAGACATCACAAAGGAGTTTCTGAGAATCACTCTGTCTAGTTTTTATAGGAAGATATTTCCTTTTCTACCTTTGACTTAAAAGCGGCTGAAATCTCCACTTGCAAATTCCACAAAAAGAGTGTTACAAGTCTGCTCTGTGTAAAGGATCGTTCAACTGTGTGAGTTGAATACACACAACACAAGGAAGTTACTGAGAATTCTTCTGTCTAGCAGAATATGAAGAAATCCCGTTTCCAACGAAGGCCTCAAAGAGGTCTGAATATCCACTTGCAGACTTTACAAACAGAGTGTTTCCTAACTGCTCTATGAACAGAAAGGTTAAACTCTGTGAGTTGAACGAACACATCACAACGCAGTTTGTGGGAATGATTCTGTCTAGTTTTTATAGGAAGATATTTCCTTTTCTACCTTTGACTTGAAAGCGGCTGAAATCTCCACTTGCAAATTCCACAAAAAGAGTGTTACAAGTCTGCTCTGTCTAAGGGAACGTTCAACTCTGTGAGTTGAATGTACACAACACAAGGAAGTTAGTGGGAATTCTTCTCTCTAGCCTTACATGAAAAAAACCCGTTTCCAACGAAGGCCTCTAAGTGGTCAAAATATCCACGTGCAGACTTTTCAAACAGAGTGTTTCCAAACCGCTGAATGAAAAGAAAAGTTAAACTCTGAGAGTTGAACGCACACATCACGCAGCAGTTTCTGAGAATGATTCTGTCTAGTTTTGAAACGAAGATATTTCCTTTTCTGCCTTTGGCCTCAAAGCGCTTGAAATCTCCACTTGCAAATTCCACAAAAGGAGTGTTTCAAATCTGCTCTGTGTAAATGAAAGTTCAACTCTGTGAGTTGAACACACACAACACAAGGAAGTTACTGGGAATTCTTCTGTCTAGCCTTATATGAAAAAAACCCGTTTCCAACGAAGGACTCAAAGAGGTCTGAATATCCACTTGCAGACTTTACAAACAGAGTGTTTCCTAACTGCTCTAAGAAAAGAAAGGTTAAACTCTGTGAGTTGAACGTACACATCACAAAGGAGTTTCTGAGAATCATTCTGTCTAGTTTTTCTACGAAGATATTTCCTTTTCTACTATTGACCTCAAAGCGGCTGAAATCTCCACTTGCAAATTCAACAAAAAGAGTGTTTCAAGTCTGCTCTGTGTAAAGGATCAGTTCAACTCTGTGAGTTGAATACACACAACACAAGGAAGTTACTGAGAATTCTTCTGTCTAGCAGAATATGAAGAAATCCCGTTTCCAACGAAGGCCACAAGATGTCAGAATATCCACTTACAGACTTTACAAACAGTGTGTTTCCTAACTGCTCTATGAACGGAAAGGTTAAACTCTGTGAGTTGAACGAACACATCACAACGCAGTTTGTGGGAATGATTCTGTCTAGTTTTGAAACGAAGATATTTCCTTTTCTGCCATTGACCTTAAAGCGCTTGAAATCTACACTTGCAAATTGCACAAATAGAGTGTTTCAAATCTGCTCTCTCTAAGGGAACGTTCAACTCTGTGAGTTGAATGCACACAACACAAGGAAGTTACTGGGAATTCTTCTTTCTAGCAGAATATGAAGAAATCCCGTTTCCAACGAAAGCCTCAAGGATGTCTGAATATCCACTTGCAGACTTTACAAACAGAGTGTTTCCCAACTGCTCTATGAAAAGAAAGGATAAACTCTGTGAGTTGAACGCACACATCACAAAGGAGTTTCTGAGAATCATTCTGTCTAGTTTCTATAGGAAGATATTTCCTATTCTACCATTGACCTCAAAGCGGCTGAAATCTCCACTTGCAAATTCCACAAAAAGAGTGTTTCAAGTCTGCTCTGTGTAAAGGATCGTTCAACTGTGTGAGTTGAATACACACAACACAAGGCAGTTACTGAGAATTCTTCTGTATAGCAGAATATGAAGAAATCCCGTTTCCAACGAAGGCCTCAAGGAGGTCTGAATATCCACTTGCAGACTTTACAAACAGAGTGTTTCCTAACTGCTCTATGAAAAGAAAGTTTAAACTCTGTTAGTTGAACGCAGATATCACAAAGGAGTTTCTGAGAATCACTCTGTCTAGTTTCTATAGGAAGATATTCCCTATTCTACCATTGACCTCAAAGCGGCTGAAATCTCCACTTGCAAATTCCACAAAAAGAGTGTTTCAAGTCTGCTCTCTGTAAAGGATCGTTCAACTCTGTGAGTTGAATACACACAACACAAGGAAGTTATTGAGAATTAATCTGTCTAGCTGAATATGAAGAAATCCCGCTTCCAAGGAAGGCCTCAAAGAAGTCTGAATATCCACTTGCAGATTTTACAAACAGAGTGTTTCCCAACTGCTCTATGAAAAGAAAGGTTGAACTCTGTGAGTTGAACGCACACATCACAAAGGAGTTTCTGAGAATCATTCTGTCTAGTGTCTATAGGAAGATATTTCCTATTCTACCATTGAACTCAAAGCGGCTGAAATCTCCACTTGCAAATTCCACAAAAAGAGTGTTTCAAGTCTGCTCTGTGTAAAGGATCGTTCAACTCTGTGAGTTGAATACACACAACACAAGGAAGTTACTGAGAATTCTTCTGTCTAGCCTTACATGAAAAAAACCCGTTTCCAACGAAGGCCTCTAAGTGGTCAAAATATCCACGTGCAGACTTTACAAACAGAGTGTTTCCAAACCGCTGAATGAAAAGAAAAGTTAAACTCTGAGAGTTGAACGCACACATCACACAGCAGTTTCTGAGAATGATTCTGTCTAGTTTTTATACGAAGATATTTCCTTTTCTGCCTTTGGCCCCAGAGCGCTTGAAATCTCCACTTGCAAATTCCACAAAAACAGTGTTTCAAATCTGCTCTCTCCAAATGAAAGTTCAACTCTGTCAGTTGAATACACACAACACAAGGAAGTTACTGAGAATTCTTCTGTCTAGCATAATATGAAGAAATCCCGTTTCCAACGAAGGCCTCAAGGAGGTCTGAATATCCACTTGCAGACTTTACAAACAGAGTGTTTCCTAACTGCTCTATGAAAAGAAAGGTTAAAGTCTGTGAGTTGAACGCACACATCACAAAGGAGTTTCTGAGAATCATTCTGTCTAGTTTCTATAGGAAGATATTTCCTATTCTACCATTGACCTCAAAGCGGCTGAAATCTCCACTTGCAAATTCCACAAAAAGAGTGTTTCAAGTCTGCTCTGTGTAAAGGATCGTTGAACTCTGTGAGTTGAATACACACAACACAAGGAAGTTACTGAGAATTCTTCTCTCTAGCAGAATATGAAGAAATCCCGTTTCCAACGAAGGCCTCAAAGAGGTCTGAATATCCACTTCCAGACTTTACAAACAGAGTGTTTCCTAACTGCTCTATGAAAAGAAAGGTTAAACTCTGTGAGTTGAACGCACACATCACAAAGGAGTTTCTGAGAATCATTCTGTCTAGTTTTTATACGAAGATATTTCCTTTTCTACCATTGACCTCAAAGCGGCTGAAATCTCCACTTGCAAATTCCACAAAAAGAGTGTTTCAAGTCTGTTCTGTGTAAAAGATCATTCAACTCTGTGAGTTGAATACACACAACACAAGGAAGTTACTGAGAATTCTTCTGTCTAGCCTTACAAGAAAGAAACCCGTTTCCAACGAAGGCCTCTAAGTGGTCAAAATATCCACGTGCAGACTTTACAAACAGAGTGTTTCCAAACTGCTGAATGAAAAGAAAAGTTAAACTCTGAGAGTTGAACGCACACATCGCAGAGCAGTTTCTGAGAATGATTCTGTCTAGTTTTTATACGAAGATATTTCCTTTTCTGCATTTGGCCTCAAAGCGCTTGAAATCTCCACTTGCAAATTCCACAAAAAGAGTGTTTCCAATCTGCTCTGTGTAAATGAAAGTTCAACTCTGTGAGTTGAATACACACAACACAAGGAAGTTACTGGGAATTCTTCTGTCTAGCAGAATATGAAGAAATCCCATTTCCAACGAAGGCCACAAGATGTCAGAATATCCACTTACAGACTTGACAAACAGAGTGTTTCCTAACTGCTCTATGAACAGAAAGGTAAAACGCTGTGAGTTGAACGAACACATCACAACGCAGTTTGTGGGAATGATTATCTGTCTAGTTTTTGTACGAAGATATTTCCTTTTCTACCATTGACCTCAAAGCGGCTGAAATCTCCACTTGCAAATTCCACAAAACGAGTGTTTCAAGTCCGCTCTCTGTAAAGGATCGTTCAACTCTGTGAGTTGAATCCACACAACACAAGGAAGTTACTGAGAATTCTTCTGTCTCGCACAGTATGGAGAAATCCCGTTTCCAACGAAGGCCTCAAAGAGGTCTGAATATCCACTTGCAGAGTTTACAAACAGAGTGTTTCCTAACTGCTCTATGAGAAGAAAGGTTAAACTCTGTGAGTTGAACGCACACATCACAAAGAAGTTTCTTAGAATCATTCTGTCTAGTTTTGAAACGAAGATATTTCCTTTTCTGCCGTTGACCTTAAAGCGCTTGAAATGTACACTTGCAAATTGCACAAATAGAGTGTTTCAAATCTGCTCTGTCTAAGGGAACGTTCAACTCTGTGAGTTGAATGCACACAACACAAGGAAGTTACTGGGAATTCTTCTGTCTAGCCTTACAGGAAAAAAACCCGTTTCCAACGAAGGCCTCTAAGTGGTCAAGTTATCCAGGTGCAGACTTTACAAACAGAGTGTTTCCAAACTGCTGAATGAAAAGAAAAGTTAAACTCTGAGAGTTGAACGCACACATCGCAGAGCAGTTTCTGAGAATGATTCTGTCTAGTTTTGAAACGAAGACATTTCCTTTTCTGCCTTTGGCCTCAAAGCACTTGAAATCTCCATTTGCAAATTCCACAAAAAGAGTGTTTCAAATCTGCTCTGTGTAAATGAAAGTTCAACTCTGTGAGTTGAACACACACAACACAAGGAAGTTACTGGGAATTCTTCTGTCTAGCCTTATATGAAAAAAACCCGTTTCCAACGAAGGCCTCAAAGAGGGCTGAATATCCACTTGCAGACTTTACAAGCAGAGTGTTTCCTAACTGCTCTATGAAAAGAAAGGTTAAACTCTGTGAGTTGAACGCACACATCACAAAGGAGTTTATGAGAATCATTCTGTCTAGTTTCTATAGGAAGATATTTCCTATTCTACCATTGACTTCAAAGCGGCTGAAATCTCCACTTGCAAATTCCACAAAAAGAGTGTTTCAAGACTCTTCTGTGTAAAGGATCATACAACTCTGTGAGGTGAATACACACAACACAAGGAAGTTACTGAGAATTCTTCTGTCTAGCAGAATATGAAGAAATCCCGTTTCCAACGAAGGCCACAAGATGTCAGAATATCCACTTACAGACTTTACAAACAGAGTGTTTCCTAACTGCTCTATGAATAGAAAGGTTAAACTCTGTGAGTTGAACGAACACATCACAACGCAGTTTGTGGGAATGATTCTGTCTAGTTTTGAAACGAAGATATTTCCTTTTCTGCCATTGACCTTAAAGCGCTTGAAATCTACACTTGCAAATTGCACAAATAGAGTGTTTCAAATCTGCTCTGTCTAAGGGAACGTTCAACTCTGTGAGTTGAATGCACACAACACAAGGAAGTTACTGGGAATTCTTCTGTCTAGCCTTACATGAAAAAAACCCGTTTCCAACGAAGGCCTCTAAGTGGTCAAAATTTCCACGTGCAGACTTTACAAACAGAGTGTTTCCAAACCGCTGAATGAAAAGAAAAGTTAAACTCTGAGAGTTGAACGCACACATCACGAAGCAGGTTCTGAGAATGATTCTGTCTAGTTTTTATACGAAGATATTTCCTTTTCTGCCTTTGGCCTCAAAGCGCTTGAAATCTCCACTTGCAAATTCCACAAAAAGAGTGTTTCAAATCTGCTCTGTGTAAACGAAAGTTCAACTCTGTGAGTTGAACACACACAACACAAGGAAGTTACTGGGAATTCTTCTGTCTAGCAGAATATGAAGAAATCCCGTTTCCAACGAAGGCCTCAAAGAGGTCTGAATATCCAATTGCAGACATTATAAACAGAGTGTTTCCTAACTGCTCTATGAAAAGAAAGGTTGAACTCTGTGAGTTGAACGCACACATCACAAAGGAGTTTCTGAGAATCATTCTGTCTAGTTTTTATACGAAGATATTTCCTTTTCTAACATTGACCTCAAAGCGGCTGAAATCCCCACTTGCAAATTCCACAAAAAGAGTGTTTCAAGTCTGCTCTGTGTAAAGGATCGTTGAACTCTGTGAGTTGAATACACAACACAAGGAAGTTACTGAGAATTCTTCTGTCTAGCAGAATATGAAGAAATCCCGTTTCCAACGAAGGCCTAAAAGAGGTCTGAATATCCACTTGCAGACTTTACAAACAGAGTGTTTCCTAACTGCTCTATGAGAAGAAAGGTTAAACTCTGTGAGTTGAACGCACACATCACAAAGGAGTTTCTGAGAATCATTCTGTCTAGTTTTGAAACGAAGATATTTCCTTTTCTGCCATTGACCTTAAAGCGCTTGAAATCTACACTTGCAAATTGCACAAATAGAGTGTTTCAAATCTGCTCTGTCTAAGGGAACTGTTCAACTCTGTGAGTTGAATGCACACAACACAAGGAAGTTACTGGGAATTCTTCTGTCTAGCCTTACATGAAAAAAACCCGTTTCCAACGAAGGCCTCTAAGTGGTCAAAATATCCACGTGCAAACTTTACAAACAGAGTGTTTCCAAACCGCTGAATGAAAAGAAAAGTTAAACTCTGAGAGTTGAACGCAAACATCACGCAGCAGTTTTTGAGAATGATTCTGTCTAGTTTTTATACGAAGATATTTACTTTTCGGCCTTTGGCCCCAAAGCGCTTGAAATCTCCACTTGCAAATTCCACAAAAACAGTGTTTCAAATCTGCTCTCTCTAAATGAAAGTTCAACTCTGTCAGTTGAATACACACAACACAAGGAAGTTACTTAGAATTCTTCTGTCTAGCAGAATATGAAGAAATCCCGTTTCCAACGAAGGCGTCAAAGAGGTCTGAATATCCACTTGCAGACTTTACAAACAGAGTGTTTCCTAACTGCTCTATGAAAAGAAAAGTTAAACTCTGTGAGTTTAACGCACACATCACAAAGGAGTTTCTGAGAATCATTCTGTCTAGTCTTTATACGAAGATATTTCCTTTTCTACCATTGACCTCAAAGCGGCTGAATTCTCCACTTGCAAATTCCACAAAAAGAGTGTTTCAAGTCTGCTCTCTGTAAAGGATCGTTCAACTCTGTGAGTTGAATACACACAACACAAGGAAGTTACTGAGAATTATTCTGTCTAGCAGAATATGAAGAAATCCCGTTTCCAACGAAGGCCACAAGATGTCAGAATATCCACTTACAGAATTTTCAAACAGACTGTTTCCTAACTGCTCTAAGAAAAGAAAGGTTAAACTCTGTGAGTTGAACGAACACATCACAACGCAGTTTGTGGGAGTGATTCTGTCTAATTTTGAAACGAAGATATTTCCTTTTCTGCCATTGACCTTAATGCGCTTGAAATCTACACTTGCAAATTGCACAAATAGAGTGTTTCAAATCTGCTCTGTCTAAGGGAACGTTCAACTCTGTGAGTTGAATGCACACAACACAAGGAAGTTACTGGGAATTCTTCTGTCTAGCCTTACATGAAAAAAACCCGTTTCCAACGAAGGCCTCTAAGTGGTCAAAATTTCCACGTGCAGACTTTACAAACAGAGTGTTTCCAAACCGCTGAATGAAAAGAAAAGTTAAACTCTGAGAGTTGAACCCACACATCACGCAGCAGTTTCTGAGAATGATTCTGTCTAGTTTTTATACGAAGATATTTCCTTTTCTATCATTGACCTCAAAGCGGCTGAAATCTCCACTTGCAATTTCCACAAAAAGAGTGTTTCAAGTCTGCTCTGTGTAAAGGATCGTTCAACTCTGTGAGTTGAATACACACAACACAAGGAAGTTACTGAGAATTCTTCTGTCTAGCCTTATATGAATAAAACCCGTTTCCAACGAAGGCCTCAAAGAGGTCTGAATATCCTCTTGCAGACTTTACAAACAGAGTGTTTCCTAACTGCTCTATGAAAAGAAAGGTTAAACTCTGTGAGTTGAACTCACACATCACAAAGGAGTTTCTGAGAATCATTCTGTCTAGTTTTTATACGAAGATATTTCCTTTTCTACCATTGACCTCAACGCGGCAGAAACCTCCACTTGCAAATTCCACAAAACGAGTGTTTCAAGTCCGCTCTGTGTAAAGGATCGTTCAACTCTGTGAGTTGAATACACACAACACAAGGAAGTTACTGAGAATTCTTCTGTCTAGCAGAATATGAAGAAATCCCGTTTCCAACGAAGGCCAAAAGATGTCAGAATATCCACTTACAGAATTTACAAACAGAGTGTTTCCTAACTGCTCTATGAAAAGAATTGTTAAACTCTGTGAGTTGAACGAACACATCACAACGCAGTTTGTGGGAATGATTCTGTCTAGTTTTGAAACGAAGATATTTCCTTTTCTGCCATTGACCTTAAAGCGCTTGAAATCTCCATTTGCCAACTGCACAAAAAGAGTGTTTCAAATCTGCTCTGTCTAAGGGAACGTTCAACTCTGTGAGTTGAATGTACACAACACAAGGAAGTTACTGGGAATTCTTCTGTCTAGCCTTACAGGAAAAAAACCCGTTTCCAACGAAGGCCTCTAAGTGGTCAAAATATCCAAGTGCAGACTTTACAAAGAGAGTGTTTCCAAACTGCTGAATGAAAAGAAAAGTTAAACTCTGAGAGTTGAACGCACACATCGCAGAGCAGTTTCTGAGAATGATTCTGTCTAGTTTTGAAACGAAGGTATTTCCTTTTCTGCCTTTGGCCTCAAAGCGCTTGACATCTCCACTTGCAAATTCCACAAAAAGAGTGTTTCAAATCTGCTCTGTGTAAATGAAAGTTCAACTCTGTGAGTTGAACACACACAACACAAGGAAGTTACTGGGAATTCTTCTGTCTAGCAGAATATGAAGAAATCCCGCTTCCAACGAAGGCCTCAAAGAAGTCTGAATATCCACTTGCAGACTTTACAAACAGAGTGTTTCCCAACTGCTCTATGAAAAGAAAGGTTGAACTCTGTGAGTTGAACGCCCACATCACAAAGGAGTTTCTGAGAATCATTCTGTCTAGTTTCCATAGGAAGATATTTCCTATTCTACCATTGACCTCAAAGCGGCTGAAATCTCCACTTGCCAATTCCACAAAAAGAGTGTTTCAAGTCTACTCTGTGTAATGGATCGTTTAACTCTGTGAGTTGAAAACACACAACACAAGGAAGTTTCTGAGAATTCTTCTGTCTAGCCTTACATGAAAAAAACCCGTTTCCAACGTAGGCCTCTAAGTGGTCAAATTATCCACGTGCAGACTTCACAAACAGAGTGTTTCCAAACTGCTGAATGAAAAGAAAAGTTAAACTCTGAGAGTTGAACGCACACATCGCAGAGCAGTTTCTGAGAATGATTCTGTCTAGTTTTGAAACCAAGATATTTCCTTTTCTGCCGTTGACCTAAAAGAGCTTGAAAACTACACTTGCAAATTGCACAAATAGAGTGTTTCAAATCTGCTCTGTCTAAGGGAACGTTCAACTCTGTGAGTTGAATGCACACAACACAAGGAAGTTACTGGGAATTCTTCTGTCTAGCCTTACATGAAAAAAACCCGTTTCCAACGAAGGCCTCTAAGTGGTCAAAATTTCCACGTCCAGACTTTACAAACAGAGTGTTTCCAAACCGCTGAATGAAAAGAAAAGTTAAACTCTGAGAGTTGAACGCACACATCACGCAGCAGTTTCTGAGAATGATTCTGACTAGTTTTTATACGAAGATATTTCCTTTTCTGCCTTTGGCCCCAAAGCGCTTGAAATCTCCACTTGCAAATTCCACAAAAACAGTGTTTCAAATCTGCTCTCTCTAAATGAAAGTTCAACTCTGTCAGTTGAATACACACAACACAAGGAAGTTACTGAGAATTCTTCTGTCTAGCAGAATATGAAGAAATCCCGTTTCCAACGAAGGCCTCAAAGGGGTCTGAATATCCACTTGCAGACTTTATAAACAGAGTGTTTACTAACTGCTCTATGAAAAGAAAGGTTAAACTCTGTGAGTTGAACACACACCTCACAAAGGAGTTTGCTGAGAATCATTTCTGTCTAGTTTTTATACGAAGATATTTCCTTTTCTACCATTGACCTCAAAGCGGCTGAAATCTCCACTTGCAAATTCCACAAAAAGAGTGTTTCAAGTCTGCTCTGTGTAAAGGATGGTTCAACTCTGTGAGTTGAATACACACAACACAAGGAAGTTACTGAGAATTCTTCTGTCTAGCATAATAGGAAGAAATCCCGTTTCCAACGAAGGCCTCAAGGAGGTCTGAATATCCACTTGCAGACTTTACAAACAGAGTGTTTCCTAACTGCTCTATGAAAAGAAAGGTTAAACTCTGTGACTTGAACGCACACATCACAAAGGAGTTTCTGAGAATCATTCTGTCTAGTTTTGAAACGAAGATATTTCCTTTTCTGCCATTGACCTTAAAGCGCTTGAAATCTACACTTGCAAATTGCACAAATAGAGTGTTTCAAATCTGCTCTGTCTAAGGGAACGTTCATCTGTGTGAGTTGAATGCACACAACACAAGGAAGTTACTGGGAATTCTTCTGTCTAGCCTTACATGAAGAAAACCCGTTTCCAACGAAGGCCTCTAAGTGGTCAAAATATCCACGTGCAGACTTTACAAACAGAGTGTTTCGAAACTGCTGAATGAAAAGAAAAGTTAAACTCTGAGAGTTGAACGCACACATCACAGAGCAGTTTCTGAGAATGATTCTGTCTAGTTTTTATACGAAGATATTTCCTTTTCTGCCTTTGGCCGCAAAGCGCTTGAAATCTCCACTTGCAAATTCCACAAAAACAGTCTTACAAATCTGCTCTCTCTAAATGAAAGTTCAACTCTGTCAGTTGAATACACACAACACAAGGAAGTTACTGAGAATTCTTCTGTCTAGCAGAATATGGAGAAATCCCGTTTCCAACGAAGGCCTCAAAGAGGTCTGAATATCCACTTGCAGACTTTACAAACAGAGTGTTTCCTAACTGCTCTATGAAAAGAAAGGTTAAACTCTGTGAGTTGAACACACACATCACAAAGGAGTTTCTGAGAATCGTTCTGTCTAGTTTTTATACGAAGATATTTCCTTTTCTACCATTGACCTCAAAGCGGCTGAAATCTCCACTGGCCAATTCAACAAAAAGAGTTTTTCAAGTCTACTCTGTGTAACGGATCGTTGAACTCTGTGAGTTGAAAACACGCAACACCAGGAGGTTTCTGAGAGTTCTTCTGTCTAGCAGAATATGAAGAAATCCCGTTTCCAACGAATGCCACAAGATGTCAGAATATCCACTTACAGAATTGACAAACAGACTGTTTCCTAACTGCTCTATGAAAAGAAAGGTTAAACTCTGTGAGTTGAACGAACACATCACAACGCAGTTTGTGGGAATGATTTCTGTCTAGTTTTGAAACGAAGATATTTCCTTTTCTGCCGTTGACCTTAAAGCGGTTGAAATCTACACTTGCAAATTGCACAAATAGAGTGTTTCAAATCTGCTCTGTCTAAGGGAACGTTCAACTCTGTGAGTTGAATGCACACAACACAAGGAAGTTACTGGGAATTCTTCTATCTAGCCTTACTGAAAAAAACCCGTTTCCAACGAAGGCCTCTAAGTGGTCAAATTATCCACGTGCAGACTTTACAAACAGAGTGTTTCCAAACTGCTGAATGAAAAGAAAAGTTAAACTCTGAGAGTTGAACACACACATCGCAGAGCAGTTTCTGAGAATGATTCTGCCTAGTTTTGAAACGAAGATATTTCCTTTTCTGCCTTTGGCCTCAAAGCGCTTGAAATCTCCACTTGCAAATTCCACAAAAAGAGTGTTTCAAATCTGCTCTGTGTAAATGAAAGTTCAACTCTGTGAGTTGAACACACACAACACAAGGAAGTTACTGGGAATTCCTCTGTCTAGCATAATATGAAGAAATCCCGTTTAAAACGAAGGCCTCAAAGAGGTCTGAATATCCACTTGCAGACTTTACAAACAGAGTGTTTCCTAACTGCTCTATGAAAAGAAAGGTTAAACTCTGTGAGTTGAACGCACACATCACAAAGGAGTTTCTGAGAATCATTCTGTCTAGTTTTTCTACGAAGATATTTCCTTTTCTACTATTGACCTCAAAGCGGCTGAAATCTCCTCTTGCAAATTCCACAAAAAGAGTGTTTCAAGTCTGCTCTGTGTAAAGGATCGTTCAACTCTGTGAGTTGAATACTCACAACACAAGGAAGTTACTGAGAATTCTTCTGTCTAGCAGAATATGAAGAAATCCCGTTTCCAACGAAGGCCACAAGATGTCAGAATATCCACTTACAGAATTTACAAACAGACTGTTTCCTAAGTGCTCTATGAAAAGAAATGTTAAACTCTGTGAGTTGAACGAACACATCGCAACGCAGTTTGTGGGAGTGATTCTGTCTAGTTTTGAAAGGAAGATATTTCCTTTTCTGCCGTTGACCTTAAAGCGCTTGAAATGTACACTTGCAAATTGCACAAATAGGCTGTTTCAAATCTGCTCTGTCTAAGGGAACGTTCAACTCTGTGAGTTGAATGCGCACAACACAAGGAAGTTACTGGGAATTCTTCTGTCTAGCCTTACAGGAAAAAAACCCGTTTCCAACGAAGGCCTCTAAGTGGTCAAAATATCCACGTGCAGACTTTACAAACAGAGTGTTTCCAAACTGCTGAATGAAAAGAAAAGTTTAACTCTGAGAGTTGAACGCACACATCGCAGAGCAGTTTCTGAGAATGATTCTGTCTAGTGCTTATACGAAGATATTTCCTTTTCTGCCTTTGGCCCCAAAGCGCTTGAAATCTCCACTTGCAAATTCCACAAAAACAGTGTTTCAAATCTGCTCTCTCTAAATGAAAGTTCAACTCTGTCAGTTGAATACACACAACACAAGAAAGTTACTGAGAATTCTTCTGTCTAGCACAGTATGAAGAAATCCCGTTTCCAACGAAGGCCTCAAAGAGGTCTGAATATCCACTTGCAGACTTTACAAACAGAGTGTTTCCTAACAGCTCCATGAAAAGAAAGGTTAAACTCTGTGAGTTGAACGCACACATCACAAAGGAGTTTCTGAGAATCATTCTGTCTAGTCTTTATACGAAGATATTTCCTTTTCTACCATTGACCTCAAAGCGGCTGAAATCTCCACTTGCAAATTCCACAAAAAGAGTGTTTCAAGTCTGCTCTGTGTAAAGGATCGTTCAACTCTGTGAGTAGAATACACACAACACAAGGAAGTTACTGAAAATTCTTGTGTCTAGCAGAATATGAAGAAATCCCGTTTCCAACGAAGGCCACAAGATGTCAGAATATCCACTTACAGAATTGACAAACAGACTGTTTCCTAACTGCTCTATGAAAAGAAAGGTTAAACTCTGTGAGTTGAACGAACACATCACAACGCAGTTTGTGGGAATGATTCTGTCTAGTTTTGAAACGAAGATATTTCCTTTTCTGCCGTTGACCTTAAAGCGCTTGAAATCTACACTTGCAAATTGCACAAATAGAGTGTTTCAAATCTGCTCTGTCTAAGGGAAAGTTCAACTCTGTGAGTTGAATGCACACAACACAAGGAAGTTACTGGGAATTCTTCTGTCTAGCCTTACATGAAAAAAACCCGTTTCCAACGAAGGCCTCTAAGTGGTCAACATATCCACGTGCAGACTTTACAAACAGAGTGTTTCCAAACTGCTGAATGAAAAGAAAAGTTAAACTCTGAGAGTTGAACGCACACATCGCAGAGCAGTTTCTGAGAATGATTCTGTCTAGTTTTGAAACGAAGATATTTCCTTTTCTGCCTTTGGTCTCAAAGCGCTTGAAATCTCCACTTGCAAATTGCACAAAAAGAGTGTTTCAAATCTGCTCTGTGTAAATGAAAGTTCAACTCTGTGAGTTGAACACACACAACACAAGGAAGTTACTGGGAATTCTTCTGTCTAGCAGAATATGAAGAAATCCCGTTTCAAACGAAGGCCTCAAGGAGGTCTGAATATCCACTTGCAGACTTTACAAACAGAGTGTTTCCTAACTGCTCTATGAAAAGAAAGGTTAAACTCTGTGAGTTGAACGCACACATCACAAAGGAGTTTATGAGAATCATTCTGTCTAGTTTCTATAGGAAGATATTTCCTATTCTACCATTGACCTCAAAGCGGATGAAATCTCCACTTGCAAATTCCACAAAAAGAGTGTTTCAAGTCTGCTCTGTGTAAAGGATCGTTCAACTCTGTGAGTTGAATACACACAACACAAGGAAGTTACTGAGAATTCTTCTGTCTAGCACATTATGAAGAAATCCCGTTTCCAACGAAGGCCTCAAAGAGGTCTGAATATCCACTTGCAGACTTTACAAACAGAGTGTTTCCTAACTGCTCTATGAAAAGAAAGGTTAAACTCTGTGAGTTGAACGCACACGTCACAATGAAGTTTCTGAGAATCATTCTGTCTAGTTTTTATACGAAGATATTTCCTTTTCTACCATTGACCTCAAAGCGGCTGAAATCACCACTTGCCAATTGCACAAAAAGAGTGTTTCAAATCTGCTCTGTCTAAGGGAACGTTCAACTCTGTGAGTTGAATGTACACAACACAAGGAAGTTCCTGGGAATTCTTCTCTCTAGCCTTACAGGAAAAAAACCCGTTTCCAACGAAGGCCTCTAAGTGGTCAAAATATCGACGTGCAGACTTCACAAACAGAGTGTTTCCAAACTGCTGAATGAAAAGAAAAGTTAAACTCTGAGAGTTGAACGCACACATCGCAGAGCAGTTTCTGAGAATGATTCTGTCTAGTTTTTATACGAAGATATTTCCTTTTCTGCCTTTGGCCTCAAAGCGCTTGAAATCTCCACTTGCAAATTCCACAAAAAGAGTGTTTCAAATCTGCTCTGTGTAAATGAAAGTTCAACTCTGTGAGTTGAACACACACAACACAAGGGAAGTTACTGGGAATTCTTCTGTCTAGCATAATATGAAGAAATCCCGTTTCCAACGAAGGCATCAAGGAGGTCTGAATATCCACTTGCAGACTTTACAAACAGAGTGTTTCCTCACTGCTCTATGAAAAGAAAGGTTAAACTCTGTGAGTTGAACGCACACATCACAAAGTAGTTTCTGAGAATCATTCTGTCTAGTTTTTATACGAAGATATTTCCTTTTCTACCATTGACCTCAAAGCGGCTGAAAACTCCACTTGCAAATTCCACAAAAAGAGTGTTTCAAGTCTACTCTGTGTAAAGCATCGTTCAACTCTGTGAGTTGAAAACACAGAACACAAGGAAGTTTCTGAGAATTCTTCTGTCTAGCAGAATATGAAGAAATCCCGTTTCCAACGAAGGCCACAAGATGTCAGAATATCCACTTACAGACTTTACAAACAGAGTGTTTCCTAACTGCTCTATGAACAGAAAGGTTATACTCTGTGAGTTGAACGAACACATCACAACGCAGTTTGTGGGAATGATTCTGTCTAGTTTTGAAACGAAGATATTTCCTTTTCTGCCATTGACCTCAAAGCGCTTGAAATCTCCACTTGCCAATTGCACAAAAAGAGTGTTTCAAATCTGCTCTGTCTAACGGAACGTTCAACTCTGTGAGTTGAATGTACACAACACAAGGAAGTTACTGGGAATTCTTCTGTCTAGCCTTACATGAAAAAATCCCGTTTCCAACGAAGGCCTCTAAGTGGTCAAATTATCCACGTGCAGACTTTACAAACAGAGTGTTTCCAAACTGCTGAATGAAAAGAAAAGTTAAACTCTGAGAGTTGAACGCACACATCGCAGAGCAGTTTCTGAGAATGATTCTGTCTAGTTTTTATACGAAGATATTTGCTTTTCTGCCTTTGGCCTCAAAGCGCTTGAAATCTCCACTTGCAAATTCCACAAAAAGAGTGTTTCAAATCTGCTCTGTGTAAATGAAAGTTCAACTCTGTGAGTTGAACACACACAACACAAGGAAGTTACTGGGAATTCTTCTGTCTAGCATAATATGAAGAAATCCCGTTTCCAACGAAGGCCTCAAAGGGGTCTGAATATCCACTTGCAGACTTTATAAACAGCGTGTTTCCTAACTGCTCTATGAAAAGAAAGGTTAAACTCTCTGAGTTGAACGCACACATCACAAAGGAGTTTCTGAGAATCATTCTGTCTAGTTTCTATACGAAGATATTTCTTTTTCTACAATTGACCTCAAAGCGGCTGAAATCTCCACTTGCAAATTCCACAAAAAGAGTGTTTCAAGTCTGCTCTGTGTAAAGTATCGTTCAACTCTGTGAGTTGAATACACAGAACACAAGGAAGTTACTGAGAATTCTTCTGTCTAGCATAATATGAAGAAATCCCGTTTCCAACGAAGGCCTGTAGGAGGTCTGAATATCCACTTGCAGACTTTACAAACAGAGTGTTTCCTAACTGCTCTATGGAAAGAAAGGTTAAACTGTGTGAGTTGAACGCACACATCACAAAGGAGTTTCTGAGAATCATCTGTCTAGTTTTGAAACGAAGATATTTCCTTTTCTGCCATTGACCTTAAAGCGCTTGAAATCTCCATTTGCCAATTGCACAAAAAGAGTGTTTCAAATCTGCTCTGTCTAAGGGAACGTTCAACTCTGTGAGTTGAATGTACACAACACAAGGAAGTTACTGGGAATTCTTTCTGTCTAGCCTTACAGGAAAAAGCCCGTTTCCAACGAAGGCCTCTAAGTGGTCAAAATATCCACGTGCAGACTTTACAAACAGAGTGTTTCCAAACTGCTGAATGAAAAGAAAAGTTAAACTCTGAGAGTTGAACGCACACATCGCAGAGCAGTTTCTGAGAATGATTCTGTCTAGTTTTTATACGAAGATATTTCCTTTTCTGCCTTTGGCCTCAAAGCGCTTGAAATCTCCATTTGCAAATTCCAGAAAAAGAGTGTTTCAAATCTGCTCTGTGTAAATGAAAGTTCAACTCTGTGAGTTGAACACACACAACACAAGGAAGTTACTGGGAATTCTTCTGTCTAGCATAATATGAAGAAATCCCGTTTCCAACGAAGGCCTCAAGGAGGTCTGAATATCAACTTGCAGACTTTACAAACAGAGTGTTTCATAACTGCTCTATGAAAAGAAAGGTTAAACTCTGTGAGTTGAACGCACACATCACAAAGGAGTTTCTGAGAATCATTCTGTCTAGTTTTTCTACGAAGATATTTCCTTTTCTACTATTGACCTCAAAGCGGCTGAAATCTCGACTTGCAAATTCCACAAAAAGAGTGTTTCAATTCTGCTCTGTGTAAAGGATCGTTCAACTCTGTGAGTTGAATACACACAACACAAGGAAGTTACTGAGAATTATTCTGTCTAGCAGAATATGAAGAAATCCCGTTTCCAACGAAGGCCACAAGTTGTCAGAATATCCACTTACAGAATTTACAAACAGACTGTTTCCTAACTGCTCTATGAAAAGAAAGGTTAAACTCTGTGATTTGAACGAACACATCACAACGCAGTCTGTGGGAATGATTCTGTCTAGTTTTGAAACGAAGATATTTCCTTTTCTGCCATTGACCTTAAAGCGCTTGAAATCTACAGTTGCAAATTCCACAAAAAGAGTGTTTCAAGTCTGCTCTGTGTAAAGGATCGTTCAACTCTGTGAGTTGAATACACACAACACAAGGAAGTTACTGAGAATTCTTCTGTCTAGCAGAATATGAAGAAATCCCGTTTCCAACGAAGGCCTCAAAGAGGTCTGAATATCCACTTGCAGACTTTACAAACAGAGTGTTTCCTAACTGCTCTATGAAAAGAAAGGTTAAACTCTGTGAGTTGAACAAACACATCACAAAGGACTTTCTGAGAATCATTCTGTCTAGTTTTTATACGAAGATATTTCCTTTTCTACCATTGACCTCAAAGCGGCTGAAATCTCCACTTGCAAATTCCACAAAAAGAGTGTTTCAAATCGGCTCTGTGTAAATGAAAGTTCAACTCTGTGAGTTGAACACACACAACACAAGGAAGTTACTGGGAATTCTTCTGTCTAGCCTTATATGAAAAAAACCCGTTTCCAACGAAGGCCTCAAAGAGGTCTGAATATCCACTTGCAGACTTTACAAACAGAGTGTTTCCTAACTGCTCTATGAAAAGAAAGGTTAAACTCTGTGAGTTGTACGCACACATCACAAAGGAGTTTCTGAGAATCATTCTGTCTACTTTCTATAGGAAGATATTTCCTATTCTACCATTGACCTCAAAGCGGATGAAATCTCCACTTGCAAATTCCACAAAAGGAGTGTTTCAAGTCTGCTCTGTGTAAAGGATCGTTCAACTCTGTGAGTTGAAAACACACAACACAAGGAAGTTTCTGAGAATTCTTCTGTCTAGCAGAATATGAAGAAATCCCGTTTCCAACGAAGGCCACAAGATGTCAGAATATCCACTTACAGACTTTACAAACAGAGTGTTTCCTAACTGCTCTATGAACAGAAAGGTTAAACTCTGTGAGTTGAACGAACACATCACAACGCAGTTTGTGGGAATGATTCTGTCTAGTTTTGAAACGAAGATATTTCCTTTTCTGCCGTTGACCTTAAAGCGCTTGAAATCTACACTTGCAAATTGCACAAATAGAGTGTTTCAAATCTGCTCTGTCTAAGGTAACGTTCAACTCTGTGAGTTGAATGCACACAACACAAGGAAGTTACTGGGAATTCTTCTGTCTAGCCTTAGATGAAAAAAACCCGTTTCCAACGAAGGCCTCTAAGTGGTCAAAATTTCCTCGTGCAGACTTTACAAACAGAGTGTTTCCAAACCGCTGAATGAAAAGAAAAGTTAAACTCTGAGAGTTGAACGCACACATCACGCAGCAGTTTCTGAGAATGATTCTGTCTAGTTTTTATACGAAGATATTTCCTTTTCTGCCTTTGGCCTCAAACCGCTTGAAATCTCCATTTGCAAATTCCACAAAAAGAGTGTTTCAAATCTGCTCTGTGTAAATGAAAGTTCAACTCTGTGAGTTGAACACACACAACACAAGGAAGTTACTGGGAATTCTTCTGTCTAGCAGAATATGAAGAAATCCCGTTTCCAACGAAGGCCTCAAGGAGGTCTGAATATCCACTTGCAGACTTTACAAACAGAGTGTTTCCTAACTGCTCTATGAACAGAAAGGTTAAACTCTGTGAGTTGAACGCACACATCACTAAGGAGTTTCTGAGAATCATTCTGTCTAGTTTCTATACGAAGATATATCCTATTCTACAATTGACCTCAAAGCGGCTGAAATCTCCACTTGCAAATTCCACAAAAAGAGTGTTTCAAGTCTGCTCTGTGTAAAGGATCGTTCAACTCTGTGAGTTGAATACACACAACACAAGGAAGTGACTGAGAATTCTTCTGTCTAGCAGAATATGAAGAAATCCCGTTTCCAACGAAGACCACAAGATGTCAGAATATCCACTTACAGACTTTACAAACAGAGTGTTTCCTAACTGCTCTATGAACAGAAAGGTTAAACTCTGTGAGTTGAACGAACACATCACAACGCAGTTTGTGGGAATGATTCTGTCTAGTTTTTATACGAAGATATTTCGTTTTCTACCATTGACCTCAAAGCGGCTGAAATCACCACTTGCCAATTGCACAAAAAGAGTGTTTCAAATGTGTTCTGTCTAAGGGAACGTTCAACTCTGTGAGTTGAATGTACACAACACAAGGAAGTTACTGGGAATTCTTCTGTCTAGCCTTACATGAAAAAAACCCGTTTCCAACGAAGGCCTCTAAGTGGTCAAATTATCCACGTGCAGACTTTAGAAACAGAGTGTTTCCAAACTGCTGAATGAAAAGAAAAGTTAAACTCTGAGAGTTGAACGCACACATCACAGAGCAGTTTCTGAGAATGATTCTGTCTAGTTTTTATACGAAGATATTTCCTTTTCTGCCTTTGTCCTCAAAGCGCTTGAAATCTCCACTTGCAAATTCCACAAAAAGAGTGTTTCAAATCTGCTCTGTGTAAATGAAAGTTCAACTCTGTGAGTTGAACACACACAACACAAGGAAGTTACTGGGAACTCTTCTGTCTAGCATAATATGAAGAAATCCCGTTTCCAACGAAGGCCTCAAAGGGGTCTGAATATCCACTTGCAGAATTTATAAACAGAGTGTTTACTAACTGCTCTATGAAAAGAAAGGTTAAACTCTGTGAGTTGAACACACACATCACAAAGGAGTTTCTGAGAATCATTCTGTCTAGTTTTTATACGAAGATATTTCCTTTTCTACCATTGACCTCAAAGCGGCTGAAATCTCCACTTGCAAATTCCACAAAAAGAGTGTTTCAAGTCTGCTCTGTGTAAAGGATCGTTCAACTCTGTGAGTTGAATACACACAAGACAAGGAAGTTACTGAGAATTCTTCTGTCTAGCAGAATATGAAGAAATCCCGTTTCCAACGAAGGCCACAAGATGTCAGAATATCCCCTTACAGAATTTTCAAACAGACTGTTTCCTAACTGCTCTATGAAAAGAAAGGTTAAACTCTGTGAGATGAACGAACACATCACAACGCAGTTTGTGGGAATGATTCTGTCTAGTGTTTATAGGAAGATATTTCCTTTTCTACCTTTGACTTCAAAGCGGCTGAAATCTCCACTTGCAAATTCCACAAAAAGAGTGTTACAAGTCTGCTCTGTGTAAAGGATCGTTCAACTCTGTCAGTTGAATACACACAACACAAGGAAGTTACTGAGAATTCTTCTGTCTAGCCTTACATGAAAAAAACCCGTTTCCAACGAAGGCCTCTAAGTGGTCAAGTTATCCACGTGCAGACTTTACAAACAGAGTGTTTCCAAACTGCTGAATGAAAAGAAAAGTTAAACACTGAGAGTTGAACGCACACATCGCAGAGCAGTTTCTGAGAATGATTCTGTCTAGTTTTTATACGAAGATATTTCCTTTTCTGCCTTTGGCCTCAAAGCGCTTGAAATCTCCATTTGCAAATTCCACAAAAAGAGTGTTACAAGTCTGCTCTGTGTAAAGGATCGTTCAACTCTGTGAGTTGAACACACACAACACAAGGAAGTTACTGGGAATTCTTCTGTCTAGCAGAATATGAAGAAATCCCGTTTCCAACGAAGGCCTCAAAGAGGTCTGAATATCCACTTGCACACTTTACAAACAGAGTGTTTCCTAACTGCTCTATGAGAACAAAAGTTAAACTCTGTGAGTTGAACGCACACATCACAAAAGATTTTCTGAGAATCATTCTGCCTAGTTTTTATAGGAAGATATTTCCTTTTCTACCTTTGACGTCAAAGCGGCTGAAATCTCCACTTGCAAATTCCACAAAAAGAGTGTTACAAGTCTGCTCTGTGTAAAGGATCGTTCAACTCTGTGAGTTGAATACACACAACACAAGGAAGTTACTGAGAATTCTTCTGTCTAGCAGAATGTGAAGAAATCCCGTTTCCAACGAAGGCCACAAGATGTCAGAATATCCACTTACAGAGTTTACAAACAGAGTGTTTCCTAACTGCTCTATGAACAGAAAGGTTAAACTCTGTGAGTTGAACGAACACATCACAACGCAGTTTGTGGGAATGATTCTGTCTACTTTTGAAACGAAGATATTTCCTTTTCTGCCATTGACCTCAAAGCGCTTGAAATCTCCACTTGCCAATTGCACAAAAAGAGTGTTTCAAATCTGCTCTGTCTAAGGGAACGTTCAACTCTGTGAGTTGAATGTACACAACACAAGGAAGTTACTGGGAATTCTTCTGTCTAGCCTTACAGGAAAAAAACCCGTTTCCAACGAAGGCCTCTAAGTGGTCAAATTATCCACGTGCAGACTTTACAAACAGAGTGCTTCCAAACTGCTGAATGAAAAGAAAAGTTAAACTCTGAGAGTTGAACACACACATCGCAGAGCACTTTCTGAGAATGATTCTGTCTAGTTTTTATACGAAGATATTTCGTTTTCTGCCTTTGGCCTCAAAGCGCTTGAAATCTCCACCTGCAAATTCCACAAAAAGAGTGTTTCAAATCTGCTCTGTGTAAATGAAAGTTCAACTCTGTGAGTTGAACACACACAACACAAGGAAGTTACTGGGAATTCTTCTGTCTAGGCTTATATGAAAAAAACCCGTTTCCAACGAAGGCCTCAAAGAGGTCTGAATATCCACTTGCAGACTTTACAAACAGAGTGTTTCCTAACTGCTCTATGAAAAGAAAGGTTAAACTCTGTGAGTTGAACGCACACATCACAAAGGAGTTTCTGAGAATCATTCTGTCTAGTTTTTATACAAAGATATTTCCTTTTCTACCATTGACCTCAAAGCGGCTGAAATCTCCAATTGCAAGTTCCACAAAAAGAGTGTTTCTAATCTGCTCTGCGTAAAGGATCGTTCAACTCTGTGATATGAATGCACACAACACAAGGAAGTTACTGAGAATTCTTCTGTCTAGCATAATATGAAGAAATCCCGTTTCCAATGAAGGCCACAAAGAGGTCTGAATATCCACTTGCAGACTTTACAAACAGAGTGTTTCCTAACTACTCTAGGAAAAGAAAGGTTAAACTCTGTGAGTTGAACGCACACATCACAAAGTAGTTTCTGAGAATCATTCTGTCTAGTTTTGAAACGAAGATATTTCCTTTTCTGCCATTGACCTTAAAGCGCTTGAAATCTCCACTTGCCAATTGCACAAAAAGAGTGTTTCAAATCTCCTCTGTCTAAGGGAACGTTCAACTCTGTGAGTTGAATGTACACAACACAAGGAAGTTACTGGGAATTCTTCTGTCTAGCCTTACATGAGAAAAACCCGTTTCCAACGAAGGCCTCTAAGTGGTCAAAATATCCACGTGCAGACTTTACAAACAGAGTGTTTCCAAACCGCTGAATGAAAAGAAAAGTTAAACTCTGAGAGTTGAACGCACACATCACGCAGCAGTTTCTGAGAATGATTCTGTCTAATTTTTACACGAAGATATTTCCTTTTCTGCCTTTGGCCCCAAAGGGCTTGAAATCTCCACTTGCAAATTCCACAAAAACAGTGTTTCAAATCTGCTCTCTCTAAATGAAAGTTCAACTCTGTCAGTTGAATACACACAACACAAGGAAGTTACTGAGAATTCTTCTGTCTAGCCTTATATGAAAAAAACCCGTTTCCAACGAAGGCCTCAAAGAGGTCTGAATATCCACTTGCAGACTTTACAAACAGAGTGTTTCCTAACTGCTCTATGAAAAGAAAGGTTAAACTCTGTGACTTGAACGCACACATCACAAAGGAGTTTCTGAGAATCATTCTGTCTAGTTTCTATAGGAAGATATTTCCTATTCTACCATTGATCTCAAAGAGGCTGAAATCTCCACTTGCAAAATCCACAAAAAGTGTGTTTCAAGTCTGCTCTGTGTAAAGGATCGTTCAACTCTGTCAGTTGAATACACACAACACAAGGAAGTTACTGAGAATTCTTCTGTCTAGCAGAATATGAAGAAATCCCATTTCCAACGATGGCCCCAAAGAGGTCTGAATATCCACTTGCCGACTTTACAAACAGAGTGTTTCCTAACTGCTCTACGAAAAGAAAGGTTAAACTCTGTGAGTTGAACGCACACATCACAAAGGAGTTTCTGAGAATAATTCTGTCTAGTTTTTATACGAAGATATATCCTTTTCTACCATTGACCTCAAAGCGGCTGAAATGTCCACTTGCAAATTCCACAAAAAGAGTGTTTCAAGTCTGCTCTGTGTAAAGGATCGTTGAACTCTGTGAGTTGAATACACACAACAGAAGGAAGTTACTGAGAATTCTTCTGTCTAGCCTTACAGGAAAAAAACCCGTTTCCAACGAAGGCCTCTAAGTGGTCAAAATATCCACGTGCAGACTTTACAAACAGAGTGTTTTCAAACTGTTGAATGAAAAGAAAAGTTAAACTCTGAGAGTTGAACGCACACATCGCAGAGCAGTTTCTGAGAATGATTCTGTCTAGTTTTTATACGAAGATATTTCCTTTTCTGCCATTGGCCTCAAAGCACTTGAAATCTCCACTTGCAAATTCCACAAAAAGAGTGTTTCAAATCTGCTCTGTGTAAATGAAAGTTCAACTCTGTGACTTAAAAAACACACAACACAAGGAAGTTACTGGGAATTCTTCTGTCTAGCATAATATGAAGAAATCCCGTTTCCAATGAAGGCCTCAAAGAGGTCTGAATATCCACTTGCAGACTTTACAAACAGAGTGTTTCCTAACTGCTCTATGAAAACAAAAGTTAAACTCTGTGAGTTGAACGCACACATCACAAAGGATTTTCTGAGAATCATTCTGTCTAGTTTTTATAGGAACTTATTTCCTTTTCTACCTTTGACTTCAAAGTGGCTGAAATCTCCACTTGCAAATTCCACAAAAAGAGTGTTACAAGTCTGCTCTGTGTAAAGGATCGTTCAACTCTGTGAGTTGAATACACACAACACAAGGAAGTTACTCAGAATTCTTCTTTCTAGCAGAATATGAAGAAATCCCGTTTCCAACGAAAGCCTCAAGGATGTCTGAATATCCACTTGCAGGCTTTACAAACAGAGTGTTTCCTAACTGCTCTATGAAAAGAAAGGTTAAACTCTGTGAGTTGAACGCACACATCACAAAGGAGTTTCTGAGAATCATTCTGTCTAGTTTTGAAACGAAGATATTTCCTTTTCTGCCGTTGACCTTAAAGAGCTTGAAAACTACACTTGCAAATTGCAGAAATAGAGTGTTTCAAATCTGCTCTGTCTAAGGGAACGTTCAACTCTGTGAGTTGAATGCACACAACACAAGGAAGTTACTGGGAATTCTTCTGTCTAGCCTTACATGAAAAAATCCCGTTTCCAACGAAGGCCTCTAAGTGGTCAAAATTTCCACGTGCAGACTTTACAAACAGAGTGTTTCCAAACCGCTGAATGAAAAGAAAAGTTAAACTCTGAGAGTTGAACGCACACATCACGCAGCAGTTTCTGAGAATGATTCTGTCTAGTTTTTATACGAAGATATTTCCTTTTCTGCCTTTGGCCCCAAAGCGCTTGAAATCTCCACTTGCAAATTCCACAAAAACAGTGTTTCAAATCTGCTCTACCTAAATGAAAGTTCAACTCTGTCAGTTGAATACACACAACACAAGGAAGTTACTGAGAATTCTTCTGTATAGCAGAATACGAAGAAATCCCGTTTCCAACGAAAGCCTCAAAGATGTCTGAATATCCACTTGCAGACTTTACAAACAGAGTGTTTCCTAACTGCTCTATGAAAAGAAAGGTTAAACTCTGTGAGTTGAACGCACACATCACAAAGGAGTTTCTGAGAATCATTCTGTCTAGTTTTTATACGAAGATATTTACTTTTCTACCATTGACTTCAAAGCGGCTGAAATCTCCACTTGCAAATTCCACAAAAACAGTGTTTCAAGTCTGCTCTGTGTAAAGGATCATTCAACTCTGTGAGTTGAATAAACACAACACAAGGAAGTTACTGAGAATTCTTCTGTCTAGCAGAATATGAATAAATCCCTTTTCCAACGAAGGCCACAAGATGTCAGAATATCCACTTACAGACTTTACAAACAGAGTGTTTCCTAACTGCTCTATGAACAGAATGGTTAAACTCTGTGAGTTGAACGAACACATCACAACGCAGTTTGTGGGAATGATTCTGTCTAGTTTTGAAACGAAGATATTTCCTTTTCTGCCATTGACCTTAAAGCGCTTGAAATCTCCACTTGCCAATTGCACAAAAAGAGTGTTTCAAATCTGCTCTGTCTAAGGGAACGTTCAACTCTGTGAGTTGAATGTACACAACACAAGGAAGTTACTGGGAATTCTTCTATCTAGCCTTACAGGAAAGAAACCCGTTTCCAACGAAGGCCTCTAAGTGGTCAACATATCCACGTGCAGACTTTACAAACAGAGTGTTTCCAAACTGCTGAATGAAAAGAAAAGTTAAACTCTGAGAGTTGAACGCACACATCGCAGAGCAGTTTCTGAGAATGATTCTGTCTAGTTTTCATACGAAGATATTTCCTTTTCTGCCTTTGGCCTCAAAGCGCTTGAAATCTCCATTTGCAAATTCCACAAAAAGAGTGTTTCAAATCTGCTCTGTGTAAATGAAAGTTCAACTCTGTGAGTTGAACACACACAACACAAGGAAGTTACTGGGAAATCTTCTGTCTAGCCTTACATGAAAAAAACCAGTTTCCAACGAAGGCCTCAAAGAGGTCTGAATATCCACTTGCAGACTTTACAAACAGAGTGTTTCCTAACTGCTCTATGAAAAGAAAGGTTAAACTCTGTGAGTTGAACACACACATCACAAAGGAGTTTCTGAGAATCATTCTGTCTAGTCTTTATACGAAGATATTTCCTTTTCTACCATTGACCACAAAGCGGCTGAAATCTCCACTTGCAAATTCCACAAAAAGAGTGTTTCAAGTCTGCTCTGTGTAAAGGATCATTCAACTCTGTGAGTTGAATAAACACAACACAAGGAAGTTACTGAGAATTCTTCTGTCTAGCAGAATATGAAGAAATCCTGTTTCCAACGAAGGCCTCTAGGAGGTCTGAATATCCACTTGCAGACTTTACAAACAGAGTGTTTCCTAACTGCTCTATGAACAGAAAGGTTAAACTCTGTGAGTTGAACGAACACATCACAACGCAGTTTGTGGGAATGATTCTGTCTAGTTTTGAAACGAAGATATTTCCTTTTCTGCCGTTGACCTTAAAGAGCTTGAAAACTACACTTGCAAATTGCACAAATAGAGTGTTTCAAATCTGCTCGGTCTAAGGGAACGTTCAACTCTGTGAGTTGAATGCACACAACACAAGGAAAGTTACTGGGAATTCTTCTGTCTAGCCTTACATGAAAAAAACCCGTTTCCAACGAAGGCCTCTAAGTGGTCAAAATTTCCACGTGCAGACTTTAGAAACAGAGTGTTTCCAAACCGCTGAATGAAAAGAAAAGTTAAACTCTGAGAGTTGAACGCACACATCACGCAGCAGTTTCTGAGAATGATTCTGTCTAGTAGAATATGAAGAAATCCCGTTTCCAACGAAGGCCTCAAGGAGGTCTGAATATCCACTTGCAGACTTTACAAACAGAGTGTTTCCTAACTGCTCTATGAAAAGAAAGGTGAAACTCTGTGAGTTGAATGCACACATCAGAAAGGAGTTTCTGAGAATCATTCTGTCTAGTTTTTCTACGAAGATATTTCCTTTTCTACTATTGACCTCAAAGCGGCTGAAATCTCCACTTGCAAATTTCACAAAAAGAGTGTTTCAAGTCTGCTCTGTGTAAAGGATCGTTCAACTCTGTGAGTTGAATACACACAACACAAGGAAGTTACTGAGAATCCTTCTGTCTAGCAGAATATGAAGAAATCCCGTTTCCAACGAAGGCCACAAGATGTCAGAATATCCACTTAAAGAATTTACAAACAGACTGTTTCCTAACTGCTCTATGAAAAGAAAGGTTAAACTCTGTGAGATGAACGAACACATCACAACGCAGTTTGTGGGAATGATTCTGTCTAGTTTTGAAACGAAGATATTTCCTTTTCTGCCATTGACCTTAAAGCGCTTGAAATCTCCACTTGCCAATTGCACAAAAAGAGTGTTTCAAATCTGCTCTGTCTAAGGGAACGTTCAACTCTGTGAGTTGAATGTACACAACACAAGGAAGTTACTGGGAATTCTTCTGTCTAGCCTTACATGAAAAAAACCCGTTTCCAACGAAGGCCTCTAAGTGGTCAAAATATCCACGTGCAGACTTTACAAACAGAGTGTTTCCAAACCGCTGAATGAAAAGAAAAGTTAAACTCTGAGAGTTGAACGCACACATCACGCAGCAGATTGCTGAGAATGATTCTGTCTAGTTTTTATACGAAGATATTTCCTTTTCTGCCTTTGGCCTCAAAGCGCTTGAAATCTCCACTTGCAAATTCCACAAAAAGAGTGTTTCAAATCTGCTCTGTGTAAATCAAAGTTCAACTCTGTGAGTTGAACACACACAACACAAAGAAGTTACTGGGAATTCTTCTGTCTAGCATAATATGAAGAAATCCCGTTTCCAACGAAGGCCTCAAAGGGGTCTGAATATCCACTTGCAGACTTTATAAACAGAGTGTTTACTAACTGCTCTATGAAAGGAAAGGTTAAACTCTGTGAGTTGAACACACACATCACAAAGGAGTTTCTGAGAATCATTCTGTCTAGTTTTTATATGAAGATATTTCCTTTTCTACCATTGACCTCAAAGCGGCTGAAATCTCCACTTACAAATTCCACAAAAAGAGGGTCTCAAGTCTGCTCTGTGTAAACGATCGTTCAACTCTGTGAGTTGAATACACACAACACAAGGAAGTTTCTGAGAATTCTTCTGTCTAGCAGAATATGAAGAAATCCCGTTTCCAACGAAGGCCACAAGATATCAGAATATCCACTTACAGACTTTACAAACAGAGTGTTTCCTAACTGCTCTATGAACAGAAAGGTTAAACTCTGTGAGTTGAACGAACACATCACAACGCAGTTTGTGGGAATGATTCTGTCTAGTTTTGAAACGAAGATATTTCCTTTTCTGCCATTGACCTTAAGCGCTTGAAATCTCCACTTGCCAATTGCACAAAAAGAGTGTTTCAAATCTGCTCTGTCCAAGGGAACGTTCAACTCTGTAAGTTGAATGTACACAACACAAGGAAGTTACCGGGAATTATTCTGTCTAGCCTTACATGAAAAAATCCCGTTTCCAACGAAGGCCTCTAAGTGGTCAAAATTTCCACGTGCAGACTTTACAAACAGAGTGTTTCCAAACCGCTGAATGAAAAGAAAAGTTAAACTCTGAGAGTTGAACGCACACATCACGCAGCAGTTTCTGAGAATGATTCTGTCTAGTTTTTATACGAAGATATTTCCTTTTCTGCCTTTGGCCCCGAAGCGCTTGAAATCTCCACTTGCAAATTCCACAAAAAGAGTGTTTCAAGTCTGCTCTGTGTAAAGGATCGTTCAACTCTGTGAGTTGAATACACACAACACAAGGAAGTTACTGAGAATTCTTCTGTCTAGCAGAATATGAAGAAATCCCGTTTCCAACGAAGGCCACAAAGAGGTCTGAATATCCACTTTCAGACTTTACAAACAGAGTGTTTCCTAACTGCTCTATGAAAAGAAAAGTTAAACTCTGTGAATTGAACGCACACATCACAAAGGAGTTTCTGAGAATCATGCTGTCTAGTTTTTATACGAAGATATTTCCTTTTCTACCATTGACCTCAACGCGGCTGAAATCTCCACTTGCAAATTCCACAAAAAGAGTGTTTCAAATCTGCTCTGTGTAAACCATCGTTCAACTGTGTGAGTTGAATACACACAACACAAGGAAGATTCTGAGAATTCTTCGGTCTAGCAGAATATGAAGAAATCCCGTTTCCAACGAAGGCCTCAAGGAGGTCTGAATATCCACTTGTAGACTTTACAAACAGAGTGTTTCCTAACTGCTCTATGAACAGAAAAGTTAAACTCTGTGAGTTGAACGAACACATCACAACGCAGTTTGTGGGAATGATTCTGTCTAGTTTTGAAACGAAGATATTTCCTTTTCTGCCATTGACCTTAAAGCGCTTGAAATCTACACTTGCAAATTGCACAAATAGAGTGTTTCAAATCTGCTCTGTCTAAAGGAAAGTTCAACTCTCTGAGTTGAATGCACACAACACAAGGAAGTTACTGGGAATTCTTCTGTCTAGCCTTACATGAAAAAAACCCGTTTCCAACGAAGGCCTCTAAGTGGTCAAATTATCCACGTGCAGACTTTACAAACAGAGTGTTTCCAAACTGCTGAATGAAAAGAAAAGTTAAACTCTGAGAGTTGAACGCACACATCACAGAGCAGTTTCTGAGAATGATTCTGTCTAGTTTTCATACGAAGATATTTCCTTTTCTGCCTTTGGCCACAAAGCGCTTGAAATCTGCACTTGCAAATTCCACAAAAACAGTGTTTCTAATCTGCTCCCTCTAAATGAAAGTTCAACTCTGTCAGTTGAATACACACAACACAAGGAAGTTACTGAGAATTCTTCTGTCTAGCATAATATGAAGAAATCCGTTTCCAAAGAAGACCACAAAGGGGTCTGAATATCCACTTGCAGACTCTATAAACAGAGTGTTTCCTAACTGCTCTATGAAAAGAAAGGTTAAACTCTCAGAGTTGAACACACACATCACAAAGGAGTTTCTGAGAATCATTCTGTCTAGTTTTTATACGAAGATATTTCCTTTTCTACCATTGACCTCAAAGCGGCTGAAATCTCCACTTGCAAATTCCACAAAAAGAGTGTTTCAAGTCTGCTCTGTGTAAAGGGTCGTTCAACTCTGAGAGTTGAATACACACAACACAAGGAAGTTTCTGAGAATTCTTCTGTGTAGCAGAATATGAAGAAATCCTGTTTCCAACGAAGGCCACAAGATGTCAGAATATCCACTTACAGAATTTACCAACAGAGTGTTTCCTAACTGCTCTATGAAAAGAAAGGTTAAACTCTGTGAGTTGAACGAACACATCACAACGCAGTTTGTGGGAATGATTCTGTCTAGTTTTGAAACGAAGATATTTCCTTTTCTGCCATTGACCTTAAAGCGCTTGAAATCTCCACTTGCCAATTGCACAAAAAGAGTGTTTCAAATCTGCTCTGTCTAAGGGAACGTTGAACTCTGTGAGTTGAATGTACACAACACAAGGAAGTTACTGGGAATTCTTCTGTCTAGCCTTACATGAAAAAAACCCGTTTCCAACGAAGGCCTCTAGGTGGTCAAAATATCCACGTGCAGACTTTACAAACAAAGTGTTTCCAAACCGCTGAATGAAAAGAAAAGTTAAACTCTGAGAGTTGAACGCACACATCACGCAGTAGTTTCTGAGAATGATTCTGTCTGGTTTTTATACGAAGATATTTCCTTTTCTGCCTTTGGCCTCAAAGCGCTTGAAATCTCCATTTGCAAATTCCACAAAAAGAGTGTTTCAAATCTGCTCTGTGTAAATGAAAGTTCAACTCTGCGAGTTGAACACACACAACACAAGGAAGTTACTGGGAATTCTTCTGTGTAGCATAGTATGAAGAAATCCCGTTTCCAACGAAGGCCTCAAAGAGGTCTGAATATCCACTTGCAGAGTTTACAAACAGAGTGTTTCCTAACTGCTCTATGAAAAGAAAGGTTAAACTCTGTGAGTTGAACGCACACATCACAAAGAAGTTTCTGAGAATCATTCTGTCTAGTTTCTATAGGAAGATATTTCCTATTCTACCATTGACCTCAAAGCGGCTGAAATCTCCACTTGCAAATTCCACAAGAAGAGTGTTTCAAGTATGCTCTGTGTAAAGCATCGTTCAACTCTGTGAGTTGAATACACACAACACAAGGAAGTTACTGAGAATTCTTCTGTCTAGCAGAATATGAAGAAATCCCGTTTCCAACGAAGGCCACAAGATGTCAGAATATCCACTTACAGACTTTACAAACAGAGCGTTTCCTAACTGCTCTATGAACAGAAAGGTTAAACTCTGTGAGTTGAACGAACACATCACAACGCAGTTTGTGGGAATGATTCTGTCTAGTTTTGAAACGAAGATATTTCCTTTTCTGCCATTGACCATAAAGCGCTTGAAATCTACACTTGCAAATTGCACAAATAGAGTGTTTCAAATCTGCTCTGTCCAAGGGAACGTTCAACTCTGTGAGTTGAATGCACACAACACAAGGAAGTTACTGGGAATTCTTCTGTCTAGCCTTACATGAAAAAAACCCGTTTCCAACGAAGGCCTCTAAATGGTCAAGTTATCCACGCGCAGACTTTACAAACAGAGTGTTTCCAAACTGCTGAATGAAAAGTTAAACTCTGAGAGTTGAACGCACACATCGCAGAGCAGTTTCTGAGAATGATTCTGTCTAGTTTTTATACGAAGATATTTCCTTTTCTGCCTTTGGCCCCAAAGCGCTTGAAATCTCCACTTGCAAATTCCACAAAAACAGTGTTTCAAATCTGCTCTCTCTAAATGAAAGTTCAACTCTGTCACTTGAATACACACAACACAAGGAAGTTACTGAGAATTCTTCTGTCTAGCCTTATATGAAAAAAACCCGTTTCCAACGATGGCCTCAAAGAGGGCTGAATATCCACTTGCAGACTTTACAAGCAGAGTGTTTCCTAACTGCTCTATGAAAAGAAAGGTTAAACTCTGTGAGTTGAACGCACACATCACAAAGGAGTTTCTGAGAATCATTCTGTCTAGTTTTTATACGAAGATATTTCCTTTTCTACCATTGACCTCAACGCGGCTGAAATCTCCACTTGCAAATTCCACAAAAAGTTTGTTTCAAGTCCGCTCTGTGTAAAGGATCGTTCAACTCTGTGAGTTGAATACACACAACACAAGGAAGTTACTGAGAATCTTCTGTCTAGCAGAATATGATAAAATCCCGTTTCCAACGAAGGCCACAAGATGTCAGAATATCCACTTACAGAATTTACAAACAGACTGTTTCCTAACTGCTCTATGAAAAGAAAGGTTAAACTCTGTGAGTTGAACGAACACATCACAACGCAGTTTGTGGGAATGATTCTGTCTACTTTTGAAACGAAGGTATTTCCTTTTCTGCCGTTGACCTTAAAGCGCTTGAAATCTACACTTGCAAATTGCACAAATAGAGTGTTTCAAATCTGCTCTGTCTAAGGGAACGTTCAACTCTGTGAGTTGAATGCACACAACACAAGGAAGTTACTGGGAATTCTTCTGTCTAGCCTTACATGAAAAAAACCGTTTCCAACGAAGGCCTCTAAGTGGTCAAAATATCCACGTGCAGACTTTACAAACAGAGTGTTTCCAAACTGCTGAATGAAAAGAAAAGTTAAACTCTGAGAGTTGAACGCACACATCGCAGAGCAGTTTCTGAGAATGATTCTGTCTAGTTTTTATACGAAGATATTTCCTTTTCTGCCTTTGGCCCGAAAGCGCATGAAATCTCCACTTGCAAATTCCACAAAAACAGTGTTTCAAATCTGCTCTCTCTAAATGAAAGTTCAACTCTGTCAGTTGAATACACACAACACAAGGAAGTTACTGAGAATTCTTCTGTCTAGCAGAATATGAAGAAATCCCGTTTCCAACGAAGGCCTCAAAGAGGTCTGAATATCGACTTGCAGACTTTACAAACAGAGTGTTTCCTAACTGCTCTATGAAAAGAAAGGTTAAACTCTGTGAGTTGAACGCACACATCACAAAGGAGTTTATGAGAATCATTCTGTCTAGTTTTTATACGAAAATATTTCCTTTTCTACCATTGACCTCAAAGCGGCTGAAATCTCCACTTGCAAATTCCACAAAAAGAGTGTTTCAAGTCTGCTCTGTGTAAAGGATCGTTCAACTCTGTGAGTTGAATACACACAACACAAGGAAGATTCTGAGAATTCTTCTGTCTAGCAGAATATGAAGAAATCCCGTTTCCAACGAAGGCCACTAGAGGTCAGAATATCCACTTACAGAATTGACAGACTGTTTCCTAACTGCTCTATGAAAAGAAAGGTTAAACTCTGTGAGTTGAACGAACACATCACAACGCAGTTTGTGGGAATGATTCTGTCTAGTTTTGAAACGAAGATATTTCCTTTTCTGCCATTGAACTTAAAGCGCTTGAAATCTCCATTTGCCAATTGCACAAAAAGAGTGTTTCAAATCTGCTCTGTCTAAGGGAACGTTCAACTCTGTGAGTTGAATGTACACAACACAAGGAAGTTACTGGGAATTCTTCTGTGTAGCCTTACATGAAAAAAACCCGTTTCCAACGAAGGCCTCTAAGTAGTCAAATTATCCACGTGCAGACTTTACAAACAGAGTGTTTCCAAACTGCTGAATGAAAAGAAAAGTTGAACTCTGAGAGTTGAACGCACACATCGCAGAGCAGTTTCTGAGAATGATTCTGTCTAGTTTTTATACGAAGATATTTCCTTTTCTGCCTTTGGCCTCAAAGCGCTTGAAATCTAAACTTGCAAATTCCACAAAAAGAGTGTTTCAAATCTGCTCTGTGTAAATGAAAGTTCAACTCTGTGAGTTGAACACACACAACACAAGGAAGTTACTGGGAATTCTTCTGTTTAGCGTTATATGTAAAAAACCCGTTTCCAACGAAGGCCTCAAAGAGGTCTGAATATCCACTTGCAGACTTTACAAACAGAGTGTTTCCTAACTGCTCTATGAAAAGAAAGGTTAAACTCTGTGAGTTGAACGCACACATCACAAAGGAGTTTCTGAGAATCATTCTGTCTAGTTTTTATAGGAAGATATTTCCTTTTGTACCTTTGACTTCAAAGCCCCTGAAATCTCCACTTGCAAATTCCACAAAAAGAGTGTTACAAGTCTGCTCTGTGTAAAGGATCGTTCAACTCTGTGAGTTGAATACACACAACACAAGGAAGTTACTGAGAATTCTTCTGTCTAGCATAATATGAAGAAATCCCGTTTCCAACGAAGGCCACAAGATGTCAGAATATCCACTTACAGACTTTACAAACAGAGTGTTTCCTAACTGCTCTATGAACAGAAAGCTTAAACTCTGTGAGTTGAAGGAACACATCACAACGCAGTTTGTGGGAATGATTCTGTCTAGTTTTGAAACGAAGATATTTCCTTTTCTGCCATTGACCTTAAAGCGCTTGAAATCTCCACTTGCAAATTCCACAAAAACAGTGTTTCAAATCTCCTCTCTCTAAATGAAAGTTCAACTCTGTCAGTTGAATACACACAACACAAGGAAGTTACTGAGAATTCTTCTGTCTAGCCTTACAGGAAAAAAACCCGTTTCCAACGAAGGCCTCTGATTGGTCAAAATATCCACGTGCAGACTTTACAAACAGAGTGTTTCCAAACTGCTGAATGAAAAGAAAAGTTAAACTCTGAGAGTTGAACGCACACATCGCAGAGCAGTTTCTGAGAGTGATTCTGTCTAGTTTTTATACGAAGATATTTCCTTTTCTGCCTTTGGCCTCAAAGCGCTTGAAATCTCCACTTGCAAATTCCACAAAAAGTGTGTTTCAAATCTGCTCTGTGTAAACCATCGTTCAACTCTGTGAGTTGAATACACACAACACAAGGAAGATTCTGAGAATTCTTCTGTCTAGCATAATATGAAGAAATCCCGTTTCCAACGAAGGCCTCAAAGGGGTCTGAATATCCACTTGCAGACTTTATAAACAGAGTGTTTACTAACTGCTCTATGAAAAGAAAGGTTAAACTCTGCGAGTTGAACACACACATCACAAAGGAGTTTCTGAGAATCATTCTGTCTAGTTTTTATAGGAAGATATTTCCTTTTCTACCATTGACCTCAAAGCGGCTGAAATCTCCACTTGCAAATTCCACAAAAAGAGTGTTTCAAGTCTGCTCTGTGTAAAGGATCGTTCAACTCTGTGAGATGCATACACACAACACAAGGAAGTTACTGAGAATTCTTCTGTCTAGCAGAATATGAAGAAATCCCGTTTCCAACGAAGGCCACAAGATGTCAGAATATCCACTTACAGAATTTACAAACAGACTGTTTCCTAAGTGCTCTATGAAAAGAAAGGTTAAACTCTGTGAGTTGAACGAACACATCGCAACGCAGTTTCTGGGAATGATTCTGTCTAGTTTTTATAGGAAGATATTCCCTTTTCTACCTTTGACTTCAAAGCGGCTGAAATCTCCACTTGCAAATTCCACAAAAAGAGTGTTACAAGTCCGCTCTCTGTAAAGGATCGTTCAACTGTGTGAGTTGAATACACACAACACAAGGAAGTTACTGAGAACTCTTCTGTCTAGCCTTACATGAAAAAAACCCGTTTCCAACGAAGGCCTCTAAGTGGTCAAAATATCCACTTGCAGACTTTACAAACAGAGTGTCTCCAAACCGCTGAATGAAAAGAAAAGTTAAACTCTGAGAGTTGAACGCACACATCACGCAGCAGTTTCTGAGAATGATTCTGTCTAGTTTTTATACGAAGATATTTCCTTTTCTGCCTTTGGCCCCAAAGCGCTTGAAATCTCCAATTGCAAATTCCACAAAAACAGTGTTTCAAATCTGCTCTCTCTAAATGAAAGTTCAACTCTGTCAGCTGAATACACACAACACAAGGAAGTTACTGAGAATTCTTCTGTCTAGCATAATATGAAGAAATCCCGTTTCCAACGAAGGCCTCAAACAGGTCTGAATATCCACTTGCAGACTTTACAAACAGAGTGTTTCCTAACTGCTCTATGAGAAGAAAAGTTAAACTCTGTGAGTTGAAAGCACACATCACAAAAGATTTTCTGAGAATCATTCTGTCTAGTTTCTATAGGAAGATATTTCCTATTCTACCATTGACCTCAAAGCGGCTGAAATCTCCACTTGAAATTCCACAAAAAGAGTGTTTCAAGTCTGCTCTGTGTAAAGGATCGTTCAACTCTGTGAGTTGAATACACACAACACAAAGAAGTTACTGAGAATTCTTCTGTCTAGCAGAAAATGAAGAAATCCCGTTTCCAAAGAAGGCCTCAAAGAGGTCTGAATATCCACTTGCAGACTTTACAAACAGAGTGTTTCCTAACTGCTCTATGAATTGGAAGGTTAAACTCTGTGAGTTGAACGCACACATCACAAAGGAGTTTCTGAGAATCATTCTGTCTAGTTTCTATAGGAAGATATTTCCTATTCTACCATTGACCTCAAAGCGGCTGAAATCTCCACCTGCAAATTCCACAAAAAGAGTGTTTCAAGTCTGCTCTGTGTAAAGGATCGTTCAACTCTGTGAGTTGAATACACACAACACAAGGAAGTTACTGAGAATTCTTCTGTCTAGCCTTACATGAAAAAAACCCGTTTCCAACGAAGGCCTCTAAGTGGTCAAATTATGCACGTGCAGACTTTACAAACAGAGTGTTTCCAAACTGCTGAATGAAAAGAAAAGTTAAACTCTGAGAGTTGAACGCACACATCGCAGAGCAGTTTCTGAGAATGATTCTGTCTAGTTTTTATACGAAGATATTTCCTTTTCTGCCTTTGGCCCCAAAGCGCTTGAAATCTCCACTTGCAAATACCACAAAAACAGTGTTTCAAATCTGCTCTCTCTAAATGAAAGTTCAACTCTGTCAGTTGAATACACACAACACAAGGAAATTACTGAGAATTCTTCTGTCTAGACTTATATGAAAAAAACCCGTTTCCAACGAAGGCCTCAAGGAGGACTGAATATCCACTTGCAGACTTTACAAACAGAGTGTTTCCTAACTGCTCTATGAAAAGAAAGGTTAAACTCTGTGAGTTGAACGCACACATCACAAAGGAGTTTCTGAGAATCATTCTGTCTAGTTTTTCTACGAAGATATTTCCTTTTCTACTATTGACCTCAAAGTGGCTGAAATCTCCACTTGCAAATTCCACAAAAAGAGTGTTTCAAGTCTGCTCTGTGTAAAGAATCGTTCAACTCTGTGAGTTGAATACACACAACACAAGGAAGTTACTGAGAATTCTTCTGTCTAGCATAATATGAAGAAATCCCGTTTCCAACGAAGGCCACAAGATGTCAGAATATCCACTTACAGACTTTACAAACAGAGTGTTTCCTAACTGCTCTATGAACGGAAAGGTTAAACTCTGTGAGTTGAACGAACACATCACAACGCAGTTTGTGGGAATGATTCTGTCTAGTTTTTATACGAAGATATTTCCTTTTCTGCCTTTGGCCTCAAAGCGCTTGAAATCTCCACTTGCCAATTGCACAAAAAGAGTGTTTCAAATCTGCTCTGTCTAAGGGAACGTTCAACTCTGTGAGTTGAATGTACACAACACAAGGAAGTTACTGGGAATTCTTCTGTCTAGCCTTACAGGAAAGAAACCCGTTTCCAACGAAGGCCTCTAAGTGGTCAAAATATCCACGTGCAGACTTTACAAACAGAGTGTTTCCAAACTGCTGAATGAAAAGAAAAGTTAAACTCTGAGAGTTGAACGCACACATCGCAGAGCAGTTTCTGAGAATGATTCTGTCTAGTTTTTATACGAAGATATTTCCTTTTCTGCCTTTGGCCCCAAAGCGCTTGAAATCTCCACTTGCAAATTCCACAAAAACAGTGTTTCAAATCTGCTCTCTCCAAATGAAAGCTCAACTCTGTCAGTTGAATACACACAACACAAGGAAGTTACTGAGAATTCTTCTTTCTAGCAGAATATGAAGAAATCCCGTTTCCAACGAAAGCCTCAAGGATGTCTGAATATCCACTTGCAGACTTTACAAACAGAGTGTTTCCTAACTGCTCTATGAAAAGAAAGGTTAAACTCTGTGAGTTGAACGCTCACATCACAAAGGAGTTTCTGAGAATCATTCTGTCTAGTTTCTATAGGAAGATATTTCCTAATCTACCACTGACCTCAAAGCGGCTGAAATCTCCACTTGCAAATTCCACAAAAGGAGTGTTTCAAGTCTGCTCTGTGTAAAGGATCGTTCAACTCTGTGAGTTGAAAACACACAACACAAGGAAGTTTCTGAGAATTCTTCTGTCTAGCAGAATATGAAGAAATCCCTTTTCCAACGAAGGCCTCAAGGAGGTCTGAATATCCACTTGCAGACTTTACAAACAGAGTGTTTCCTAACTGCTCTATGAACAGAAAGGTTAAACTCTGTGAGTTGAACGAACACATCACAACGCAGTTTGTGGGAATGATTCTGTCTAGTTTTGAAACGAAGATATTTCCTTTTCTGTCATTGACCTTAAAGCGCTTGAAATCTACACTTGCAAATTGAACAAATAGAGTGTTTCAAATCTGCTCTGTCTAAGGGAACGTTCAACTCTGTGAGTTGAATGCACACAACACAAGGAAGTTACTGGGAATTCTTCTGTCTATCCTTACAGGAAAAAAACCCGTTTCCAACGAAGGCCTCTAAGTGGTCAAAATATCCACGTGCAGACTTTACAAACAGAGTGTTTCCAAACTGCTGAATGAAAAGAAAAGTTAAACTCTGAGAGTTGAACGCACACATCGCAGAGCAGTTTCTGAGAATGATTCTGTCTAGTTTTGAAACGAAGATATTTCCTTTTCTGCCTTTGGCCTCAAAGCGCTTGAAATCTCCACTTGCAAATTCCACAAAAAGAGTGTTTCAAATCTGCTCTGTGTAAATGAAAGTTCAACACTGTGAGTTGAACACACACAACACAAGGAAGTTACTGGGAATTCTTCTGTCTAGCAGAATATGAAGAAATCCCGTTTCCAACGAAGGCCTCAAGGAGGTCTGAATATCCACTTGCAGACTTTACAAACAGAGTGTTTCCTAACTGCTCTATGAAAAGAAAGGTTAAACTCTGTGAGTTGAACGCACACATCACAATGGAGTTTCTGAGAATCGTTCTGTCTAGTTTTTATACGAAGATATTTCCTTTTCTACCATTGACCTCAAAGCGGCTGAAATCTCCACCCTGCCAATTCCACAAAAAGAGTGTTTCAAGTCTACTCTGTGTAAAGGATCGTTGAACTCTGTGAGTTGAAAACACACAACACAACGAAGTTTCTGAGAATTCTTCTGTCTAGCAGAATATGAAGAAATCCCGTTTCCAACGAAGGCCACAAGATGTCAGAATATCCACTTACAGAATTGACAAACAGACTGTTTCCTAACTGCTCTATGAACAGAAAGGTTAAACTCTGTGAGTTGAACGAACACATCACAACGCAGTTTGTGGGAATGATTCTGTCTAGTTTTGAAACGAAGATATTTCCTTTTCTGCCATTGACCTTAAAGCGCTTGAAATCTCCATTTGCCAATTGCACAAAAAGAGTGTTTCAAATCTGCTCTGTCTGAGGGAACGTTCAACTCTGTGAGTTGAATGTACACAACACAAGGAAGTTACTGGGAATTCTTCTGTCTAGCCTTACATGAAAAAAACCCGTTTCCAACGAAGGCCTCTAAGTGGTCAAATTATCCACGTGCAGAGTTTACAAACAGAGTGTTTCCAAACTGCTGAATGAAAAGCAAAGTTAAACTCTGAGAGTTGAACGCACACATCGCAGAGCAGTTTCTGAGAATGATTCTGTCTATTTTTTATACGAAGATATTTGCTTTTCTACCATTGACCTCAACGCGGCTGAAATCTCCACTTGCAAATTCCACAAAAAGTGTGTTTCAAGTCCGCTCTGTGTAAAGGATCGTTCAACTCTGTGAGTTGAATACACACAACACAAGGAAGTTACTGAGAATTCTTCTGTCTAGCACAGTATGAAGAAATCCCGTTTCCAACGAAGGCCTCAAAGAGGTCTGAATATCCACTTGCAGACTTTACAAACAGAGTGTTTCCTAACTGCTCTATGAAAAGAAAGGTTAAACTCTGTGAGTTGAACGCACACATCCCAAAGGAGTTTCTGAGAATCATTCTGTCTAGTTTTTCTACGAAGATATTTCCTTTTCTACGATTGACCTCAAAGCGGCTGAAATCTCCACTTGCAAATTCCACAAAAAGAGTGTTTCAAGTCTGCTCTGTGTAAAGGATCGTTCAACTCTGTGAGTTGAATACACACAACAAAAGGAAGTTACTGAGAATTCTTCTGTCTAGCAGCATATGAAGAAATCCCGTTTCCAACGAAGGCCACAAGATGTCAGAATATCCACTTACAGAATTTACAAACAGACTGTTTCCTAACTGCTCTATGAAAAGAAAGGTTAAACTCTGTGAGTTGAACGAACACATCACAGCGCAGTTTGTGGGAATGATTCTGTCTAGTTTTTATACGAAGATATTTCCTTTTCTACCATTGACCTCAAACCGGCTGAAATCACCACTTGCCAATTGCACAAAAAGAGTGTTTCAAATCTGCTCTGTCTAAGGGAACGTTCAACTCTCTGAGTTGAATGTACACAACATAAGGAAGTTCCTGGGAATTCTTCTGTCTAGCCTTACAGGAAAAAAAACCCGTTTCCAACGAAGGCCTCTAAGTGGTCAAGTTATCCACGTGCAGACTTTACAAACAGAGTGTTTCCAAACTGCTGAATGAAAAGAAAAGTTAAACTCTGAGAGTTGAACGCACACATCGCAGAGCAGTTTCTGAGAATGATTCTGTCTAGTTTTTATACGAAGATATTTCCTTTTCTGCCTTTGGCCCCAAAGCGCATGAAATCTCCACTTGCAAATTCCACAAAAACAGTGTTTCAAATCTGCTCTCTCTAAATGAAAGTTCAACTCTGTCAGTTGAATACACACAACACAAGGGAAGTTACTGAGAATTCTTCTGTCTAGCAGAATATGAAGAAATCCCGTTTCCAACGAAGGCCTCAAAGAGGTCTGAATATCCACTTGCAGACTTTACAAACAGAGTGTTTCCTAACTGCTCTAAGAAAAGAAAGGTTAAACTCTGTGAGTTGAACGCTCACATCACAAAGGAGTTTCTGAGAATCGTTCTGTCTAGTTTCTATAGGAAGATATTTCCTATTCTACGATTGACCTCAAAGCGGCTGAAATCTCCACTTGCAAATTCCACAAAAAGAATGTTTCTAGTCTGCTCTGTGTAAAGGATCGTTCAACTCTGTGAGTTGAATACACAAAACACAAGGAAGTTACTGAGAATTCTTCTGTCTAGCATAATATGAAGAAATCCCGTTTCCAACGAAGGCCACAAGATATCAGAATATCCACTTACAGACTTTACAAAGAGAGTGTTTCCTAACTGCTCTATGAACAGAAAGGTTAAACTCTGTGAGTTGAACGAACACATCACAACGCAGTTTGTGGGAATGATTCTGTCTAGTTTTGAAACGAAGATATTTCCTTTCCTGCCATTGACCTTAAAGCGCTTGAAATCTCCATTTGCCAATTGCACAAAAAGAGTGTTTCAAATCTGCTCTGTCTAAGGGAACGTTCAACTCTGTGAGTTGAATGTACACAACACAAGGGAAGTTACTGGGAATTCTTCTGTCTAGCCTTACATGAAAAAAACCCGTTTCCAACGAAGGCCTCTAAGTGGTCAAAATTTCCACGTGCAGACTTTACAAACAGAGTGTTTCCAAACCGCTGAATGAAATGAAAAGTTAAACTCTGAGAGTTGAACGCACACATCACGCAGCAGTTTCTGAGAATGATTCTGTCTAGTTTTGAAACGAAGATATTTACTTTTCTGCCTTTGGCCTCAAAGCGCTTGAAATCTCCACTTGCAAATTCCACAAAAAGAGTGTTTCAAATCTGCTCTGTGTAAATGAAAGTTCAACTCTGTGAGTTGAACACACACAACACAAGGAAGTTACTGGGAATTCTTCTTTCTAGCAGAATATGAAGAAATCCCGTTTCCAACGAAAGCCTCAAGGATGTCTGAATATCCACTTGCAGACTTTACAAACAGAGAGTTTCCTAACTGCTCTATGAAAAGAAAGGTTAAACTCTGTGAGTTGAACGCACACATCACAAAGGAGTTTCTGAGAATCATTCTGTCTAGTTTCTATAGGAAGATATTTCCTATTCTACCATTGACCACAAAGCGGCTGAAATCTCCACTTGCAAATTCCACAAAAAGAGTGTGTCAAGTCTGCTCTCTGTAAAGGATCGTTCAACTCTGTGAGTTGAATACACACAACACAAGGAAGTTACTGAGAATTCTTCTTTCTAGCAGAATATGAAGAAATCCCGTTTCCAACGAAAGCCTCAAGGATGTCTGAATATCCACATGCAGACTTTACAAACAGAGTGTTTCCCAACTGCTCTAGGAAAAGAAAGGTTGAACTCTGTGAGTTGAACGCACACATCACAAAGGAGTTTCTGAGAATCATTCTGTCTAGTTTTGAAACGAAGATATTTCCTTTTCTGCCATTGACCTTAAAGCGCTTGAAATCTACACTTGCAAATTGCACAAATAGAGTGTTTCAAATCTGCTCTGTCTAAGGGAACGTTCAACTCTGTGAGTTGAATGCACACAACACAAGGAAGTTACTGGGAATTCTTCTGTCTAGCCTTACATGAAAAAAACCCGTTTCCAACGAAGGCCTCTATGTGGTCAAATTATCCACGTGCAGGCTTTACAAACAGAGTGTTTCCAAACTGCTGAATGAAAAGAAAAGTTAAACTCTGATAGTTGAACGCACACATCGCAGAGCAGTTTCTGAGAATGATTCTGTCTAGTTTTGAAACGAAGATATTTCCTTTTCTGCCTTTGGCCTCAAAGCGCTTGAAATCTCCACTTGCAAATTCCATAAAAAGCGTGTTTCAAATCTGCTCTGTGTGAATGAAAGTTCAACTCTGTGAGTTGAATACACACAACACAAGGAAGTTACTGAGAATTCTTCTGTCAGGCATAATATGAACAAATCCCGTTTGCAACGAAGGCCTCAAAGAGGTCTGAATATCCACTTGCAGAGTTTACAAACAGAGTGTTTCCTAACTGCTCTATGAAAAGAAAAGTTAAACTCTGTGAGTTGAACGCACACATCATAAAAGAGTTTCTGAGAATCATTCTGTCTATTTTCTATAGGAAGATATTTCCTATTCTACCATTGACCTCAAAGCGGCTGAAATCTCCACTTGCAAATTCCACAAAAAGAGTGTTTCAAGTCTGCTCTGTGTAAAGGATCGTTCAACTCTGTGAGTTGAATACACACAACACAAGGAAGTTACTGAGAATTCTTCTGTCTAGCAGAATATGAAGAAATCCCGTTTCCAACGAAGGCCACAAGATGTCAGAATATCCACTTACAGACTTTACAAACAGAGTGTTTCCTAACTGCTCTATGAACAGAAAGGTTAAACTCTGTGATTTGAACGAACACATCACAACGCAGTTTGTGGGAATGATTCTGTCTAGTTTTGAAACGAAGATATTTCCTTTTCTGCCATTGAACTTAAAGCGCTTGAAATCTCCATTTGCCAATTGCACAAAAAGAGTGTTTCAAATCTGCTCTGTCTAAGGGAACGTTCAACTCTGTGAGTTGAATGTACACAACACAAGGAAGTTACTGGGAATTCCTCTGTGTAGCCTTACAGGAAAAAAACCCGTTTCCAACGAAGGCCTCTAAGTGGTCAAAATATCCACGTGCAGACTTTACAAACAGAGTGTTTCCAAACTGCTGAATGAAAAGAAAAGTTAAACTCTGAGAGTTGAACGCACACATCGCAGAGCAGTTTCTGAGAATGATTCTGTCTAGTTTTTCTACGAAGATATTTCCTTTTCTACTATTGACCTCAATGCGGCTGAAATCTCCACTTGCAAATTCCACAAAAAGAGTGTTTCAAGTCTGCTCTGTGTAAAGGATCGTTCAACTCTGCGAGTTCAATACACACAACACAAGGAAGTTACTGAGAATTCTTCTGTCTAGCATAATATGAAGAAATCCCGTTTCCAACGAAGGCCACAAAGGGGTCTGAATATCCACTTGCAGACTTTATAAACAGAGTGTTTCCTAACTGCTCTATGAAAAGAAAGTTTAAACTCTGTGAGTTGAACACACACATCAGAAAGGAGTTTCTGAGAATCATTCTGTCTAGTTTCTATAGGAAGATATTTCCTATTCTACCATTGACCTCAAAGCGGCTGAAATCTCCAATTGCAAATTCCACAAAAAGAGTGTTTCAAGTCTGCTCTGTGTAAAGGATCGTTCAACTCTGTGAGTTGAATACACACAACACAAGGAAGTTACTGAGAATTATTCTTTCTAGCAGAATATGAAGAAATCCCGTTTCCAAAGAAAGACTCAAGGATGTCTGAATATCCACTTGCAGACTTTACAAATAGAGTGTTTCCTAACTGCTCTATGAAAAGAAAGGTTAAACTCTGTGAGTTGAACGCACACATCACAAAGGAGTTTCTGAGAATCATTCTGTCTGGTTTTGAAACGAAGATATTTCCTTTTCTACCATTGACCTCAAAGCGGCTGAAATCACCACTTGCCAATTGCACAAAAAGAGTGTTTCAAATCTGCTCTGTCTAAGGGAACGTTCAACTCTGTGAGTTGAATGTACACAACACAAGGAAGTTCCTGGGAATTCTTCTGTCTAGCCTTACAGGAAAAAAACCCGTTTCCAACGAAGGCCTCTAAGTGGTCAAGTTATCCACGTGCAGACTTTACAAACAGAGTGTTTCCAAACTGCTGAATGAAAAGAAAAGTTAAACTCTGAGAGTTGAACGCACACATCGCAGAGCAGTTTCTGAGAATGATTCTGTCTAGTTTTGAAACGAAGATATTTCCTTTTCTGCCTTTGGCCTCAAAGCGCTTGAAATCTCCACTTGCAAATTCCACAAAAAGAGTGTTTCAAATCTGCTCTGTGTAAATGAAAGTTCAACTCTGTGAGTTGAATACACACAACACAAGGAAGTTACTGAGAATTCTTCTGTCTAGCATAATATGAAGAAATCCCGTTTCCAACGAAGGCCTCAAAGAGGTCTGAATATCCACTTGCAGACTTTACAAACAGAGTGTTTCCTAACTGCTCTATGAAAAGAAAGGTTAAACTCTGTGAGTTGAACGCACACATCACAAAGGAGGTTCTGAGAATCATTCTGTCTAGTTTTTATATGAAGATATTTCCCTTTCTACCATTGACCTCAAAGCGGCTGAAATCTCCACTTACAAATTCCACAAAAAGAGTGTCTCAAGTCTGCTCTGTGTAAACGATCGTTCAACTCTGTGAGTTGAATACACACAACACAAGGAAGTTTCTGAGAATTCTTCTGTATAGCAGAATATGAAGAAATCCCGTTTCCAACGAAGGCCTCAAGGAGGTCTGAATATCCACTTGCAGACTTTACAAACAGAGTGTTTCCTAACTGCTCTATGAAAAGAAAGGTTAAACTCTGTGAGTTGAATGCACACATCACAAAGGAGTTTCTGAGAATCATTCTGTCTAGTTTTGAAACGAAGATATTTCCTTTTCTGCCATTGACCTTAAAGCGCTTGAAATCTCCACTTGCCAATTGCACAAAAAGAGTGTTTCAAATCTGCTCTGTCTAAGGGAACGTTCACCTCTGTGAGTTGAATGTACACAACACAAGGAAGTTACTGGGAATTCTTCTGTCTAGCCTAACATGAAAAAAACCCGTTTCCAACGAAGGCCTCTAAGTGGTCAAAATATCCACGTGCAGACTTTACGAACAGAGTGTTTCCAAACCGCTGAATGAAAAGAAAAGTTAAACTCTGAGAGTTGAACGCACACATCACGCAGCAGTTTCTGAGAATGATTCTGTCTAGTTTTTATACGAAGATATTTCCTTTTCTGCCTTTGGCCCCAAAGCGCTTGAAATCTCCACTTGCAAATTCCACAAAAACAGTGTTTCAAATCTGCTCTCTCTAAATGAAAGTTCAACACTGTCAGTTGAATACACACAACACAAGGAAGTTACTGAGAATTCTTCTGTCTAGCATAATATGAAGAAATCCCGTTTCTAACGAAGGCCTCAAAGAGGTCTGAATATCCACTTGCAGACTTTACAAACAGAGTGTTTCCTAACTGCTCTATGAAAAGAAAGGTTAAACTCTGTGAGTTGAACGCACACATCACAAAGGAGTTTCTGAGAATCATTCTGTCTAGTTTTTATACGAAGATATTTCCTTTTCTACCATTGACCTCAAAGCGGCTGAAATCTCCACTTGCAAATTCCAGAAAAAGAGTGTTTCAAGTCTGCTCTGTGTAAAGGATCGTTCAACTCTGTGAGTTGAATACACACAACACAAGGAAGTTACTGAGAATTCTTCTGTCTAGCAGAATATGAACAAATCCCGTTTCCAACGAAAGCCTCAAGGAGGTCTGAATATCCACTTGCAGACTTTACAAACAGAGTGTTTCCTAACTGCTCTATGAACAGAAAGGTTAAACTCTGTGAGTTGAACGAACACATCACAACGCAGTTTGTGGGAATGATTCTGTCTAGTTTTTATACGAAGATATTTCCTTTTCTACCATTGACCTCAAAGCGGTTGAAATCACCACTTGCCAATTGCACAAAAAAAGTGTTTCAAATCTGCTCTGTCTAAGGGAACGTTCAACTCTGTGAGTTGAATGTACACAACACAAGGAAGTTACTGGGAATTCTTCTGTCTAGCATAATATGAAGAAATCCCGTTTCCAACGAAGGCCTCAAAGAGGTCTGAATATCCACTTGCAGACTTTACAAACAGAGTGTTTCCAAACCGCTGAATGAAAAGAAAAGTTAAACTCTGAGAGTTGAACGCACACATCACGCAGCAGTTTCTGAGAATGATTCTGTCTAGTTTTGAAACGAAGATATTTCCTTTTCTGCCTTTGGCCTTAAAGCGCTTGAAATCTCCACTTGCAAATTCCACAAAAAGAGTGTTTCAAATCTGCTCTGTGTAAATGAAAGTTCAACTCTGTGAGTTGAACACACACAACACAAGGAAGTTACTGGGAATTCTTCTGTCTAGCATAATATGAAGAAACCCCGTTTCCAACGAAGGCCACAAAGGGCTCTGAATATCCACTTGCAGACTTTATAAACAGAGTGTTTACTAACTGCTCTATGAAAAGAAAGGTTAAACTCTGTGAGTTGAACACACACATCACAAAGGAGTTTCTGAGAATCATTCTGTCTAGTTTCTATAGGAAGATATTTCCTAGTTCTACCATTGACCTCAAAGCGGCTGAAATCTCCACTTGCAAATTCCACAAAAAGAGTGTTTCAAGTCTGCTCTCTGTAAAGGATCGTACAACTCTGAGTTGAATACACACAACACAAGGAAGTTACTGAGAATTATTCTGTCTAGCATAATATGAAGAAATCCCTTTTCCAACGAAGGCCTCAAAGAGGTCTGAATATCCACCTGCAGACTTTACAAACAGAGTGTTTCCTAACTGCTCTATGAAAAGAAAACTTAAACTCTGTGAGTTGAACGCACACATCACAAAGGAGTTTCTGAGAATCATTCTGTCTAGTTTTGAAACGAAGATATTTCCTTTTCTGCCATTGACCTCAAAGCGCTTGAAATCTCCACTTGCCAATTGCACAAAAAGAGTGTTTCAAATCTGCTCTGTCTAAGGGAACGTTCAACTCTGTGAGTTGAATGTACACAACACAAGGAAGTTACTGGGAATTCTTCTGTCTAGCCTTACAGGAAAAAAACCCGTTTCCAACGAAGGCCTCTAAGTGGTCAAAATATCCACGTGCAGACTTTACAAACAGTGTGTTTCCAAACTGCTGAATGAAAAGAAAAGTTAAACTCTGAGAGTTGAACGCACACATCGCAGAGCAGTTTCTGAGAATGATTCTGCCTAGTTTTTATACGAAGATATTTCCTTTTCTGCCTTTGGCCTGAAAGCGCTTGAAATCTCCACTTGCAAATTCCACAAAAAGAGTGTTTCAAATCTGCTCTGTGTAAATGAAAGTTCAACTCTGTGAGTTGAACACACACAACACAAGGGAAGTTACTGGGAATTCTTCTGTCTAGCAGAATATGAAGAAATCCCGTTTCCAACGAAGGCCTCAAAGAGGTCTGAATATCCACTTGCAGACTTTACAAACAGAGTGTTTCTTAACTGCTCTATGAAAAGAAAGGTTAAACTCTGTGAGTTGAACGCACACATCACAAAGGAGTTTCTGAGAATCATTCTGTCTAGTTTTTATACGAAGATATTTCCTTTTCTACCATTGACCTCAAAGCGGCTGAAATCTCCACTTGCAAATTCCACAAAACGAGTGTTTCAAGTCTGCTCTGTGTAAAGGATCGCTCAACTCTGTGAGTTGAATACACACAACACAAAGAAGTTACTGAGAATTCTTCTGTCTAGCAGAATATGAAGAAATCCCGTTTCCAACGAAGGCCACAAGATATCAGAATATCCACTTACAGAATTTACAAACAGACTGTTTCCTAACTGCTCTATGAAAAGAAAGGTTAAACTCTGTGAGTTGAACGAACACATCACAACGCAGTTTGTGGGAATGATTCTGTCTAGTTTTGAAACGAAGATATTTCCTTTTCTGCCATTGACCTTAAAGCGCTTGAAATCTACACTTGCAAATTGCACAAATAGAGTGTTTCAAATCTGCTCTGTCTAAGGGAACGTTCAACTCTGTGAGTTGAATGCACATAACACAAGGAAGTTACTGGGAATTCTTCTGTCTAGCCTTACATGAAAAAAACCCGTTTCCAACGAAGGCCTCTAAGTGGTCAAAATTTCCACGTGCAGACTTTACAAACAGAGTGTTTCCAAACTGCTGAATGAAAAGAAAAGTTAAACTCTGAGAGTTGAACGCACACATCACGCAGCAGTTTCTGAGAATGATTCTGTCTACTTTTTATACGAAGATATTTCCTTTTCTGCCTTTGGCCCCAAAGCGCTTGAAATCTCCACTTGCAAATTCCACAAAAACAGTGTTTCAAATCTGCTCTCTCTAAATGAAAGTTCAACTCTGTCAGTTGAATACACACAACACAAGGAAGTTACTGAGAATTCTTCTGTCTAGCATAATATGAAGAAATCCCGTTTCCAACGAAGGCCACAAAGAGGTCTGAATATCCACTTGCAGACTTTACAAACAGAGTGTTTCCTAACTGCTCTATGAAAAGAAAAGTTAATCTCTGTGAGTTGAACGCACACATCACAAACGAGTTTCTGAGAATCATTCTGTCTAGTTTTTATAGGAAGATATTTCCTTTTCTACCATTGACCTCAAAGCGGCTGAAATCTCCACTTGCAAATTCCACAAAAAGAGTGTTTCAAATCTGCTCTGTGTAAAGGATCGTTCAACTCTGTGAGTTGAATACACACAACACAAGGAAGATTCTGAGAATTCTTCTGTCTAGCAGAATATGAAGAAATCCCGTTTCCAACGAAGGCCACAAGATGTCAGAATATCCACTTACAGAATTTTCAAACAGACTGTTTCCTAACTGCTCTATGAAAAGAAAGGTTAAACTCTGTGAGTTGAACGAACACATCACAACGCAGTTTGTGGGAGTGATTCTGTCTAGTTTTAAAACGAAGATATTTCCTTTTCTACCATTGACCTTAAAGCGCTTGAAATCTACACTTGCAAATTGCACAAATAGAGTGTTTCAAATCTGCTCTGTCTAAGGGAACGTTCAACTCTGTGAGTTGAATGCACACAACACAAGGGAAGTTACTGGGAATTCTTCTGTCTATCCTTACATGAAAAAAACCCGTTTCCAACGAAGGCCTCTAAGTGGTCAAATTATCCACGTGCAGACTTTACAAACAGAGTGTTTCCAAACTGCTGAATGAAAAGAAAAGTTAAACTCTGAGAGTTGAACGCACACATCGCAGAGCAGTTTCTGAGAATGATTCTGTCTAGTTTTTATACGAAGTATATTTCCTTTTCTGCCTTTGGCCTCAAAGCGCTTGAAATCTCCACCTGCAAATTCCACAAAAAGAGTGTTTCAAATCTGCTCTGTGTAAATGAAAGTTCAACTCTGTGAGTTGAACACACACAACACAAGGAAGTTACTGGGAATTCTTCTGTCTAGCCTTATATGAAAAATCCCGTTTCCAAAGAAGGCCTCAAAGAGGTCTGAATATCCACTTGCAGACTTTACAAACAGAGTGTTTCCTAACTGCTCTATGAAAAGAAAGGTTAAACTCTGTGAGTTGAACACACACATCACAAAGGAGTTTCTGAGAATCATTCTGTCTAGTTTCTATAGGAAGATATTTCCTATTCTACCATTGACCTCAAAGCGGCTGAAATCTCCACTTGCAATTTCGACAAAAAGAGTGTTTCAAGCCTGCTCTCTCTAAAGGATCCTTCAACTCTGTGAGTTGAATACACACAAAACAAGGAACTTACTGAGAATTATTCTGTCTAGCAGAATATGAAGAAATCCCGTTTCCAACGAAGGCCACAAGATGTCAGAATATCCACTTACAGAATTTACAAACAGACTGTTTCCTAAGTGCTCTATGAAAAGAAAGGTTAAACTCTGTGAGTTGAACGAACACATCACAACGCAGTTTGTGGGAATGATTCTGTCTAGTTTTTATACGAAGATATTTCCTTTTCTACCATTGACGTCAAAGCGGCTGAAATCACCACTTGCCAATTGCACAAAAAGAGTGTTTCAAATCTGCTCTGTCTAAGGGAACGTTCAACTCTGTGAGTTGAATGTACACAACACAAGGAAGTTCCTGGGAATTCTTCTGTCTAGCCTTACATGAAAAAAAACCCGTTTCCAACGAAGGCCTCTAAGTGGTCAAAATATCCACGTGCAGTCTTTACAAACAGAGTGTTTCCAAACCGCTGAATGAAAAGAAAAGTTAAACTCTGAGACTTGAACGCACACATCACGCAGCAGTTTCTGAGAATGATTCTGTCTAGTTTTTATACGAAGATATTTCCTTTTCTGCCTTTGGCCTCAAAGCGCTTGAAATCTCCACTTGCAAATTCCACAAAAAGAGTGTTTCAAATCTGCTCTGTCTAAGGGAACGTTCAACTCTGTGAGTTGAACACACACAACACATGGAAGTTACTGGGAATTCTTCTGTCTAGCAGAATATGAAGAAAGCCCGCTTCCAACGAAGGCCTCAAAGAAGTCTGAATATCCACTTGCAGACTTTACAAACAGAGTGTTTCCCAACTGCTCTATTAAAAGAAAGGTTGAACTCTGTGAGTTGAACGCACACATCACAAAGGAGTTTCTGAGAATCATTCTGTCTAGTTTTTATAGGAAGATATTTCCTTTCTAACTTTGACCTCAAAGCGGCTGAAATCTCCACTTGCAAATTCCACAAAAAGAGTGTTTCAAGTCTGCTCTGTGTAAAGGATCGTTCAACTCTGTGAGTTGAATACACGCAACACACGGAAGTTACTGAGAATTCTTCTGTCTAGCAGAATATGAAGAAATCCCGTTTCCAACGAAGGCCTCAAAGAGGTCTGAATATCCACTTGCAGACTTTAGAAACAGAGTGTTTCCTAACTGCTCTATGAAAAGAAAAGTTAAACTCTGTGAGTTGAAGGCACACATCACAAAGGAGTTTCTGAGAATCATTCTGTCTAGTTTTGAAACGAAGATATTTCCTTTTCTGCCATTGACCTTAAAGCGCTTGAAATCTACACTTGCCAATTGCACAAATAGAGTGTTTCAAATCTGCTCTGTCTAAGGGAACGTTCAACTCTGTGAGTTGAATGCACACAACACAAGGAAAGTTACTGGGAATTCTTCTGTCTAGCCTTCCAGGAAAAAAACCCGTTTCCAACAAAGGCCTCTAAGTGGTCAAAATATCCACGTGCAGACTTTACAAACAGAGTGTTTCCAAACTGCTGAATGAAAAGAAAAGTTAAACTCTGAGAGTTCAACGCACACATCGCAGAGCAGTTTCTGAGAATGATTCTGTCTAGTTTTGAAACGAAGATATATCCTTTTCTACCGTTGACCTCAACGCGGCTGAAATCTCCATTTGCAAATTCCACAAAAAGAGTGTTTCAAATCTGCTCTGTGTAAATGAAAGTTCAACTCTGTGAGTTGAACACACACAACACAAGGAAGTTACTGGGAATTCTTCTCTCTAGCCTTATATGAAAAAAACCCGTTTCCAACGAAGGCCTCAAAGAGGTCTGAATATGAACTTGCAGACTTTACAAACAGAGTGTTTCCTAACTGCTCTATGAAAAGAAAGGTTAAACTCTGTGAGTTGAACGCACACATCACAAAGGAGTTTCTGAGAATCTTTCTGTCCAGTTTCTATAGGAAGATATTTCCTTTTCTACCATTGACCTCAAAGCGGCTGAAATCTCCACTTGCAAATTCCACAAAAAGAGTGTTTCAAGTCTGCTCTGTGTAAAGGATCGTTCAACTCTGTGAGTTGAATACACACAACACAAGGAAGTTACTGAGAATTTTTCTGTCTAGCAGAATATGAAGAAATCCCGTTTCCAACGAAGGCCACAAGATGTCAGAATATCCACTTACAGAATTTACAAACAGAGTGTTTCCTAACTGCTCTATGAAAAGAAAGGTTAAACTCTGTGAGATGAACGAACACATCACAACGCAGTTTTTGGGAATGATTCTGTCTAGTTTTGAAACGAAGATATTTCCTTTTCTGCCATTGACCTTAAAGCGCTTGAAATCTCCACTTGCCAATTGCACAAAAAGAGTATTTCAAATCTGCTCTGTCTAAGGGAACGTTCAACTCTGTGAGTTGAATGTACACAACACAAGGAAGTTACTGGGAATTCTTCTGTCTAGCCTTACATGAAAAAAACCCGTTTCCAACGAAGGCCTCTAAGTGGTCAAAATATCCACGTGCAGACTTTACAAACAGAGTGTTTCCAAACCGCTGAATGAAAAGAAAAGTTAAACTCTGAGAGTTCAACGCACACATCACGCAGCAGTTTCTGAGTATGATTCTGTCTAGTTTTTATACGAAGATATTTCCTTTTCTGCCTTTGGCCCCAAAGCGCTTGAAATCTCCACTTGCAAATTCCACAAAAACTGTGTTTCAAATCTGCTCTCTCTAAATGAAAGTTCAACTCTGTGAGTTGAATACACACAACACAAGGAAGTTACTGAGAATTCTTCTGTCTAGCATAATAAGAAGAAATCCCGTTTCCAAAGAAGGCCTCAAGGAGGTCCGAATATCCACTTGCAGACTTTACAAACAGAGTGTTTCCTAACTGCTCTATGAAAAGAAAGGTTAAACTCTGTGAGTTGAACGCACACATCACAAAGGAGTTTCTGAGAATCATTCTGTCAAGTTTTTATACGAAGATATTTCCTTTTCTACCATGGACCTCAAAGCGGCTGAAATCTCCACTTGCAAATTCCACAAAACGAGTGTATCAAGTCTGCTCTGTGTAAAGTATCGTTCAACTCTGTGAGTTGAATAAACACAACACAAAGAAGTTACTGAGAATTCTTCTTTCTAGCAGAATATGAAGAAATCCCGTTTCCAACGAAAGCCTCAAGGATGTCTGAATATCCACTTGCAGACTTTACAAACAGAGTGTTTCCTAACTGCTCTATGAAAAGAAAGGTTCAACTCTGTGAGTTGAACGCACACATCACAAAGGAGGTTCTGAGAATCATTCTGTCTAGTTTTGAAACGAAGATATTTCCTTTTCTGCCATTGACCTTAAAGCGCTTGAAATCTCCACTTGCCAATTGCACAAAAAGAGTGTTTCAAATCTGCTTTGTCTAAGGGAACGTTCAACTCTGTGAGTTGAATGTACACAACACAAGGAAGTTACTGGGAATTCTTCTGTCTAGCCTTACATGAAAAAAAACCCGTTTCCAAGGAAGGCCTCAAAGAGGTCTGAATATCCACTTGCAGACTTTACAAACAGAGTGTTTCCAAACTGCTGAATGAAAAGAAAAGTTAAACTCTGTGAGTTGAACGCACACATCACAAAGAAATTTCTGAGAATCATTCTGTCTAGTTTTTATACGAAGATATTTCCTTTTCGGCCTTTGGCCTCAAAGCGCTTGAAATCTCCACTTGCAAATTCCACAAAAAGAGTATTTCAAATCTGCTCTGTGTAAATGAAAGTTCAACTCTGTGAGTTGAACACACACAACACAAGGAAGTTACTGGGAATTCTTCTCTCTAGCCTTATATGAAAAAAACCCGTTTCCAACGAAGGCCTCAAAGAGGTCTGAATATCCACTTGCAGACTTTAGAAACGGAGTGTTTCCTAACTGCTCTATGAAAAGAAAGGTTAAACTCTGTGAGTTGAACGCACACATCACAAAGGAGTTTCTGAGAATCATTCTGTCTAGTTTTTATACGAAGATATTTCCTTTTCTACCATTGACCTCAACGCGGCTGAAATCTCCACTTGCAAATTCCACAAAAAGAGTGTTACAAGTCTGCTCTGTGTAAAGGATCGTTCAACTCTGTGAGTTGAATACACACAACACAAGGAAGTTACTGAGAATTCTTCTGTCTAGCATAGTATGAAGAAATCCCGTTTCCAACGATGGCCTCAAAGAGGTCTGAATATCCACTTGCAGACTTTACAAACAGAGTGTTTCCTAACTCCTCTATGAAAAGAAAGGTTAAACTCTGTGAGTTGAACGCACACATCACAAAGAAGTTTCTGAGAATCATTCTGTCTAGTTTTGAAACGAAGATATTTCCTTTTCTGCCATTGACCTTAAAGCGCTTGAAATCTCCACTTGCCAATTGCACAAAAAGAGTGTTTCAAATCTGCTCTGTGTAAATGAAAGTTCAACTCTGTGAGTTGAACACACACAACACAAGGAAGTTACTGGGAATTCTTCTGTCTAGCCTTACAGGAAAAAAACCCGTTTCCAACGAAGGCCTCTAAGTGGTCAAAATATCCACGTGCAGACTTTCCAAACAGAGTGTTTCCAAACTGCTGAATGAAAAGAAAAGTTAAACTCTGAGAGTTGAACGCACACATCGCAGAGCAGTTTCTGAGAATGATTCTTTCTAGTTTTTATACGAAGATATTTCCTTTTCTGCCTTTGGCCCCAAAGCGCTTGAAATCTCCACTTGCAAATTCCACAAAAACAGTGTTTCAAATCTGCTCTCTCCAAATGAAAGTTCAACTCTGTCAGTTGAATACACACAACACAAGGAAGTTACTGAGAATTCTTCTGCCTAGCAGAATATGAAAAAATCCCGTTTCCAACGAAAGCCTCAAAGATGTCTGAATATCCACTTGCAGACTTTACAAACAGAGTGTTTCCTAACTGCTCTATGAAAAGAAAGGTTAAACTCTGTGAGTTGCACGCACACATCACAAAGGAGTTTCTGAGAATCATTCTGTCTAGTTTTTATACGAAGATATTTCCTTTTCTACCATTGACCTCAAAGAGGCTGAAATCTCCACTTGCAAATTCCAGAAAAAGAGTGTTTCAAGTCTGCTCTGTGTAAAGGATCGTTCAACTCTGTGAGTTGAATACACACAACACAAGGAAGTTACTGAGAATTCTTCTGTCTAGCATAATATGAAGAAATCCCATTTCCTACGAAGGCCTCAAAGAGGTCTGAATATCCACTTGCAGACTTTACAAACAGAGTGTTTCCTAACTGCTCTATGAAAAGAAAGGCTAAACTCTGTGAGTTGAGTGCACACATCACAAAGGAGTTTCTGAGAATCATTCTGTCTAGTTTTGAAACGAAGATATTTCCTTTTCTGCCATTGACCTTAAAGCGCTTGAAATCTCCACTTGCCAATTGCACAAAAAGAGTGTTTCAAATCTGCTCTGTCTAAGGGAACGTTCAACTCTGTGAGTTGAATGTACACAACACAAGGAAGTTATTGGGAATTCTTCTGTCTAGCCTTACAGGAAAAAAACCCGTTTCCAACGAAGGCCTCTAAGTGGTCAAAATATCCACGTGCAGACTTTAAAAAACAGAGTGTTTCCAAACTGCTGAATGAAAAGAAAAGTTAAACTCTGAGAGTTGAACGCACACATCGCAGAGCAGTTTCTGAGAATGATTCTGTCTAGTTTCTATAGGAAGATATTTCCTATTCTACCATTGAACTCAAAGCGGCTGAAATCTCCACTTGCAAATTCCACAAAAAGAGTGTTTCAAGTCTGCTCTGTGTAAAGGATCGTTCAACTCTGTGAGTTGAATACACACAACACAAGGAAGTTACTGAAAATTCTTCTGTCTAGCATAATATGAAGAAATCCCGTTTCCAACGAAGGCCTCAAGGAGGTCTGAATATCCACTTGCAGACTTTACAAACAGAGTGTTTCCTAACTGCTCTATGAAAAGAAAGGTTAAACTCTGTGAGTTGAATGCACACATCACAAAGGAGTTTCTCAGAATCATTCTGTCTAGTTTCTATAGGAAGATATTTCCTATTCTACCATTGACCTCAAAGCGGCTGAAATCTCCACTTGCAAATTCCACAAAAAGAGTGTTTGAAGTCTGCTCTGTGTAAAGGATCGTTCAACTCTGTGAGTTGAATACACACAACACAAGGAAGTTACTGAGAATTCTTCTGTCTAGCAGAATATGAAGAAATCCCGTTTCCAACGAAGGCCACAAGATGTCAGAATATCCACTTACAGACTTTACAAACAGAGTGTTTCCTAACTGCTCTATGAACAGAAAGGTTAAACTCTGTGAGTTGAACGAACACATCACAACGCAGTTTGTGGTAATGATTCTGTCTAGTTTTTATAGGAAGTTATTTCCTTTTTTACCATTGACCTCAAAGCGGCTGAAATCACCACTTGCCAATTGCACAAAAAGAGTGTTTCAAATCTGCTCTGTCTAAGGGAACGTTCAACTCTGTGAGTTGAATGTACACAACACAAGGAAGTTCCTGGGAATTCTTCTGTCTAGCCTTACAGGAAAAAAACCCGTTTCCAACGAAGGACTCTAAGTGGTCAAAATATCCACGTGCAGACTTTACAAACAGAGTGTTTCCAAACTGCTGAATGAAAAGAAAAGTTAAACTCTGAGAGTTCAACGCACACATCGCAGCGCAGTTTCTGAGAATGATTCTGTCTAGTTTTTATACGAAGATATTTCCTTTTCTGCCTTTTGCCCCAAAGCGCTTGAAATCTCCACTTGCAAATTCCACAAAAACAGTGTTTCAAACCTGCTCTCTCTAAATGAAAGTTCAACTCTGTCAGTTGAATACACACAACACAAGGAAGTTACAGAGAATTCTTCTGTCTAGCAGAATATGAAGAAATCCCGTTTCCAACGAAGGCCTCAAGGTGGTCTGAATATCCACTTGCAGACTTTTCAAACAGAGTGTTTCCTAACTGCTCTATGAAAAGAAAGGTTAAACTCTGTGAGTTGAACGCACACATCACAAAGGAGTTTATGAGAATCATTCTGTCTAGTTGTTATACGAAGATATTTCCTTTTCTACCATTGACCTCAATGCGGCTGAAATCTCCACTTGCAAATTCCACCAAATGAGTGTTTCAAATCTGCTCTGTGTAAACCATCGTTCAACTCTGTGAGTTGAATACACACAACACAAGGAAGATTCTGAGAATTCTTCTGTCTAGCAGAATATGAAGAAATCCCGTTTCCAACGAAGGCCTCAAGGAGGTCTGAATATCCACTTGCAGACTTTACAAACAGAGTGTTTCCTAACTTCTCTATGAAAAGAAAGGTTAAACTCTGTGAGTTGAACGAACACATCACAACGCAGTTTGTGGGAATGATTCTGTCTAGTTTTAAAACGAAGAAATTTCCTTTTCTGCCATTGACCTTAAAGCGCTTGAAATCTACACTTGCAAATTGCACAAATAGAGTGTTTCAAATCTGCTCTGTCTAAGGGAACGTTCAACTCTGTGAGTTGAATGCACACAACACAAGGAAGTTACTGGGAATTCTTCTGTCTAGCCTTACATGCAAAAAACCCGTTTGCAACGAAGGCCTCTAAGTGGTCAAAATATCCACGTACAGACTTTACAAACAGAGTGTTTCCAAACCGCTGAATGAAAAGAAAAGTTAAACTCTGAGAGTTGAACGCACACATCACGCAGCAGTTTCTGAGAATGATTCTGTCTAGTTTTTATACGAAGATATTTCCTTTTCTGCCTTTGGCCCCAAAGCGCTTGAAATCTCCACTTGCAAATTCCACAAAAACAGTGTTTCAAATCTGGTCTCTCTAAATGAAAGTTCAACTCTGTCAGTTGAATACACACAACACAAGAAAGTTACTGAGGAATTCTTCTGTCTAGCAGAATATGAAGAAATCCCGTTTCCAACGAAGGCCTCAAAGAGGTCTGAATATCCACTTGCAGACTTTACAAACAGAGTGTTTCCTAACTGCTCTATGAAAAGAAAGGTTAAAGTCTGTGAGTTGAACGCACACATCACAAAGGAGTTTCTGAGAATCGTTCTGTCTAGTTTTTATACGAAGATATTTCCTTTTCTACCATTGACCTCAACGCGGCTGAAATCTCCACTTGAAAATTCCACAAAAAGAGTGTTCCAAGTCTGCTCTGTGTAAAGGATCGTTCAACTCTGTGAGTTGAATACACACAACACAAGGAAGTTACTGAGAATTCTTCTGTCTAGCAGAATATGAAGAAATCCCGTTTCCAACGAAGGCCTCAAGGAGGTCTGAATATCCACTTGCAGACTTTACAAACAGAGTGTTTCCTAACTGCTCTATGAAAAGAAAGGTTAAACTCTGTGAGTTGAACACACACATCACAAAGGAGTTTCTGAGAATCATTTCTGTCTAGTTTTGAAACGGAAATATTTCCTTTTCTGCCATTGACCTTAAGCGCTTGAAATCTCCACTTGCCAATTGCACAAAAAGAGTGTTTCAAATCTGCTCTGTCTAAGGGAACGTTCAACTCTGTGAGTTGAATGTACACAACACAAGGGAGTTACTGGGAATTCTTCTGTCTAGCCTTACATGACAAAAACCCGTTTCCAACGAAGGCCTCTAAGTGGTCAAAATATCCACGTGCAGACTTTAGAAACAGAGTGTTTCCAAACTGCTGAATGAAAAGAAAAGTTAAACTCTGAGCGCTGAAGGCACACATCGCAGAGCAGTTTCAGAGAATGATTCTGTCTAGTTTTTATACGAAGATATTTCCTTTTCTGCCTTTGGCCTCAAAGCGCTTGAAATCTCCATTTGCAATTTCCACAAAAAGAGTGTTTCAAATCTGCTCTGTGTAAATGAAAGTTCAACTCTGTGAGTTGAACACACACAACACAAGGAAGTTACTGGGAATTCTTGTGTCTAGCATAGTATGAAGAAATCCCGTTTCCAACGAAGGCCTCAAAGAGGTCTGAATATCCACTTGCAGACTTTACAAACAGAGTGTTTCCTAACTGCTCTATGAAAAGAAAGGTTAAACTCTGTGAGTTGAACGCACACATCACAAAGAAGTTTCTGAGAATCATTCTGTCTAATTTTTCTACGAAGATAGTTTCCTTTTCTACCTTTGACCTCAAAGCGGCTGAAATCTCCAGTTGCAAATTCCACAAAAAGAGTGTTTCAAGTCTGCTCTGTGTAAAGGATCGTTCAACTCTGTGAGTTGAATACACACAACACAAGGAAGTTACTGAGAATTCTTCTGTCTAGCCTTACATGAAAAAAACCCGTTTCCAACGAAGGCCTCTAAGTGGTCAAAATATCCACGTGCAGACTTTACAAAAAGAGTGTTTCCAAACTGCTGAATGACAAGAAAAGTTAAACTCTGAGAGTTGAACGCACACATCGCAGAGCAGTTTCTGAGAATGATTCTGTCTAGTTTTGAAACGAAGATATTTCCTTTTCTGCCTTTGGCCTCAAAGCGCTTGAAATCTCCATTTGCAAATTCCACAAAAAGAGTGTTTCAAATCTGCTCTGTGTAAATGAAAGTTCAACTGCTGTGAGTTGAACACACACAACACAAGGAAGTTACTGGGAATTCTTCTGTCTAGCCTTATATGAAAAAAACCCGTTTCCAACGAAGGCCTCAAAGAGGTCTGAATATCCTCTTGCAGACCTTACAAACAGAGTGTTTCCTAACTGCTCTATGAAAAGAAAGGTTAAACTCTGTGAGTTGAACACACACATCACAAAGGAGTTTCTGAGAATCATTCTGTCAAGTTTTTATACGAAGTTATTTCCTTTTCTGCCTTTGGCCCCAAAGCGCTTGAAATCTCCACTTGCAAATTCCACAAAAACAGTGTTTCAAATCTGCTCTCTCTAAATGAAAGTTCAACTCTGTCAGTTGAATACACACAACACAAGGAAGTTACAGAGAATTCTTCTGTCTAGCAGAATATGAAGAATTCCCGTTTCCAACGAAGGCCTCAAAGAGGTCTGAATATCCACTTGCAGACTTTACAAACAGAGTGTTTCCTAACTGCTCTATGAACAGAAAGGTTAAACTCTGTGAGTTGAACGCACACATCACAAAGGAGTTTCTGAGAATCATTCTGTCTAGTTTTTCTACGAAGATATTTACTTTTCTACTATTGACCTCAAAGCGGCTGAAATCTCCACTTGCAAATTCCACAAAAAGAGTGTTTCAAGTCTGCTCTGTGTAAAGGATCGTTCAACTCTGTGAGTTGAATACACACAACACAAGGAAGTTACTGAGAATTCTTCTGTCTAGCAGAATATGAAGAAATCCCGTTTCCAACGAAGGTCACAAGATGTCAGAATATCCACTTACAGAATTGACAAACAGACTGTTTCCTAACTGCTCTATGAAAAGAAAGGTTAAACTCTGTGAGTTGAACGAACACATCACAACGCAGTTTGTGGGAATGATTCTGTCTAGTTTTGAAACGAAGATATTTCCTTTTATGCCATTGACCTTAAAGCGCTTGAAATCTCCACTTGCCAATTGCACAAAAAGTGTGTTTCAAATCTGCTCTGTCTAAGGGAACGTTCAACTCTGTGAGTTGAATGTACACAACACAAGGAAGTTACTGGGAATTCTTCTGTCTAGCCTTACAGGAAAAAAACCCGTTTCCAACGAAGGCCTCTAAGTGGTCAAAATATCCACGTGCAGACTTTACAAACAGAGTGTTTCCAAACTGCTGAATGAAAAGAAACGTTAAACTCTGAGAGTTGAACGCACACATCGCAGAGCAGTTTCTGAGAATGATTCTGTCTAGTTTTTATACGAAGATATTTCCTTTTCTGCCTTTGGCCCCAAAGCGCTTGAAATCTCCACTTGCAAATTCCACAAAAAGAGTGTTTCAAGTCTGCTCTGTGTAAAGGATCGTTCAACTCTGTGAGTTGAATACACACAACACAAGGAAAGTTACTGAGAATTCTTCTGTCTAGCAGAATATGAAGAAATCCCGCTTCCAACGAAGGCCTCAAAGAAGTCTGAATATCCACTTGCAGAGTTTACAAACAGAGTGTTTCCCAACTGCTCTATGAAAAGAAAGGTTGAACTCTGTGAGTTGAACGCACACATCACAAAGGAGTTTCTGAGAATCATTCTGTCTAGTTTTTATAGGAAGATATTTCCTTTTCTACCTTTGACTTCAAAGCGGCTGAAATCTCCACTTGCAAATTCCACAAAAAGAGTGTTACAGGTCTGCTCTGTGTAAAGGATCGTTCAACTCTGTGAGTTGAATACACACAACACAAGGAAGTTACTGAGAATTCTTCTGTCTAGCAGAATATGAAGAAATCCCGTTTCCAATGAAGGCCTCTAGGAGGTCTGAATATCCACTTGCAGACTTTACAAACAGAGTGTTTCTTAACTGCTCTATGAACAGAAAGGTTAAAGTCCGTGAGTTGAACGAACACATCACAACGCAGTTTGTGGGAATGATTCTGTCTAGTTTTGAAACGAAGATATTTCCTTTTCTGCCGTTGACCTTAAAAGCGCTTGAAATCTACACTTGCAAATTGCACAAATAGAGTGTTTCAAATCTGCTCTGTCTAAGGGAACGTTCAACTCTGTGAGTTGAATGCACACAACACAAGGAAGTTACTGGGAATTCTTCTGTCTAGCCTTACATGAAAAAAACCCGTTTCCAACGAAGGCCTCTAAGTGGTCAAGTTATCCACGTGCAGACTTTACAAACAGAGTGTTTCCAAACTTCTGAATGAGAAGAAAAGTTAAACTCTGAGAGTTGAACGCACACATCGCAGAGCAGTTTCTGAGAATGATTCTGTCTAGTTTTTATACGAAGATATTTCCTTTTCTGCCTTTGGCCTCAAAGCGCTTGAAACCTCCATTTGCAAATTCCACAAAAAGAGTGTTTCAAATCTGCTCTGTGTAAATGAAAGTTCAACTCTGTGAGTTGAACACACACAACACAAGGGAGTTACTGGGAATTCTTCTGTCTAGCATAATATGAAGAAATCCCGTTTCCAACGAAAGCCTCAAGGATGTCTGAATATCCACTTGCAGACTTTACAAACAGGGTGTTTCCTAACTGCTCTATGAAAAGAAAGGTTAAACTCTGTGAGTTGAACGCACACATCACAAAGGAGTTTCTGAGAATCATTCTGTCTAGTTTCTATAGGAAGATATTTCCTATTCTACCATTGACCTCAAAGCGGCTGAAATCTCCACTTGCAAATTCCACAAAAAGAGTGTTTCAAGCCTGCTCTCTGTAAAGGATCGTTCAACTCTGTGAGTTGAATGCACACAACACAAGGAAGTTACTAGGTATTCTTCTGTCTAGCAGAATATGAAGAAATCCCGTTTCCAACGAAGGCCTTCAAGAGGTCTGAATATCCACTTGCAGACTTTACAAACAGAGTGTTTCCTAACTGCTCTATGAACAGAAAGGTTAAACTCTGTGAGTTGAACGAACACATCACAACGCAGTTTGTGGGAATGATTCTGTCTAGTTTTGAAACGAAGATATTCCCTTTTCTGCCATTGACCTTTAAAGCGCTTGAAATCTACACTTGCAAATTGCACAAATAGAGTGTTTCAAATCTGCTCTGTCTAAGGGAACGTTCAACTCTGTGAGTTGAATGCACACAACACAAGGAATTTACTGGGAATTCTTCTGTCTAGCCTTACAGGAAAGAAACCCGTTTCCAACGAAGGCCTCTAAGTGGTCAAAATATCCACGTGCAGACTTTACAAACAGAGTGTTTCCAAACTGCTGAATGAAAAGAAAAGTTAAACTCTGAGAGTTGAACGCACACATCGCAGAGCAGTTTCTGAGAATGATTCTGTCTAGTTTTTATACGAAGATATTTCCTTTTCTGCCTTTGGCCCCAAAGCGCTTGAAATCTCCACTTGCAAATTCCACAAAAACAGTGTTTCAAATCTGCTCTCTCTAAATGAAAGTTCAACTCTGTCAGTTGAATACACACAACACAAGGAAGTTACTTGAGAATTCTTCTGTCTAGCCTTATATGAAAAAAACCCGTTTCCAACGAAGGCCTCAAAGAGGTCTGAATATCCACTTGCAGACTTTACAAACAGAGTGTTTCCTAACTGCTCTATGAAAAGAAAGGTTAAACTCTGTGAGTTGAGAGCACACATCTCAAAGGAGTTTCTGAGAATCATTCTGTCTAGTTTCTATAGGAAGATATTTCCTATTCTACCATTGACCTCAAAGCGGCTGAAATCTCCACTTGCCAATTCCACAAAAAGAATGTTTCAAGTCTGCTCTGTGTAAAGGATCGTTCAACTCTGTGAGTTGAATACACACAACACAAGGAAGTTACTTGAGAATTCTTCTGTCTAGCAGAATATGAAGAAATCCCGTTTCCAACGAAGGCCACAAGATGTCAGAATATCCACTTACAGAATTTACAAACATAGTGTTTCCTAACTGCTCTATGAAAAGAAAGGTTAAACTCTGTGAGATGAACGAACACATCACAACACAGTTTGTGGGAATGATTCTGTCTAGTTTTGAAACGAAGATATTTCCTTTTCTGCCATTGACCTTAAAGCGCTTGAAATCTACACTTGCAAATTGCACAAATAGAGTGTTTCAAATCTGCTCTGTCTAAGGGAACGTTCAACTCTGTGAGTTGAATGCACACAACACAAGGAAGTTACTGGGAATTCTTCTGTCTAGCCTTACATGCAAAAAACCCGTTTCCAACGAAGGCCTCTAAGTGGTCAGAATATCCACGTGTAGACTTTACAAACAGAGTGTTTCCAAACCGCTGAATGAAAAGAAAAGTTAAACTCTGAGAGTTGAACGCACACATCACGCAGCAGTTTCTGAGAATGATTCTGTCTAGTTTTTATACGAAGATATTTCCTTTTCTGCCTTTGGCCCCAAAGCGCTTGAAATCTCCACTTGCAAATTCCACAAAAACAGTGTTTCAAATCTGCTGTCTCTAAATGAAAGTTCAACTCTGTCAGTTGAATACACACAACACAAGGAAGTTACTGAGAATTCTTCTGTCTAGCAGAATATGAAGAAATCCCGTTTCCAACGAAGGCCTCAAAGAGGTCTGAATATCCACTTGCAGACTTTACAAACAGAGTGTTTCCTAACTGCTCTAAGAAAAGAAAGGTTAAACTCTGTGAGTTGAACGCACACATCACAAAGGAGTTTATGAGAATCATTTTGTCTAGTTTCTATAGGAAGATATTTCCTATTCTACCATTGACCTCAAAGCGGCTGAAATCTCCACTTGCAAATTCCACAAAAAGAGTGTTTCAAGTCTGCTCTGTGTAAAGGATCGTTCAACTCTGTGAGTTGAATACACACAACACAAGGAATGTTACTGAGAATTCTTCTGTCTAGCAGAATATGAAGAAATCCCGTTTCCAACGAAGGCCACAAGATGTCAGAATATCCACTTACAGAATTTTCAAACAGACTGTTTCCTAACTGCTCTATGAAAAGAAAGGTTAAACTCTGTGAGTTGAACGAAAACATCACAACGCAGTTTGTGGGAGTGATTCTGTCTAGTTTTGAAACGAAGATATTTCCTTTTCTGCCGTTGACCTTAAAGCGCTTGAAATCTACACTTTCAAATTGCACAAATAGAGTGTTTCAAATCTGCTCTGTCTAAGGGAACGTTCAACTCTGTGAGTTGAATGCACACAACACAAGGGAAGTTACTGGGAATTCTTCTGTCTAGCCTTACATGAAAAAAAACCCGTTTCCAACGAAGGCCTCTAAGTGGTCAAAATATCCACGTGCAGACTTTACAAACAGAGTGTTTCCAAACCGCTGAATGAAAAGAAAAGTTAAACTCTGAGAGTTGAACGCACACATCACGCAGCAGTTTCTGAGAATGATTCTGTCTATTTTCTATAGGAAGATATTTCCTATTCTACCATTGACCTCAAAGCGGCTGAAATCTCCACTTGCAAATTCCACAAAAAGAGTGTTTCAAGACTGCTCTGTGTAAAGGATCATTCAACTCTGTGAGTTGAATAAACACAACACAAGGAAGTTACTGAGAATTCTTCTGTCTAGCATAATATGAAGAATTCCCGTTTCCAACGAAGGCCTCAAAGAGGTCTGAATATCCACTTGCAGACATTACAAACAGAGTGTTTCCTAACTGCTCTATGAAAAGAAAAGTTAAACTCTGTGAGTTGAACGCACACATCACAAAGGAGTTTCTGAGAATCATTCTGTCTAGTCTTTATACGAAGATATTTCCTTTTCTACCATTGACCTCAAAGCGGCTGAAATCTCCACTTGCAAATTCCACAAAAAGAGTGTTTCAAGTCTGCTCTGTGTAAAGGATCGTTCAGCTCTGTGAGTTGAATACACACAACACAAGGAAGTTACTGAGAATTCTTCTGTCTAGCAGAATATGAAGAAATCCCGTTTCCAACGAAGGCCACAAGATGTCAGAATATCCACTTACAGACTTTACAGAGTATTTCCTAACTGCTCTATGAACAGAAAGGTTAAACTCTGTGAGTTGAACGAACACATCACAACGCAGTTTGTGGGAATGATTCTGTCTAGTTTTGAAACGAAGATATTTCCTTTTCTGCCATTGACCTTAAAGCGCTTGAAATCTCCACTTGCCAATTGCACAAAAAGAGTGTTTCAAATCTGCTCTGTCTAAGGGAACGTTCAACTCTGTGAGTTGAACCGTACACAACACAAGGAAGTTACTGGGAATTCTTCTGTCTAGCCTTACATGAAAAAAACCCGTTTCCAACGAAGGCCTCTAAGTGGTCAAATTATCCACGTGCAGACTTTACAAACAGAGTGTGTCCAAACTGCTGAATGAAAAGAAAAGTTAAACTCTGAGAGTTGAACGCACACATCGCAGAGCAGTTTCTGAGAATGATTCTGTCTAGTTTTTATACGAAGATATTTCCTTTTCTGCCTTTGGCCTCAAAGCGCTTGAAATCTCCACTTGCAAATTCCACAAAAAGAGTGTTTCAAATCTGCTCTGTGTAAAGGAAAGTTCAACTCTGTGAGTTGAACACACACAACACAAGGAAGTTACTGGGAATTCTTCTGTCTAGCAGAATATGAAGAAATCCCGTTTCCAACGAAGGCCTCAAGGAGGTCTGAATATCCACTTGCAGACTTTACAAACAGAGTGTTTCCTAACTGCTCTATGAAAAGAAAGGTTAAACTCTGTGAGTTGAACGCACACATCACAAAGGAGTTCATGAGAATCATTCTGTCTAGTTTCTATAGGAAGATATTTCCTATTCTACCATGGACCTCAAAGCGGCTGAAATCTCCACTTGCACATTCCACAAGAAGAGTGTTTCAAGTATGCTCTGTGTAAAGGATCGTTCAACTCTGTGAGTTGAATACACACAACACAAGGAAGTTACTGAGAATTCTTCTGTCTAGCAGAATATGAAGAAATCCCGTTTCCAGCGAAGGCAACAAGATGTCAGAATATCCACTTACAGACTTTACAAACAGAGTGTTTCCTAACTGCTCTATGAACAGAAAGGTTAAACTCTGTGTGTTGAACGCACACATCACAAAGGAGTTTATGAGAATCATTCTGTCTAGTTTTGAAACGAAGATATTTCTTTTACTGCCATTGACCTTAAAGCGCTTGAAATCTCCACTTGCCAATTGCACAAAAAGAGTGTTTCAAATCTGCTCTAAGGGAACGTTCAACTCTGTGAGTTGAATGTACACAACACAAGGAAGTTACTGGGAATTCTTCTGTCTAGCCTTACAGGAAAAAAACCCGTTTCCAACGAAGGCCTCTAAGTGGTCAAGTTATCCACGTGCAGACTTTACAAACAGAGTGTTTCCAAACTGCTGAATGAAAAGAAAAGTTAAACTCTGAGAGTTGAACGCACACATCGCAGAGCAGTTTCTGAGAATGATTCTGTCTAGTTTTTATACGAAGATATTTCCTTTTCTGCCTTTGGCCCCAAAGCGCTTGAAATCTCCACTTGCAAATTCCGCAAAAACCGTGTTTCAAATCTGCTCTCTCTAAATGAAAGTTCAACTCTGTCAGTTGAATACACACAACACAAGGAAGTTACTGAGAATTCTTCTGTCTAGCAGAATATGAAGAAATCCCGTTTCCAACGAAGGCCTCAAAGAGGTCTGAATATCCACTTGCAGACTTTACAAAGAGAGTGTTTCCTAACTGCTCTATGAAAAGAAATGTTAAACTCTGTGAGTTGAACGCACACATCACAAAGGATTTTCTGAGAATCATTCTGTCTAGTTTCTATAGGAAGATATTTCCTATTCTACTATTGACCACAAAGCGGCTGAAATCTCCACTTGCAAGTTCCACAAAACGAGTGTTTCAAGTCTGCTCTGTGTAAAGGATCGTTCAACTCTGTGAGTTGAATTCACACAACACAAGGAAGTTACTGAGAATTCTTCTGTCTAGCAGAATATGAAGAAATCCCGTTTCCAACGAAGGCCTCAAAGTGGTCTGAATATCCACTTGCAGACTTTACAAACAGAGTGTTTCTTAACTGCTCTATGAAAAGAAAGGTTAAACTCTGTGAGTTGAACGCACACATCACAAAGGAGTTTCTGAGAATCGTTCTGTCTAGTTTTGAAACGAAGATATTTCCTTTTCTGCCATTGACCTTAAAGCGCTTGAAATCTACACTTGCAAATTGCACAAATAGAGTGTTTCAAATCTGCTCTGTCTAACGGAACGTTCAACTCTGTGAGTTGAATGCACACAACACAAGGAAGTTACTGGGAAATCTTCTGTCTAGCCTTACAGGAAAAAAACCCGTTTCCAACGAAGGCCTCTAAGTGGTCAAAATATCCACGTGCAGACTTTACAAACAGAGTGTTTCCAAACTGCTGAATGAAAAGAAAAGTTAAACTCTGAGAGTGGAACGCACACATCGCAGAGCAGTTTCTGAGAATGATTCTGTCTAGTTTTGAAACGAAGATATTTCCTTTTCTGCCTTTGGCCTCAAAGCGCGTGAAATCTCCACTTGCAAATTCCACAAAAAGAGTGTTTCAAATCTGCTCTGTGTAAATGAAAGTTCAACTCTGTGAATTGAACACACACAACACAAGGAAGTTACTGAGAATTCTTCTGTCTAGCCTTATATGAAAACAACCCGTTTCCAACGAAGGCCTCAAAGAGGTCTGAATATCCACTTGCAGACTTTACAAACAGAGTGTTTCCTAACTGCTCTATGAAAAGAAAGGTTAAACTCTGTGAGTTGAACACACACATCACAAAGGAGTTTCTGAGAATCATTTCTGTCTAGTTTCTATAAGAAGATATTTCCTATTCTACCATTGACCTCAAAGCGGCTGAAATCTCCACTTGCAAATTCGACAAAAAGAGTGTTTCAAGCCTGCTCTCTGTAAAGGATCCTTCAACTCTGTGAGTTGAATACACACAACACAAGGAAGTTACTGAGAATTCTTCTGTCTAGCAGAATAGGAAGAAATCCCGTTTCCAACGAAGGCCACAAGATGTCTGAATATCCACTTACAGACTTTACAAACAGAGTGTTTCCTAACTGCTCTATGAACAGAAATGTTAAACTCTGTGAGTTGAACGAACACATCACAACGCAGTTTGTGGGAATGATTCTGTCTAGTTTTGAAACGAAGATATTTCCTTTTCTGCCATTGACCTTAAAGCGCTTGAAATCTCCACTTGCCAATTGCACAAATAGAGTGTTTCAAATCTGCTCTGTCTAAGGGAACGTTCAACTCTGTGAGTTGAATGCACACAACACAAGGAAGTTACTGGGAATTCTTCTGTCTAGCCTTACATGAAAAATACCCGTTTCCAACGAAGGCCTCTAAGTGGTCAAAATATCCACGTGCAGACTTAACAAACAGAGTGTTTCCAAACCGCTGAATGAAAAGAAAAGTTAAACTCTGAGAGTTGAACGCACACATCACAAAGGAGATTCTGAGAATCATTCTGTCTAGTTTTGAAACGAAGATATTTCCTTTTCTGCCTTTGGCCTCAAAGCGCTTGAAATCTCCACTTGCAAATTCCACAAAAAGAGTGTTTCAAATCTGCTCTGTGTAACTGAAAGTTCAACTCTGTGAGTTGAACACACACAACACAAGGAAGTTACTGGGAATTCTTCTGTCTAGCCTTATATGAAAAAACCCCGTTTCCAACGAAGGCCTCAAAGAGGTCTGAATATCCACTTGCAGACTTTACAAACAGAGTGTTTCCTAACTGCTCTATGAAAAGAAAGGTTAAACTCTGTGAGTTGAACGCACACATCACAAACGAGTTTCTGAGAATCATTCTGTCTAGTTTTTATACGAAGATATTTCCTTTTCTACCTATGACTTCAAAGCGGCTGAAATCTCCACTTGCAAATTCCACAAAAAGAGTGTTACAAGTCTGGTCTGTGTAAAGGATCGTTCAACTCTGTGAGTTGAATACACACAACACAAGGAAGTTACTGAGAATTCTTCTGTCTAGCAGAATATAAAGAAATCCCGTTTCCAACGAAGGCCACAAGCTGTCAGAATATCTACTTACAGAATTTTCAAACAGACTGTTTCCTAACTGCTCTATGAAAAGAAAGGTTAAACTCTGTGAGTTGAACGAACACATCACAACGCAGTTTGTGGGAATGATTCTGTCTAGTTTTGAAACGAAGATATTTCCTTTTCTGCCATTGACCTTAAAGCGCTTGAAATCTCCACTTGCCAATTGCACAAAAAGAGTGTTTCAAATCTGCTCTGTCTAAGGGAACGTTCAACCCTGTGAGTTGAATGTACACAACACAAGGAAGTTACTGGGAATTCTTCTGTCTAGCCTTACAAGAAAAAAACCCGTTTCCAACGAAGGCCTCTAAATGGTCAAAATATCCACGTGCAGACTTTACAAACAGAGTGTTTCCAAACTGCTGAATGAAAAGAAAAGTTAAACTCTGAGAGTTGAACGCACACATCGCAGAGCAGTTTCTGAGAATGATTCTGTCTAGTTTTTATACGAAGATATTTCCTTTTCTGCCTTTGGCCCCAAAGCGCTTGAAATCTCCACTTGCAAATTCCACAAAAACACTGTTTCAAATCTGCTCTCTCTAAATGAAAGTTCAACTCTGTCACTTGAATACACACAACACAAGGAAGTTACTGAGAATTCTTCTGTCTAGCATAATATGAAGAAATGCCGTTTCCAACGAAGGCCTCAAAGGGGTCTGAATATCCACTTGCAGACTTTATAAACAGAGTGTTTACTAACTGCTCTATGAAAAGAAAGGTTAAACTCTGTGAGTTGAACACACACATCACAAAGGAGTTTCTGAGAATCATTCTGTCTAATTTCTATAGGAAGATATTTCCTATTCTACCATTGACCTCAAAGCGGCTGAAATCTCCACTTGCAAATTCCACAAAAAGAATGTTTCAAGTCTGCTCAGTGTAAAGGATCGTTCAACTCTGTGAGTTGAATACACACAACACAAGGAAGTTACTGAGAATTCTTCTGTCTAGCAGAATATGAAGAAATCCCGTTTCCAACGAAGACCACAAGATGTCAGAATATCCACTTACAGAATTGACAAACAGACTGTTTCCTAACTGCTCTATGAAAAGAAAGGTTAAACTCTGTGAGTTGAACGAACACATCACAACGCAGTTTGTGGGAATGATTCTGTCTAGTTTTGAAACGAAGGTATTTTCTTTTCTGCCATTGACATTAAAGCGCTTGAAATCTCCAATTCCAAATTGCACAAAAGGAGTTTTTCAAATCTGCTCTGTCTAAGGGAACGTTCAACTCTGTGAGTTGAATGCACACAACACACGGGAAGTTACTGGGAATTTTTCTGTCTAGCCTTGCAGGAAAAAAACCCGTTTCCAACGAAGGCCTCTAAGTGGTCAAAATATCCACGTGCAGACTTTACAAACAGAGTGTTTCCAAACTGCTGAATGAAAAGAAAAGTTAAACTCTGAGAGTTGAACGCACACATCGCAGAGCAGTTTCTGAGAATGATTCTGTCTAGTTTTTATACGAAGATATTTCCTTTTCTGCCTTTGGCGTCAAAGCGCTTGAAATCTCCATTTGCAAATTCCACAAAAAGAGTGTTTCAAATCTGCTCTGTGTAAATGAAAGTTCAACTCTGTGAGTTGAACACACACAACACAAGGAAGTTACTGGGAATTCTTCTGTCTAGCAGAATATGAAGAAATCCCGTTTCCAACGAAGGCCTCAAAGAGGTCTGAATATCCACTTGCAGACTTTACAAACAGAGTGTTTCCTAACTGCTCTATGAGAAGAAAAGTTAAACTCTGTGAGTTGAACGCACACATCACAAAAGATTTTGTGAGAATCATTCTGTCTAGTTTCTATAGGAAGATATTTCCTATTCTACCATTGAACTCAAAGCGGCTGAAATCTCCACTTGCAAATTCCACAAAAAGAGTGTTTCAAGTCTGCTCTGTGTAAAGGATCGTTCAACTCTGTGAGTTGAACACACACAACACAAGGAAGTTACTGAGAATTCTTCTGTGTAGCAGAATATGAAGAAATCCCGTTTCCAACGAAGGCCACAAGATGTCAGAATATCCACTTACAGAATTTACCAACAGAGTGTTTCCTAACTGCTCTATGAAAAGAAAGGTTAAACTCTGTGAGTTGAACGAACACATCACAATGCAGTTTGTGGGAATGATTCTGTCTAGTTTTTATAGGAAGACATTTCCTTTTCTACCTTTGACTTCAAAGCGGCTGAAATCTCCACTTGCAAATTCCACAAAAAGAGTGTTACAAGTCTGCTCTGTGTAAAGGATCGTTCAACTCTGTGAGTTGAATACACACAACACAAGGAAGTTACTGAGAATTCTTCTGTCTAGCCTTACATGAAAAAAACCCGTTTCCAACGAAGGCCTCTAAGTGGTCAAATTATCCACGTGCAGACTTTACAAACAGAGTGTTTCCAAACTGCTGAATGAAAAGAAAAGTTAAACTCTGAGAGTTGAACGCACACATTGCAGAGCAGTTTCTGAGAATGATTCTGTCTAGTTTTTATACGAAGATATTTCCTTTTCTGCCTTTGGCCTCAAAGCGCTTGAAATCTCCATTTGCAAATTCCACAAAAAGAGTGTTTCAAATCTGCTCTGTGTAAATGAAAGTTCAACTCTGTGAGTTGAACACACACAACACAAAGAAGTTACTGGGAATTCTTCTGTCTAGCCTTATATGAAAAAACCCGTTTCCAACGAAGGCCTCAAAGAGGTCTGAATATCCACTTGCAGACTTTACAAACAGAGTGTTTCCTAACTGCTCTATGAAAAGAAAGGTTAAACTCTGTGAGTTGAACGCACACATCACAAAGGAGTTTCTGAGAATCATTCTGTCTAGTTTCTATAGGAAGATATTTCCTATTCTACCGTTGACCTCAAAGCTGCTGAAATCTCCACTTGCAAATTCCACAAAAAGAGTGTTTCAAGTCTGCTCTCTGTAAAGGATCGTACAACTCTGTGAGTTGAATACACACAACACAAGGAAGTTACTGAGAATTATTCTGTCTAGCAGAATATGAAGAAATCCCGTTTCCACCGAAGGCCTCAAGGAGGTCTGAATATCCACTTGCAGACTTTACAAACAGAGTGTTTCCTAACTGCTCTATGAACAGAAAGGTTAAACTCTGTGTGTTGAACGCACACATCACAAAGGAGTTTATGAGAATCATTCTGTCTAGTTTTGAAACGAAGATATTTCCTTTTCTGCCATTGACCTTAAAGCGCTTGAGATCTACACTTGCAAATTGCACAAATAGAGTGTTTCAAATCTGCTCTGTCTAAGGGAACGTTCAACTCTGTGAGTTGAATGCACACAACACAAGGAAGTTACTGGGAATTCTTCTGTCTAGCCTTACATGCAAAAAACCCGTTTCCAACGAAGGCCTCTAAGTGGTCAAAATATCCACGTGCAGACTTTACAAACAGAGTGTTTCCAAACCGCTGAATGAAAAGAAAAGTTAAACTCTAAGAGTTGAACGCACACATCACGCAGCAGTTTCTGAGAATGATTCTGTCTAGTTTTTATACGAAGATATTTCCTTTTCTGCCTTTGGCCCCAAAGCGCTTGAAATCTCCACTTGCAAATTCCACAAAAACAGTGTTTCAAATCAGCTCTCTCTAAATGAAAGTTCAACTCTGTCAGTTGAATACACACAACACAAGGAAGTTACTGAGAATTCTTCTGTCTAGCCTTCTATGAAAAAAACCCGTTTCCAACGAAGGCCTCAAAGAGGTCTGAATATCCACTTGCAGACTTTACAAACAGAGTGTTTCCTAACTGCTCTATGAAAAGAAAGGTTAAACTCTGTGAGTTGAACGCACGCATCACAAAGGAGTTTCTGAGAATCATTCTGTCTAGTTTTTATAGGAAGATATTTCCTTTTCTACCTTTGATTTCAAAGCGGCTGAAATCTCCACTTGCAAATTCCACAAAAAGAGTGTTACAAGTCTGCTCTGTGTAAAGGATCGTTCAACTCTGTGAGTTGAATACACACAACACAAGGAAGTTAATGAGAATTCTTCTGTCTAGCAGAATATGAAGAAAATCCTCGTTTCCAACGAAGGCCACAAGATGTCAGAATATCCACTTACAGACTTTACAAACAGAGTGTTTCCTAACTGCTCTATGAAAAGAAAAGTTAAACTCTGTGAGTTGAACGAACACATCACAACGCAGTTTGTGGGAATGATTCTGTCTAGTTTTGAAATGAAGATATTTCCTTTTCTGGCGTTGACCTTAAAGCGCTTGAAATCTACACTTGCAAATTGCACAAATAGAGTGTTTCAAATCTGCTCTGTCTAAGGGAACGTTCAACTCTGTGAGTTGAATGCGCACAACACAAGGAAGTTACTGGGAATTCTTCTGTCTAGCCTTACATGAAAAAAACCCGTTTCCAACGAAGACCTCTAAGTGGTCAAATTATCCACGTGCAGACTTTACAAACAGAGTGTTTCCAAACTGCTGAATGAAAAGAAAAGTTAAACTGCTGAGAGTTGAACGCACACATCGCAGAGCAGTTTCTGAGAATGATTTCTGTCCAGTTTTTATAGGAAGTTATTTCCTTTTCTACCTTTGACTTCAAAGCGGCTGAAATCTCCACTTGCAAATTCCACAAAAAGAGTTTTACAAGTCTGCTCTGTGTAAAGGATCGTTCAACTCTGTGAGTTGAATACACACAACACAAGGAAAGTTACTGAGAATTCTTCTGTCTAGCCTTATATGAAAAAAAACCGTTTCCAACGAAGGCCTCTAAGAGGTCTGAATATCCACTTGCAGACTTTACAAACAGAGTGTTTCCTAACTGCTCTATGAAAAGAAAGGTTAAACTCTGTGAGTTGAACGCACACATCACAAAGGAGTTTCTGAGAATCATTCTGTCTAGTTTTTATAGGAACATATTTCCTTTTCTACCTTTGACTTCAAAGCGGCTGAAATCTCCACTTGCAAATTCCACAAAAAGAGTGTTACAAGTCTGCTCTGTGTAAAGGATCGTTCAACTCTGTGAGTTGAATACACACAACACGCGGAAGTTACTGAGAATTCTTCTGTCTAGCAGAATATGAAGAAATCCCGTTTCCAACGAAGGCCACTAGATGTCAGAATATCCACTTACAGACTTTACAAACAGAGTGTTTCCTAACTGCTCTATGAACAGAAAGGTTAAACTCTGTGAGTTGAACGAACACATCACAACGCAGTTTGTGGGAATGATTCTGTCTAGTTTTGAAACGAAGATATTTCCTTTTCTGCCATTGACCTTAAAGCGCTTGAAATCTACACTTGCAAATTGCACAAATACAGTGTTTCAAATCTGCTCTGTCTAAGGGAACGTTCAACTCTGTGAGTTGAATGCAAACAACACAAGGAAGTTACTGGGAATTCTTCTGTCTAGCCTTACATGAAAAAAACCCGTTTCCAACGAAGGCCTCTAAGTGTTCAAAATATGCACGTGCAGACTTTACAAACAGAGAGTTTCCAAACTGCTGAATGAAAAGAAAAGTTAAACTCTGAGAGTTGAACGCACACATCACAGAGCAGTTTCTGAGAATGATTCTGTCTAGTTTTGAAACGAAGATATTTCCTTTTCTGCCTTTGGCCTCAAAGCGCTTGAAATCTCCACTTGCAACTTCCACAAAAAGAGTGTTTCAAATCTGCTCTGTGTAAATGAAAGTTCAACTCTGTGAGTTGAACACACACAACACAAGGAAGCTACTGGGAATTCTTCTGTCTAGCCTTATATGAAAAAAACCCGTTTCCAACGAAGGCCTCAAAGAGGTCTCAATATCCACTTGCAGACTTTACAAACAGAGTGTTTCCTAACTACTCTATGAAAAGAAAGGTTAAACTCTGTGAGTTGAACGTACACATCACAAAGGAGTTTCTGAGAATCATTCTGTCTAGTTTTTATAGGAAGATATTTCCTTTTCTACCTTTGACTTCAAAGCGGCTGAAATCTCCACTTGGAAATTCCACAAAAAGAGTGTTACAAGTCTGCTCTGTGTAAAGGATCGTTCAACTCTGTGAGTTGAATACACACAACACAAGGAAAGTTACTGAGAATTCTTCTGTCTAGCAGAATATGAAGAAATCCCGTTTCAAACGAAGGCCACAAGATGTCAGAATATCCACTTACAGAATTTACAAACAGAGTGTTTCCTAACTGCTCTATGAAAAGAAAGGTTAAACTCTGTGAGTTGAACGAACACATCACAACGCAGTTTGTGGGAATGATTCTGTCTAGTTTTGAAACGCAGATATTTCCTTTTCTGCCATTGACCTTAAAGCGCTTGAAATCTCCACTTGCCAATTGCACAAAAAGAGTATTTCAAATCTGCTCTGTCTAAGGGAACGTTCAACTCTGTGAGTTGAATGTACACAACACAAGGAAGTTACTGGGAATTCTTCTGTCTAGCCTTACAGGAAAAAAACCCGTTTCCAACGAAGGCCTCTAAGTGGTCAAATTATCCACGTGCAGACTTTACAAACAGATTGTTTCCAAACTGCTGAATGAAAAGAAAAGTTAAACTCTGAGAGTTGAACGCACACATCGCAGAGCAGTTTCTGAGAATGATTCTGTCTAGTTTTTATACGAAGATATTTCCTTTTCTGCCTTTGGCCTCAAAGCGCTTGAAATCTCCACTTGCAAATTCCACAAAAAGAGTGTTTCAAATCTGCTCTGTGTAAATGAAAGTTCAACTCTGTGAGTTGAATACACACAACACAAGGAAGTTACTGGGAATTCTTCTGTCTAGCATAATATGAAGAAATTCCGTTTCCAACGAAGGCCTCAAAGAGGTCTGAATATCCACTTGCAGACTTTACAAACAGAGTGTTTCCTAACTGCTCTATGAAAAGAAAAGTTAAACTCTGTGTGTTGAACGCACACATCACAAAGGAGTTTCTGAGAATCATTCTGTCTAGTTTTTATAGGAAGATATTTCCTTTTCTACCTTTGACTTCAAAGCGGCTGAAATCTCCACTTGCAAATTCCACAAAAAGAGTGTTACAAGTCCGCTCTGTGTAAAGGATCGTTCAACTCTGTGAGTTGAATACACACAACACAAGGAAGTTACTGAGAATTCTTCTGTCTTGGAGTATATGAAGAAATGCCATTTCCAACCAAGGCCACAAAATGTCAGAATATCCACTTACAGACTTTACAAACAGAGTGTTTCCTAACTGCTCTATGAACAGAAAGGTTAAACTCTGTGAGTTGAACGAACACATCACAACGCAGTTTGTGGGATTGATTCTGTCTAGTTTTGAAACGAAGATATTTCCTTTTCTGCCATTGAACTTAAAGCGCTTGAAATCTCCATTTGCCAATTGCACAAAAAGAGTGTTTCAAATCTGCTCTGTCTAAGGGAACGTTCAACTCTGTGAGTTGAATGTACACAACACAAGGAAGTTCCTGGGAATTCTTCTGTCTAGCCTTACAGGAAAAAAACCCGTTTCCAACGAAGGCCTCTAAGTGGTCAAAATATCCACGTGCAGACTTTACAAACAGAGTGTTTCCAAACTGCTGAATGAAAAGAAAAGTTAAACTCTGAGAGTTGAGCGCACACATCGCAGAGCAGTTTCTGAGAATGATTTTGTCTAGTTTTTATACGAAGATATTTCCTTTTCTGCCTTTGGCCCCAAAGCGCTTGAAATCTCCACTTGCAAATTCCACAAAAACAGTGTTACAAATCTGCTCTCTCTAAATGAAAGTTCAACTCTGTCAGTTGAAAACACACAACACAAGGAAGTTACTGAGAATTCTTCTTTCTAGCAGAACATGAAGAAATCCCGCTTCCAACGAAGGCCTCAAAGAAGTCTGAATATCCACTTGCACACTTTACAAACAGAGTGTTTCCCAACTGCTCTATGAAAAGAAAGGTTGAACTCTGTGAGTTGAACGCACACATCACAAAGGAGTTTCTGAGAATCATTCTGTCTAGTTTCTACAGGAAGATATTTCCTATTCTACCATTGAACTCAAAGCGGCTGAAATCTCCACTTGCAAATTCCACAAAAAGAGTGTTTCAAGTCTGCTCTGTGTAAAGGATCGTTCAACTCTGTGAGTTGAATACACACAACACAAGGAAGTTACTGAGAATTCTTCTGTCTAGCAGAATATGAAGAAATTCCGTTTCCAACGAAGGCCACAAGATGTCAGAATATCCACTTACAGACTTTACAAACAGAGTGTTTCCTAACTGCTCTATGAACAGAAAGGTTAAACTCTGTGAGTTGAACGAGCACTTCACAACGCAGTTTGTGGGAATGATTCTGTCTAGTTTTGAAACGAAGATATTTCCTTTTCTGCCATTGACCTTAAAGCGCTTGAAATCTACACTTGCAAATTGCACAAATAGAGTGTTTGAAATCTGCTCTGTCTAAGGGAACGTTCATCTCTGTGAGTTGAATGCACACAACACAAGGAAGTTACTGGGAATTCTTCTGTCTAGCCTTACATGAAAAAAACCCGTTTCCAAAGAAGACCTCTAAGTGGTCAAAATGTCCACGTGCAGACTTTACAAACAGAGTGTTTCCAAACCGGTGAATGAAAAGAAAAGTTAAACTCTGAGAGTTGAACGCACACATCACGCAGCAGTTTCTGAGAATGATTCTGTCTAGTTTTTATACGAAGATATTTCGTTTTCTGCCTTTGGCCCCAAAGCGCTTGAAATCTCCACTTGCAAATTCCACAAAAACAGTGTTTCAAATCTGCTCTCTCTAAATGAATGTTCAACTCTGTCAGTTGAATAAGCACAACACAAGGAAGTTACTGAGAATTCTTCTGTCTAGCATAGTATGAAGAAATCCCGTTTCCAACGAAGGCCTCAAAGAGGTCTGAATATCCACTTGCAGAGTTTACAAACAGAGTGTTTCCTAACTGCCCTATGAAAAGAAAGGTTAAACTCTGTGAGTTGAACGCACACATCACAAAGAAGTTTCTGAGAATCATTCTGTCTAGTGTTTCTACGAAGATATTTCCTTTTCTACTATTGACCTCAAAGCGGCTGAAATCTCCACTTGCAAATTCCACAAAAAGAGTGTTTCAAGTCTGCTCTGTGTAAAGGATCGTTCAACTCTGAGAGTTGAATACACACAACACAAGGAAGTTACTGAGAATTCTTCTGTCTAGCAGAATATGAAGTAATCCCGTTTCCAGCGAGGCCACAAGATGTCAGAATATCCACTTACAGAATTTACAAACAGACTGTTTCCTAACTGCTCTATGAAAAGAAAGGTTAAACTCTGTGAGTTGAACAAACGCATCACAACGCAGTTTGTGGGAATGATTCTGTCTAGTTTTGAAACGAAGATATTTCCTTTTCTGCCGTTGACCTTAAAGCGGTTGAAATCTACACTTGCAAATTGCACAAATAGAGTGTTTCAATTCTGCTCTGTCTAAGGAAACGTTCAACTCTGTGACTTGAATGCACACAACACAAGGAAGTTACTGGGAATTCTTCTGTCTAGCCTTACATGAAAAAAACCCGTTTCAAATGAAGGCCTCTAAGAGGTCAAATTATCCACGTGCAGACTTTACAAACAGAGTGTTTCCAAACTGCTGAATGAAAAGAAAAGTTAAACTCTGAGAGTTGAACGCACACATCGCAGAGCAGTTTCTGAGAATGATTCTGTCTAGTTTTTATACGAAGATATTTCCTTTTCTGCCTTTGGCACCAAAGCGCTTGAAATCTCCATTTGCAAATTCCACAAAAACAGTGTTTCAAATCTGCTCTCTCTAAATGAAAGTTCAACTCTGTCAGTTGAATACACACAACACAAGGAAGTTACTGAGAATTCTTCTGTCTAGCATAATATGAAGAAATCCCGTTTCCAACGAAGGCCTCAAAGGGGTCTGAATATCCACTTGCAGACTTTATAAACAGAGTGTTTACTAACTGCTCTATGAAAAGATAGGTTAAACTCTGTGAGTTGAACACACACATCACAAAGGAGTTTCTGAGAATCATTCTGTCTAGTTTTTATACGAAGATATTTCCTTTTCTACCATTGACCTCAAAGCGGCTGAAATCTCCACTTGCAAATTACACAAAAAGAGTGTTTCAAGTCTACTCTGTGTAAAGCATCGTTCAACTCCGTGAGTTGAAAACACACAACACAAGGAAGTTTCTGAGAATTCTTCTGTCTAGCAGAATATGAAGAAATCCCGTTTCCAACGAAGGCCTCAAAGACGTCTGAATATCCACTTGCAGACTTTACAAACAGAGTGTTTCCTAACGGCTCTATGAAAAGAAAGGTTAAACTCTGTGAGCTGAACGCACACAGCACAAAGGAGTTTCTGAGAATCATTCTGTCTAGTTTCTATAGGAAGATATTTCCTATTCTACCATTGACCTCAAAGCGGCTGAAATCTCCAATTGCAAGTTCCACAAAAGGAGTGTTTCAAGCCTGCTCTGAGTAAAGGATCGTTCAACTCTGTGAGTTGAATACACACAACACAAGGAAGTTACTGAGAATTCTTCTGTCTAGCCTTACATGAAAAAAACCCGTTTCCAACGAAGGCCTCTAAGTGGTCAAAATATCCACGTGCAGACTTTACAAACAGAGTGTTTCCAAACGGCTGAATGAAAAGAAAAGTTAAAGTCTGAGAGTTGAACGCACACATCACGCAGCAGTTTTTGAGAATGATTCTGTCTAGTTTTTCTACGAAGATATTTCCTTTTCTACTATTGACCTCAAAGAGGCTGAAATCTCCACTTGCAAATTCCACAAAAAGAGTGTTTCAAGTCTGCTCTGTGTAAAGGATCGTTCAACTCTGTGAGTTGAATACACACAACACAAGGAAGTTACTGAGAATTCTTCTGTCTAGCAGAATATGAAGAAATCCCGTTTCCAACGAAGGCCTCAAAGAGGTCTGAATATCCACTTGCAGACTTTACAAACAGAGTGTTTCCTAACTCCTCTATGAAAAGAAAAGTTAAACTCTGTGAGTTGAACGCACACATCACAAAGGAGTTTATGAGAATCATTCTGTCTAGTTTTTAGACGAAGATATTTCCTTTTCTACCATGGACCTCAAAGCGGCTGAAATCTCCACTTGCAAATTCCACAAAAAGAGTGTTTCAAGTCTGCTCTGTGTAAAGGATCGTTCAACTCTGTGAGTTGAATACACACAACACAAGGAAGATTCTGAGAATTCTTCTGTCTAGCAGAATATGAAGAAATCCCGTTTCCAACGAAGGCCACAAGATGTCAGAATATCCACTTACAGACTTTACAAACAGAGTGTTTCCTAACTGCTCTATGAACAGAAAGGTTAAACTCTGTGAGTTGAACGCACACATCACAAAGGAGTTTATGAGAATCATTCTGTCTAGTTTTTATACGAAGATATTTCCTTTTCTACCATTGACCTCAAAGCGGCTGAAATCACCACTTGCCAATTGCACAAAAAGAGTGTTTCAAATCTGCTCTGTCTAAGGGAACGTTCAACTCTGTGAGTTGAATGTACACAACACAAGGAAGTTACTGGGAATTCTTCTGTCTAGCCTTACATGAAAAAAAACCCGTTTCCAACGAAGGCCTCTAAGTGGTCAAATTATCCACGTGCAGACTTTACAAACAGAGTGTTTCCAAACTGCTGAATGAAAAGAAAAGTTAAACTCGGAGAGTTGAACGCACACATCGCAGAGCAGTTTCTGAGAATGATTCTGTCTAGTTTTTATACGAAGATATTTCCTTTTCTGCCTTTGGCCTCAAAGCGCTTGAAATCTCCATTTGCAAATTCCACAAAAAGAGTGTTTCAAATCTGCTCTGTGTAAATGAAAGTTCAACTCTGTGAGTTGAATACACACAACACAAGGAAGTTACTGGGAATTCTTCTGTCTAGCATAATATGAAGAAATCCCGTTTCCAACGACGGCCTCAAAGAGGTCTGAATATCCACTTGCAGACTTTACAAACAGAGTGTTCCCTAACTGCTCTATGAAAAGAAAGGTTAAACTCTGTGTGTTGAACGCACACATCACAAAGGAGTTTCTGAGAATCATTCTGTCTAGTTTCTATAGGAAGATATTTCCTATTCTACCTTTGACCTCAAAGCGGCTGAAATCTCCACTTGCAAATTCCAGAAAAAGAGTGTTTCAACTCTGCTCTGTGTAAGAGATCGTTCAACTCTGTGAGTTGAATACACACAACACAAGGAAGTTACTGAGAATTCTTGTGTATAGCATAATATGAAGAAATCCCGTTTCCAAAGAAGGCCTCAAAGAGGTCTGAATATCCACTTGCAGACTTTGCAAACAGAGTGTTTCCTAACTGCTCTATGAAAAGAAAGGTTAAACTCTGTGAGTTGAACGCACACATCACAAAGGAGTTTCTGAGAATCATTCTGTCTAGTTTTGAAACGAAGATATTTCCTTTTCTGCCATTGACCTTAAGCGCTTGAAATCTCCACTTGCCAATTGCACAAAAAGAGTGTTTCAAATCTGCTCTGTCCAAGGGAACGTTCAACTCTGTAAGTTGAATGTACACAACACAAGGAAGTTACTGGGAATTATTCTGTCTAACCTTACATGACAAAAACCCGCTTCCAACGAAGGCCTCTAAGTGGTCAAAATATACACGTGCAGACTTTACAAACAGAGTGTTTCCAAACTGCTGAATGAAAAGAAAAGTTAAACTCTGAGCGCTGAAGGCACACATCGCAGAGCAGTTTCTGAGAATGATTCTGTCTAGTTTTTATACGAAGATATTTCCTTTTCTGCCTTTGGCCCCAAAGCGCTTGAAATCTCCACTTGCAAATTCCACAAAAAGAGTGTTTCAAATCTGCTCTCTCTAAATGAAAGTTCAACTCTGTCAGTTGAATACACACAACACAAGGAAGTTACTGAGAATTCTTCTGTCTAGCATAGTATGATGAAATCCCGTTTCCAACGAAGGCCTCAAAGAGGACTGAATATCCACTTGCAGAGATTACAAGCAGAGTGTTTCCTAACTGCTCTATGAAAAGAAAAGTTAAACTCTGTGAGTTGAACGCACACATCACAAAGAAGTTTCTGAGAATCATTCTGTCTAGTTTCTATAGGAAAATATTTCCTATTCTACCATTGACCTCAAAGCGGCTGAAATCTCCACTTGCAAATTCCACAGAAAGAATGTTTCAAGTCTGCTCTGTGTAAAGGATCGTTCAACTCTGTGAGTTGAATACACACAACACAAGGAAGTTACTGAGAATTCTTCTGTCTAGCATAATATGAAGAAATCCCGTTTCCAACGAAGGCCTCAAAGAGGTCTGAATATCCACTTGCAGACTTTACAAACAGAGTGTTTCCTAACGGCTCTATGAAAAGAAAAGTTAAACTCTGTGAGTTGAACGCACACATCACAAAGGAGTTTCTGAGAATGATTCTGTCTAGTTTTGAAACGAAGATATTTCCTTTTCTGCCGTTGACCTTAAACCGCTTGAAATCTACACTTGGAGATTGCACAAATAGAGTGTTTCAAATCTGCTCTGTCTAAGGGAACGTTCAACTCTGTGACTTGAATGCACACAACACAAGGAAGTTACTGGGAATTCTTCTGTCTAGCCTTAAATGAAAAAAACCCGTTTCCAACGAAGGCCTCTAAGTGGTCAAAATATCCACGTGCAGACTTTACAAACAGAGTGTTTCCAAACTGCTGAATGAAAAGAAAAGTTAAACTCTGAGAGTTGAACGCACACATCGCAGAGCAGTTTCTGAGAATGATTCTGTCTAGTTTTTATACGAAGATATTTCCTTTTCTGCCTTTGGCCTCAAAGCGCTTGAAATCTCCACTTGCAAATTCCACAAAAAGAGTGTTACAAGTCTGCTCTGTGTAAAGGATCGTTCAACTCTGTGAGTTGAATACACACAACACAAGGAAGTTACTGAGAATTCTTCTGTCTAGCCTTATATGAAAAAAACCCGTTTCCAACGAAGGCCTCAAAGAGGTCTGAATATCCACTTGCAGACTTTCCAAACAGAGTGTTTCCTAACTGCTCTATGAAAAGAAAGGTTAAACTCTGTGAGTTGAACGCACACATCACAAAGGAGTTTCTGAGAATCATTCTGTGTAGTTTCTATAGGAAGATATTTCCTATTCTACCATTGAACTCAAAGCGGCTGAAATCTCCACTTGCAAATTCCACAAAAAGAGTGATTCAAGTCTGCTCTGTGTAAAGGATCGTTCAACTCTGTGAGTTGAATACACACAACACAAGGAAGTTACTGAGAATTCTTCTGTCTAGCAGAATATGAAGAAATCCCGTTTCCAACGAAGGCCACAAGATGTCAGAATATCCACTCACAGACTTTACAAACAGAGTGTTTCCTAACTGCTCTATGAACAGAAAGGTTAAACTCTGTGAGTTGAACGAACACATCACAACGCAGTTTGTGGGAATGATTCTGTCTAGTTTTGAAACGAAGATATTTCCTTTTCTGCCGTTGACCTTAAAGCGCTTGAAATCTACACTTGCAAATTGCACAAATAGAGTGTTTCAAATCTGCTCTGTCTAAGGGAACGGTTCAACTCTGTGAGTTGAATGCACACAACACAAGGAAGTTACTGGGAATTCTTCTGTCTAGCCTTACATGAAAAAAACCCGTTTCCAACGAAGGCCTCTAAGTGTTCAAAATATCCACGTGCAGACTTTACAAACAGAGTGTTTCCAAACTGCTAAATGAAAAGAAAAGTTAAACTCTGAGAGTTGAACGCACACATCACAGAGCGGTTTCTGAGAATGATTCTGTCTAGTTTTTATACGAAGATATTTCCTTTTCTGCCTTTGGCCTCAAAGCGCTTGAAATCTCCACTTGCAAATTCCACAAAAAGAGTGTTTCAAATCTGCTCTGTGTAAATGAAAGTTCAACTCTGTGAGTTGAACACACACAACAGAAGGAAGTTACTGGGAATTCTTCTGTCTAGCAGAATTTGAAGAAATCCCGCTTCCAACGAAGGCCTCAAAGAAGTCTGAATATCCACTTGCAGACTTTACGAACAGAGTGTTTCCCAACTGCTCTATGAAAAGAAAGGTTGAACTCTGTGAGTTGAACGCACACATCACAAAGGAGTTTCTGAGAATCATTCTGTCTAGTTTCTATAGGAAGATATTTCCTATTCTACCATTGAACTCAAAGCGGCTGAAATCTCCACTTGCAAATTTCACAAAAAGAGTGTTTCAAGTCTGCTCTGTGTAAAGAATCGTTCAACTCTGTGAGTTGAATACACACAACACAAGGAAGTTACTGAGAATTCTTCTGTCTAGCAGAATATGAAGAAATCCCGTTTCCAACGAAGGCCACAAGATGTCAGAATATCCACTTACAGACTTTACAAACAGAGTGTTTCCTAACTGCTCTATGAACAGAAAGGTTAAACTCTGTGAGTTGAACGAACACATCACAACGCAGTTTTTGGGAATGATTCTGTCTAGTTTTGAAACGAAGATATTTCCTTTTCTGCCACTGACCTTAAAGCGCTTGAAATCTCCACTTGCCAATTGCACAAAAAGAGTGTTTCAAATCTGCTCTGTCTAAGGGAACGTTCAACTCTGTGAGCTGAATGTAAGCAACAGAAGGAAGTTACTGGGAATTCTTCTGTCTAGCCTTACATGAAAAAAACCCGTTTCCAACGAAGGCCTCTAAGTGGTCAAAATATCCACGTGCAGACTTTACAAACAGAGTGTCTCCAAACCGCTGAATGAAAAGAAAAGTTAAACTCTGAGAGTTGAACGCACACATCACGCAGCAGTTTCTGAGAATGATTCTGTCTAGTTTATATACGAAGATATTTCGTTTTCTGCCTTTGGCCCCAAAGCGCTTGAAATCTCCACTTGCAAATTCCACAAAAACAGTGTTTCAAATCTGCTCTCTCTAAATGAAAGTTCAACTCTGTCAGTTGAATACACACAACACAAGGAAGTTACTGAGAATTCTTCTGTCTAGCAGAATATGAAGAAATCCCGTTTCCAACGAAGGCCTCAAAGAGGTCTGAATATCCACTTGCAGACTTTATAAACAGAGTGTTTCCTAACTGCTCTATGAAAAGAAAGGTTAAACTCTGTGAGTTGAACGCACACATCACAAAGGAGTTTCTGAGAATCATTCTGTCTAATCTTTATACGTAGATATTTCCTTTTCTACCATTGACCTCAAAGCGGCTGAAATCTCCACTTGCAAATTCCACAAAAAGAGTGTTTCAAGTCTGCTCTGTGTAAAGGATCATTCCACTCTGTGATTTGAATACACACAACACAAGGAAGTTACTGAGAATTCTTCTGTCTAGCAGAATATGAAGAAATCCCGTTTCCAACGAAGGCCACAAGATGTCAGAATATCCACTTACAGACTTTACAAACAGAGTGTTTCCTAACTGCTCTATGAACAGAAAGGTTAAACTCTGTGAGTTGAACGAAAACATCACAACGCAGTTTGTGGGAATGATTCTGTCTAGTTTTGAAACGAAGAAATTTCCTTTTCTGCCATTGACCTTAAAGCGCTTGAAATCTACACTACAAATTGCACAAATAGAGTGTTTCAAATCTGCTCTGTCTAAGGGAACGTTCAACTCTGTGAGTTGAATGCACACAACACAAGGAAGTTACTGGGAATTCTTCTGTCTAGCCTTACAGGAAAAAAACCCGTTTCCAACGAAGGCCTCTAAGTGGTCAAAATATCCACGTGCAGACTTTACAAACAGAGTGTTTCCAAACGGCTGAATGAAAAGAAAAGTTAAAGTCTGAGAGTTGAACGCACACATCACGCAGCAGTTTCTGAGAATGATTCTGTCTAGTTTTTATACGAAGATATTTCCTTTTCTGCCTTTGGCCGCAAAGCGCTTGAAATCTCCACTTGCAAATTCCACAAAAACAGTGTTTCAAATCTGCTCTCTCTAAATGAAAGTTCAACTCTGTCAGTTGAATACACACAACACAAGGAAGTTACTGAGAATTCTTCTGTCTAGCAGAATAGGAAGAAATCCCGTTTCCAACGAAGGCCTCAAGGAGGTCTGAATATCCACTTGCAGACTTTACAAACAGAGTGTTTCCTAACTGCTCTATGAACAGAAAGGTTAAACTCTGTGAGTTTAACGCACACATCACAAAGGAGTTTCTGAGAATCATTCTGTCTAGTTTCTATAGGAAGATATTTCCTATTCTATCATTGACCTCAAAGCGGCTGAAATCTCCACTTGCGAATTCCACAAAAAGAGTGTTTCAAGTCTGCTCTCTGTAAAGGATCGTTCAACTCTGTGAGTTGAATACACACAACACAAGGAAGTTACTGAGAATTCTTCTCTCTAGCAGAATATGAAGAAATCCCGTTTCCATCGAAGGCCACAAGATGTCAGAATATCCACTTACAGAATTGACAAACAGACTGTTTCCTAACTGCTCTATGAAAAGAAATGTTAAACTCTGTGAGTTGAACGAACACATCACAACGCAGTTTGTGGGAATGATTCTGTCTAGTTTTGAAACGAAGATATTTCCTTTTCTGCCATTGACTTTAAAGCGCTTGAAATCTCCACTTGCCAATTGCACAAAAAGAGTGTTTCAAATCTGCTCTGTCTAAGGGAACGTTCAACTCTGTGAGTTGAATGTACACAACACAAGGAAGTTACTGGGAATTCCTCTGTCTAGCCTTACATGAAAAAAACCCGTTTCCAACGAAGGCCTCTAAGTGGTCAAGTTATCCACGTGCAGACTTTACAAACAGAGTGTTTCCAAACTGCTGAATGAAAAGAAAAGTTAAACTTCTGAGAGTTGAACGCACACATCGCAGAGCAGTTTCTCAGCATGATTCTGTCTAGTTTTTATACGAAGATATTTCCTTTTCTGCCTTTGGCCTCAAAGCGCTTGAAATCTCCACTTGCAAATTCCACAAAAAGAGTGTTTCAAATCTGCTCTGTGTAAATGAATGTAGAACTCTGTGAGTTGAACACACACAACACAAGGAAGTTACTGGGAATTCTTCTGTCTAGCCTTATATGAAAAAACCCGTTTCCAACGAAGGCCTCAAAGAGGTCTGAATATTCACTTGCAGACTTTAGAAACAGAGTGTTTCCTAACTGCTCTATGAAAAGAAAGGTAAAACTCTGTGAGTTGAACGCACACATCACAAAGGAGTTTCTGAGAATCATTCTGTCTAGTTTTGAAACGAAGATATTTCCTTTTCTGCCTTTGGCCTCAAAGCGCTTGAAATCTCCACTTGCAAATTCCACAAAAAGAGTGTTACAAGTCTGCTCTGTGTAAAGGATCGTTCAACTCTGTGAGTTGAATACACACAACACAAGGAAGTTACTGAGAATTCTTCTGTCTAGCATAATATGAAGAAATCCCGTTTCCAACGAAGGCCTCAAAGAGGTCTGAATATCCACTTGCAGAGTTTACAAACAGAGTGATTCCTAACTGCTCTATGAACAGAAAGGTTAAACTCTGTGAGTTGAACGAACACATCACAACGCAGTTTGTGGGAATGATTCTGTCTAGTTTTGATACGAAGATATTTCCTTTTCTGCCATTGACCTTAAAGCGCTTGTAATCTCCACTTGCCAATTGCCCAAAAAGAGTGTTTCAAATCTGCTCTGTCTAAGGGAACGTTCAACTCTGTGAGTTGAATGTACACAACACAAGGAAGTTACTGGGAATTCTCCTGTCTAGCCTTACATGAAAAAAACCCGTTTCCAACGAAGGCCTCTAAGTGGTCAAAATATCCACGTGCAGACTTTACAAACAGAGTGTTTCCAAACTGCTGAATGAAAAGAAAAGTTAAACTCTGAGAGTTGAACGCACACATCACAGAGCAGTTTCTGAGAATGATTCTGTCTAGTTTTGAAACGAAGATATTTCCTTTTCTGCCTTTGGCCTCAAAGCGCTTGAAATCTCCACTTGCAAATTCCACAAAAAGAGTGCTTCAAATCTGCTCTGTGTAAATGAAAGTTCAACTCTGTGAGTTGAACACACACAACACAAGGAAAGTTACTGGGAATTCTTCTGTCTAGCCTTATATGAAAAAAACCCGTTTCCAACGAAGGCCTCAAAGAGGTCTGAATATCCACTTGCAGACTTTACAAACAGAGTGTTTCCTAACTGCTCTATGAAAAGAAAAGTTAAACTCTGTGAGTTGAACGTACACATCACAAAGGAGTTTCTGAGAATCATTCTGTCTACTTTCTATAGGAAGATATTTCCTATTCTACCATTGACCTCAAAGCGGATGAAATCTCCACTTGCAAATTCCACAAAAGGAGTGTTGCAAGTCTGCTCTGTGTAAAGGATCGTTCAACTCTGTGAGTTGAAAACACACAACACAAGGAAGTTTCTGAGAATTCTTCTGTCTAGCAGAATATGAAGAAATCCCGTTTCCAACGAAGGCCACAAGATGTCAGAATATCCACTTACAGACTTTACAAACAGAGTGTTTCCTAACTGCTCTATGAACAGAAAGGTTAAACTCTGTGAGTTGAATGAACACATCACAACGCAGTTTGTGGGAATGATTCTGTCTAGTTTTGAAACGAAGATATTTCCTTTTCTGCCATTGACCTTAAAGCGCTTGAAATCTCCATTTGCCAATTGCACAAAAAGAGTGTTTCAAATCTGCTCTGTCTAAGGGAACGTTCAACTATGTGAGTTGAATGTACACAACACAAGGAAGTTACTGGGAATTCTTCTGTCTAGCCTTACAGGAAAAAAACCCGTTTCCAACGAAGGCCTCTAAGTGGTCAAAATATCCACGTGCAGACTTTACAAACAAAGTGTTTCCAAACTGCTGAATGAAAAGAAAAGTTAAACTCTGAGAGTTGAACGCACACATCGCAGAGCAGTTTCTGAGAATGATTCTGTCTAGTTTTGAAACGAAGATATTTCCTTTTCTACCTTTGGCCTCAAACTGCTTGAAATCTCCACTTGCAAATTCCACAAAAAGAGTGTTTCAAATCTGCTCTGTGTAAATGAAAGTTCAACTCTGTGAGTTGAACACACACAACACAAGGAAGTTACTGGGAATTCTTCTGTCAAGCAGAATATGAAGAAATCCCGCTTCCAACGAAGGCCTCAAAGAAGTCTGAATATCCACTTGCAGACTTTACAAACAGAGTGTTTCCCAACTGCTCTATGAAAAGAAAGGTTGAACTCTGTGAGTTGAACGCACACATCACAAAAGAGTTTCTGAGAATCATTCTGTCTAGTTTCTATACGAAGATATTTCCTTTTCTACCATTGACCTCAACGCGGCTGAAATCTCCACTTGCAAATTCCACAAAAAGAGTGTTTCAAGTCCGCTCTGTGTAAAGGATCGTTCAACTCTGTGAGTTGAATACACACAACACAAGGAAGTTACTGAGAATTCTTCTGTCTAGCAGAATATGAAGAAATCCCGTTTCCAACGAAGGCCACAAGATGTCAGAATATCCACTTACAGAATTTACAAACAGACTGTTTCCTAACTGCTCTATGAAAAGAAAGGTTAAACTCTGTGTGTTGAACGAACACATCACAACGCAGTTTGTGGGAATGATTCTGTCTAGTTTTGAAACGAAGATATTTCCTTTTCTGCCGTTGACCTTAAAGCGCTTGAAATCTACACTTGCAAATTGGACAAATAGAGTGTTTCAAATCTGCTCTGTCTAAGGGAACGTTCAACTCTGTGAGTTGAATGCACACAACACAAGGAAGTTACTGGGAATTCTTCTGTCTAGCCTTACATGAAAAAAACCCGTTTCCAACGAAGGCCTCTAAGTGTTCAAAATATCCACGTGCAGACTTTACAAACAGAGTGTTTCCAAACTGCTGAATGAAAAGAAAAGTTAAACTCTGAGAGTTGAACGCACACATCACAGAGCAGTTTCAGAGAATGATTCTGTCTAGTTTTTATACGAAGATATTTCCTTTTCTGCCTTTGGCCCCAAAGCGCTTGAAATCTCCACTTGCAAATTCCACAAAAACAGTGTTTCAAATCTGCTCTCTCTAAATGAAAGTTCAACTCTGTCAGTTTGAATACACACAACACAAGGAAGTTACTGAGAATTCTTCTGTCTAGCAGAATATGAAGAAATCCCGTTTCCAACGAAGGCCTCAACGAGGTCTGAATATCCACTTGCAGACTTTACAAACAGAGTGTTTCCTAACTGCTCTATGAAAAGAAAGGTTAAACTCCTGTGAGTTGAACACACACATCACAAAGGAGTTTCTGAGAATCATTCTGTCTAGTTTCTATACGAAGATATTCCCTTTTCTACCATTGACCTCAAAGCGGCTGAAATCTCCACTTGCAAATTCCACAAAAAGAGTGTTTCAAGTCTGCTCTGTGTAAAGGATCGTTCAACTCTGTGAGTTGAATACACACAACACAAGGAAGTTACTGAGAATTCTTCTGTCTAGCAGAATATGAAGAAATCCCGTTTCCAACGAAGGCCACAAAGAGGTCTGAATATCCACTTGCAGACTTTACAAACAGAGTGTTTCCTAACTGCTGTATGAAAAGAAAGGTTAAACTCTGTGACTTGAACGCACACATCACAAAGGAGTTTCTGAGAATCAATCTGTCTAGTTTCTATAGGAAGATATTTCATTTTCTACCATTAACCTCAAAGAGGCTGAAATCTCCACTTGCAAATTCCACAAAAAGAGTGTTTCAAGTCTGCCCTGTGTAAAGGATCGTTCAACTCTGTGAGTTGAATACACACAACACAAGGAAGTTACTGAGAATTCTTCTGTCTAGCCTTACATGAAAAAAACCCGTTTCCAATGAAGGCCTCTAAGTGGTCAAGTTATCCACGTGCAGACTTTACAAACAGAGTGTTTCCAAACTGCTGAATGAAAAGAAAAGTTAAACTCTGAGAGTAGAACGCACACATCGCAGAGCAGTTTCTGAGAATGATTCTGTGTAGTTTTTATACGAAGATATTTCCTTTTCTGCCTTTGGCCTCAAAGCGCTTGAAATCTCCACTTGCAAATTCCAGAAAAAGAGTGTTTCAAATCTGCTCTGTCTAAATGAAAGTTCAACTCTGTCAGTTGAATACACACAACACAAGGAAGTTACTGAGAATTCTTTTTGTCTAGCCTTATATGAAAAAACCCGTTTCCAACGAAGGCCTCAAAGAGGTCTGAATATCCACTTGCAGACTTTACAAACAGAGTGTTTCCTAACTGCTCTATGAAAAGAAAGGTTAAACTCTGTGAGTTGAACACACACATCACAAAGGAGTTTCTGAGAATCATTCTGTCTAGTTTTTATACGAAGATACTTCATTTTCTACCTTTGACCTCAAAGCGGCTGAAATCTCCACTTGCAAATTCCACAAAAAGAGTGTTTCAAGTCTGCTCTGTGTAAAGGATCGTTCAACTCTGTGAGTTGAATACACACAACACAAGGAAGATTCTGAGAATTCTTCTGTGTAGCAGAATATGAAGAAATCCTGTTTCCAACGAAGGCCACAAGATGTCAGAATATCCACTTACAGAATTTACCAACAGAGTGTTTCCTAACTGCTCTATGAAAAGAAAGGTTAAACTCTGTGAGTTGAACGAACACATCACAACGCAGTTTGTGGGAATGATTCTGTCTACTTTTGAAACGAAGATATTTCCTTTTCTGCCATTGACCTTAAAGCGCTTGAAATCTACACTTGCAAATTGCACAAATAGAGTGTTTCAAATCTGCTCTGTCTAAGGGAACGTTCATCTCTGTGAGTTGAATGCACACAACACAAGGAAGTTACTGGGAATTCTTCTGTCTAGCCTTACATGAAAAAAACCCGTTTCCAACGAAGGCCACTAAGTGGTCAAAATATCCACGTGCAGACTTTACAAACAGAGTGTTTCCAAACCGCTGAATGAAAAGCAAAGTTAAACTCTGAGAAGTTGAACGCACACATCACGCAGCAGTTTCTGAGAATGATTCTGTCTAGTTTTTATACGAAGATATTTCCTTTTCTACCTTTGACTTCAAAGCGGCTGAAATCTCCAATTGCAAATTCCACAAAATGATTGTTACAAGTCTGCTCTGTGTAAAGGATCGTTCAACTCTGTGAGTTGAATACTCACAACACATGGAAGTTACTGAGAATTCTTCTCTCTAGCCTTATATGAAAAAAACCCGTTTCCAACGAACGCCTCAAAGAGGTCTGAATATCCACTTGCAGACTTTACAAACAGAGTGTTTCCTAACTGCTCTATGAAAAGAAAGGTTAAACTCTGTGAGTTCAACGCACACATCACGAAGGAGTTTCTGAGAATCATTCTGTCTAGTTTTTACAGGAAGATATTTCCTTTTCTACCATTGACCTCAAAGCGGCTGAAATCTCCACTGGCAAATTCCACAAAAAGAGTGTTTCAAGTCTGCTCTGTGTAAAGGATCGTTCAACTCTGTGAGTTGAATACACACAACACGCGGAAGTTACTGAGAATTCTTCTGTCTAGCATAATATGAAGAAATCCCGTTTCCAACGAAGGCCACAAGATGTCAGAATATCCACTTACAGACTTTACAAACAGAGTGTTTCCTAACTGCTCTATGAACAGAAAGGTTAAACTCTGTGAGTTGAACGAACACATCACAACGCAGTTTGTGGGAATCATTCTGTCTAGTTTTGAAACGAAGATATTTCCTTTTCTGCCATTGACCTTAAAGCGCTTGAAATCTACACTTGCAAATTGCACAAATAGATTGTTTCAAATCTGCTCTGTCTAAGGGAACGTTCAACTCTGTGAGTTGAATGCACACAACACAAGGAAGTTACTGGGAATTCTTCTGTCTAGCCTTACATGAAAAAAACCCGTTTCCAATGAAGGCCTCTAAGTGGTCAAAATTTCCACGTGCAGACTTTACAAACAGAGTGTTTCCAAACCGCTGAATGAAAAGAAAAGTTAAACTCTGAGAGTTGAACGCACACATCACGCAGCAGTTTCTGAGAATGATTCTGTCTAGTTTTGAAACGAAGATATTTCCTTTTCTGCCTTTGGCCTCAAAGCGCTTGAAATCTCCACTTGCAAATTTCACAAAAAGAGTGTTTCAAATCTGCTCTGTGTAAATGAAAGTTCAACTCTGTGAGTTGAACACACACAACAAAAGGAAGTTACTGGGAATTCTTCTGTCTAGCATAGTATGAAGAAATCCCGTTTCCAACGAAGGCCTCAAAGAGGTCTGAATATCGACTTGCAGAGTTTACAAACAGAGTGTTTCCTAACTGCTCTATGAAAAGAAAGGTTAAACTCTGTGAGTTGAACGCACACATCACAAAGAAGTTTCTGAGAATCATTCTGTCTAGTTTTTATATGAAGATATTTCCTTTTCTACCATTGACCTCAAAGCGGCTGAAATCTCCACTTACAAATTCCACAAAAAGAGTGTCTCAAGTCTGCTCTGTGTAAACGATCGTTCAACTCTGTGAGTTGAATACACACAACACAAGGGAAGTTTCTGAGAATTCTTCTGTATAGCAGAATATGAAGAAATCCCATTTCCAACGAAGGCCTAAAGGAGGTCTCTATATCCACTTGCAGACTTTACAAACAGAGTGTTTCCTAACTGCTCTATGAAAAGAAAGGTTAAACTCTGTGAGTTGAACGCAGACATCACAAAGGAGTTTCTGAGAATCACTATGTCTAGTTTTTATAGGAAGATATTTCCTTTTCTACATTTGACTTCAAAGCGGCTGAAATCTCCACTTGCAAATTCCACAAAAAGAGTGTTACAAGTCTGCTCTGTGTAAAGGATCGTTCAACTGTGTGAGTTGAATACACACAACACAAGGAAGTTACTGAGAATTCTTCTGTCTAGCCTTACAGGAAAAAAACCCGTTTCCAACGAAGGCCTCTAAATGGTCAAAATATCCACGTGCAGACTTTACAAACAGAGTGTTTCCAAACTGCTGAATGAAAAGAAAAGTAAAACTCTGAGAGTTGAACGCACACATCGCAGAGCAGTTTCTGAGAATGATTCTCTCTAGTTTCTATAGGAAGATATTTCCTATTCTACCATTGACCTCAAAGCGGCTGAAATCTCCACTTGCAAATTCCACAAAAAGAGTGTTTCAAGTCTGCTCTGTGTAAAGGATCGTTCAACTCTGTGAGTTGAATACACACAACACAAGGCAGTTACTGAGAATTCTTCTGTCTAGCCTTACATGAAAAAAACTTGTTTCCAACGAAGGCCTCAAAGCGGTCAAAATATCCACTTGCAGAATTTACAAACAGAGTGTTTCCTAACTGCTGTATGAAAAGAAAGGTTAAACTCTGTGAGTTGAACACACACATCACAAAGGAGTTTCTGAGAATCATTCTGTCTAGTCTTTATACGAAGATATTTCCTTTTCTACCATTGACCTCAAAGCGGCTGAAATCTCCACTTGCAAATTCCACAAAAAGAGTGTTTCAAGTCTGCTCTCTGAAAAGGATCGTTCAACTGTGTGAGTTGAATACACACAACACAAGGAAGTTACTGAGATTTCTTCTGTCTAGCAGAATATGAAGAAATCCCGTTTCCAACGAAGGCCACAAGATGTCAGAATATCCACTTACAGAATTGACAAACAGACTGTTTCCTAACTGCTCTATGAAAAGAAAGGTTAAACTCTGTGAGTTGAACGAACACATCACAACGCTGTTTGTGGGAATGATTCTGTCTAGTTTTGAAACGAAGATATTTCCTTTTCTGCCATTGACCTTAATGCGCTTGAAATCTACACTTGCAAATTGCACAAATAGAGTGTTTCAAACCTGCTCTGTCTAAGGGAACGTTCAACTCTGTGAGTTGAATGCACACAACACAAGGAAGTTACTGGGAATTCTTCTGTCTAGCCTTACAGGGAAAAGCCCTTTTCCAACGAAGGCCTCTAAGTGGTCAAAATATCCACGTGCAGACTTTACAAACAGAGTGTTTCCAAACTGCTGAATGAAAAGAAAAGTTAAACTCTGAGAGTTGAACGCACACATCGCAGAGCAGTTTCTGAGAATGATTCTGTCTAGTTTTGAAACGAAGATATTTCCTTTTCTGCCTTTGGCCTCAAAGCGCTTGAAATCTCCACTTGCAAATACCACAAAAAGAGTGTTTCAAATCTGCTCTGTGTAAATGAAAGTTCAACTCGGTGAGTTGAACACACACAACACAAGGAAGTTACTGGGAATTCTTCTGTATAGCAGAATATGAAGAAATCCCGTTTCCAACGAAAGCCTCAAAGATGTCTGAATATCCACTTGCAGACATTACAAACAGAGTGTTTCCTAACTGCTCTATGAAAAGAAAGGTTAAACTCTGTGAGTTGAACGCACACATCACAAAGGAGTTTCTGAGAATCATTCTGTCTAGTTTCTATACGAATATATTTCATTTTCTACCATTAACCTCAAAGCGGCTGAAATCTCCACTTACAAATTCCACAAAAAGAGTGTTTCAAGTCTGCTCTGTGTAAAGGATCGTTCAACTCCTTGAGTTGAATACACACAACACAAGGAAGTTGCTGAGAATTCTTCTGTCTAGCATAATATGAAGAAATCCCGTTTCCAACGAAGGCCTCAAAGCAGGTCTGAATATCCACTTACAGACTTTACAAACAGAGTGTTTCCTAACTGCTCTATGAAAAGAAAGGTTAAACTCTGTGAGTTGAACGCACACATCACAAAGGAGTTTCTGAGAATCGTTCTGTCTAGTTTTGAAACGAAGATATTTCCTTTTCTGCCATTGACCTTAAAGCGCTTCAAATCTACACTTCCAAATTGCAGAAAAAGAGTGTTTCAAATCTGCTCTGTCAAAGGGAACGTTCAACTCTGTGAGTTGAATACACACAACACAAGGAAGTTACTGGGAATTTTTCTCTCTAGCCTTAAAGGAAAAAAACCCGTTTCCAACGAAGGCCTCTAAGTGGTCAAAATATCCACGTGCAGACTTTACAAACAGAGTGTTTCCAAACTGCTGAATGAAAAGAAAAGTTAAACTCTGAGAGTTGAACGCACACATCGCAGAGCAGTTTCTGAGAATGATTCTGTCTAGCAGAATATGAAGAAATCCCGTTTCCAACGAAGGTCTCAAAGAGGTCTGAATATCCACTTGCAGACTTTACAAACAGAGTGTTTCCTAACTGCTCTATGAAAAGAAAGGTTAAACTCTGTGAGTTGAAGGCACACATCACAAAGGAGTTTCTGAGAATCATTCTGTCTAGTTTCTATAGGAAGATATTTCCTATTCTACCATTGAACTCAAAGCGGCTGAAATCTCCACTTGCAAATTCCACAAAAAGAGTGTTTCAAGTCTGCTCTGTGTAAAGGATCGTTCAACTCTGTGAGTTGAATACACACAACACAAGGAAGTTACTGAGAATTGTTCTGTCTAGCAGAATATGAAGAAATCCCGTTTCCAACGAAGGCCACAAGATGTCAGAATATCCACTTACAGACTTTACAAACAGAGTGTTTCCTAACTGCTCTATGAACAGAAAGGTTAAACTCTGTGAGTTGAACGAACCCATCACAACGCAGTTTGTGGGAATGATTCTGTCTAGTTTTGAAACGAAGATATTTCCTTTTCTGCCGTTGACCTTAAAGCGCTTGAAATCTACACTTGCAAATTGCACAAATAGAGTGTTTCAAATCTGCTCTGTCTAAGGGAACGTTCAACTCTGTGAGTTGAATGCACACAACACAAGAAGTTACTGGGAATTCTTCTGTGTAGCCTTACAGGAAAGAAACCCGTTTCCAACGAAGGCCTCTAAGTGGTCAAAATATCCACGTGCAGACTTTACAAACAGAGTTTTTCCAAACTGCTGAATGAAAAGAAAAGTTAAACTCTGAGAGTTGAACGCACACATCGCAGAGCAGTTTCTGAGAATGATTCTGTCTAGTTTTTATACGAAGATATTTCTTTTTCTGCCTTTGGCCTCAAAGCGCTTGAAATCTCCACTTGCAAATTCCACAAAAAGAGTGTTTCAAATCTGCTCTGTGTAAATCAAAGTTCAACTCTGTGAGTAGAACACACACAACACAAGGAAGTTACTGGGAATTCTTCTGTCTAGCCTTACATGAAAAAAACCCGTTTCCAACGAAGGCCTCAAAGAAGTCCAAATATCCACGTGCAGACTTACAAACAGAGTGTTTCCTAACTGCTCTATGAAAAGAAAGGTTAAACTCTGTGAGTTGAACGCCCACATCACAAAGGAGTTTCTGAGAATCATTTTGTCTAGTTTCTATAAGAAGACATTTCCTATTCTACCATTGACCTCAAAGCGGCTGAAATCTCCACTTGCAAATTCGACAAAAAGAGTGTTTCAAGCCTGCTCTCTGTAAAGGATCCTTCAACTCTGTGAGTTGAATACACACAACACAAGGAAGTTATTGAGAATTATTCTGTCTAGCAGAATATGAAGAAATCCCGTTTCCAACGAAGGCCACAAGATGTCAGAATATCCACTTACAGACTTTACAGAGTGTTTCCTAACTGCTCTATGAACAGAAAGGTTAAACTCTGTGAGTTGAACGAACACATCACAACGCAGTTTGTGGGAATGATTCTTTCTAGTTTTGAAACGAAGATATTTCCTTTTCTGCCATTGACCTTAAAGCGCTTGAAATCTACACTTGCAAATTGCACAAATAGAGTGTTTCAAATCTGCTCTGTCTAAGGGAACGTTCAACTCTGTGAGTTGAAAGCACACAACACAAGGAAGTTACTGGGAATTCTTCTGTCTAGCCTTACATGAAAAAAACCCGTTTCCAACGAAGGCCTCTAAGTGGTCAAAATATCCACGTGCAGACTTTACAAACAGAGTGTTTCCAAACCGCTGAATGAAAAGAAAAGTTAAACTCTGAGAGTTGAACGCACACATCACGCAGCAGTTTACTGAGAATGATTCTCTGTCTAGTTTTTATACGAAGATATTTACTTTTCTACCATTGACCTCAAAGCGGTTGAAATCTCCACTTGCAAATTCCACAAAAAGAGTGTTTCAAGTCTGCTCTGTGTAAAGGATCGTTCAACTCTGTGAGTTGAATACACACAACACAAGGAAGTTACTGAGAATTCTTCTTTCTAGCAGAACATGAAGAAATCCCGTTTCCAACGAAGGCCTCAAAGAATGTCTGAATATCTACTTGCAGACTTTACAAACAGAGTGTTTCCTAACTGCTCTATGAAAAGAAAGGTTAAACTCTGTGAGTTGAACGCACACATCACAAAGGATTTTCTGAGAATCATTCTGTCTAGTTTCTATAAGAAGATATTTCCTATTCTACCATTGACCTCAAAGCGGCTGAAATCTCCACTTGCAAATTCGACAAAAAGAGTGTTTCAAGCCTGCTCTCTGTAAAGGATCTTTCAACTCTGTGAGTTGAATACACACAACACAAGGAAGTTACTGAGAATTATTCCTGTCTAGCAGAATATGAAGAAATCCCGTTTCCAACGAAGGCCTCAAGGAGGTCTGAATATCCACTTGCAGACTTTACAAACAGAGTGTTTCCTAACTGCTCTATGAAAAGAAAGGTTAAACTCTTTGAGTTGAACGCACACATCACAACGCAGTTTGTGGGAATGATTCTGTCTAGTTTTGAAACGAAGATATTTCCTTTTCTGCCGTTGACCTTAAAGCGCTTGAAATCTACACTTGCAAATTGCACAAATAGAGTGTTTCAAATCTGCTCTGTCTAAGGGAACGTTCAACTGCTGTGAGTTGAATGCACACAACACAAGGAAGTTACTGGGAATTCTTCTGTCTAGCCTTACAGGAAAAAAAACCCATTTCCAACGAAGGCCTCTAAGTGGTCAAAATATCCACGTGCAGACTTTACAAACAGAGTGTTTCCAAACTGCTGAATGAAAAGAAAAGTTAAACTCTGAGAGTTGAACGTGCACACATCGCAGAGCAGTTTCTGAGAATGATTCTGTCTAGTTTTGAAACGAAGTATATTTCCTTTTCTGCCTTTGGCCTCAAATCGCTTGAAATCTCCACTTGCAAATTCCACAAAAAGAGTGTTTCAAATCTGCTCTGTGTAAATGGAAGTTCAACTCTGTGAGTTGAACACACACAACACAATGAAGTTACTGGGAATTCTTCTGTCTAGCAGAATATGAAGAAATCCCGTTTCCAACGAAGGCCTCAAAGAGGTCTGAATATCCAGTTGCAGACTTTACAAACAGAGTGTTTCCCAACTGCTCTATGAAAAGAAAAGTTAAACTCTGTGAGTTGAATGCACACATCACAAAGGAGTTTCTGAGAATCATTCTGTCTAGTTTTTATAGGAAGTTATTTCCTTTTCTACCTTTGACTTCAAAGTGGCTGAAATCTCCACATGCAAATTCCACAAAAAGAGTGTTACAAGTCTGCTCTGTGTAAAGGATCGTTCAACTCTGTGAGTTGAATACACACAACACAAGGAAGTTACTGAGAATTCTTCTGTCTAGCAGAATATAAAGAAATCCCGTTTCCAACGAAGGCCACAAGATGTCAGAATATCCACTTACAGACTTTACAAACAGAGTGTTTCCTAACTCCTCTATGAACAGAAAGGTTAAACTCTGTGAGTTGAACGAACACGTCACAACGCAGTTTGTGGGAATGATTCTGTCTAGTTTTGAAAAGAAGATATTTCCTTTTCTGCCGTTGACCTTAAAGCGCTTGAAATCTACACTTGCAAATTGCACAAATAGAGTGTTTCAAATCTGCTCTGTCTAAGGGAACGTTCCACTCTGTGAGTTGAATGCACACAACACAAGGAAGTTACTGGGAATTCTTCTGTCTAGCCTTACATGAAAAAACCCGTTTCCAACGAAGGCCTCTAAGTGGTCAAAATATCCACGTGCAGACTTTACAAACAGAGTGTTTCCAAACCGCTGAATGAAAAGAAAACTTAAACTCTGAGAGTTGAACGCACACATCACGCAGCAGTTTCTGAGAATGATTCTGTCTAGTTTTTATACGAAGGTATTTCCTTTTCTGCCTTTGGCCCCAAAGCGCTTGAAGTCTCCACTTGCAAATTCCACAAAAACAGTGCTTCAAATCTGCTCTCTCTAAATGAAAGTTCAACTCTGTGAGTTGAATACACACAACACAAGGAAGTTACTGAGAATTCTTCTGTCTAGCAGAATATGAAGAAATCCCGCTTCCAAAGAAGGCCTCAAAGAAGTCTGAATATCCACTTGCAGACTTTACAAACAGAGTGTTTCCCAACTGCTCTATGAAAAGAAAGGTTGAACTCTGTGAGTTGAACGCACACATCACAAAGGAGTTTCTGAGAATCATTCTGTCTAGTTTTTCTACGAAGATATTTCCTTTTCTACTATTGACCTAAAAGCGGCTGAAATCTCCACTTGCAAATTCCACAAAAAGAGTGTTTCAAGTCTGCTCTGTGTAAAGGATCGTTCAACTCTGTGAGTTGAATACACACAACAGAAGGAAGTTACTGAGAACTCTTCTGTCTAGCAGAATATGAAGAAATCCCGTTTCCAACGAAGGTCACAAGATGTCAGAATATCCACTTACAGAATTTACAAACAGACTGTTTCCTAACTGCTCTATGAAAAGAAAGGTTAAACTCTGTGAGTTGAACGAACACATCACAACGCAGTTTGTGGGAATGATTCTGTCTAGTTTTAAAACGAAGATATTTCCTTTTCTGCCATTGACCTTAAAGCGCTTGAAATCTACACTTGCAAATTGCACAAATAGAGTGTTTCAAATCTGCTCTGTCTAAGGGAACGTTCAACTCTGTGAGTTGAATGCACACAACACAAGGAAGTTACTGGGAATTCTTCTGTCTAGCCTTACATGAAAAAAACCCGTTTCCAACGAAGGCCTCTAAGTGGTCAAAATATCCACGTGCAGACTTTACAAACAGAGTGTTTCCAAACCGCTGAATGAAAAGAAAAGTTAAACTCTGAGAGTTGAACGCACACATCACACAGCAGTTTCTGAGAATGATTCTGTCTAGTTTTTATACGAAGATATTTCCTTTTCTGCCTTTGGCCCCAAAGCGCTTGAAATCTCCACTTGCAAATTCCACAAAAACAGTGTTTCAAATCTGCTCTCTCGAAATGAAAGTTCAACTCTGTCAGTTGAATACACACAACACAAGGAAGTTACTGACAATTCTTCTGTCTAGCATAATATGAAGAAATCCCGTTTCCAACGAAGGCCTCAAAGAGGTCTGAATATCCACTTGCAGACTTTACAAACAGAGTGTTTCCTAACTGCTATATGAAAAGAAAAGTTAAACTCTGTGATTTGAACGCACACATCACAAAGGAGTTTCTGAGAATCATTCTGTCTAGTTTTTATACGAAGATATTTCCTTTTCTACCATTGACCTCAAAGCGGCTGAAATCTCCACTTGCAATTTCCACAAAAAGAGTGTTTCCAGTCTGCTCTGTGTAAAGGATCGTTCAACTCTGTGAGTTGAATACACACAACACAAGGAAGTTACTGAGAATTCTTCTGTCTAGCATAATATGAAGAAACCCCGTTTCCAACGAAGGCCTCAAAGAGGTCTGAATATCCACATGCAGACTTTACAAACAGAGTGTTTCCTAACTGCTCTATGAAAAGAAAGGTTAAACTCTGTGAGTTGAACGCACACATCACAAAGGAGTTTCTGAGAATCATTCTGTCTAGTTTTGAAACGAAGATATTTCCTTTTCTGCCGTTGACCTTAAAGAGCTTGAAAACTACACTTGCAAATTGCACAAATAGAGTGTTTCAAATCTGCTCTGTCTAAGGGAACGTTCAACTCTGTGAGTTGAATGCACACAACACAAGGAAGTTACTGGGAATTCTTCTGTCTAGCCTTACATGAAAAAAAGCCGTTTCCAACGAAGGCCTCTAAGTGGTCAAAATATCCACGTGCAGACTTTACAAACAGAGTGTTTCCAAACCGCTGAATGAAAAGAAAAGTTAAACTCTGAGAGTTGAACGCACACATCACGCAGCAGTTTCTGAGAATGATTCTGTGTAGTTTTTATACGAAGATATTTCCTTTTCTGCCTTTGGCCCCAAAGCGCTTGAAATCTCCACTTGCAAATTCCACAAAAACAGTGTTTCAAATCTGCTCTCTCTAAATGATAGTTCAACTCTGTCAGTTGAATACACACAACACAAGGAAGTTACTGAGAATTCTTCTGTGTAGCCTTATATGAAAAAAACCCGTTTCCAACGAAGGCCTCAAAGAGGTCTGAATATCCACTTGCAGACTTTACAAACAGAGTGTTTCCTAACTGCTCTATGAAAAGAAAGGTTAAACTCTGTGAGTTGAACGCACACATCACAAAGGAGTTTCTGAGAATCATTCTGTCTAGTCTTTATACGAAGATATTTACTTTTCTACCATTGACCTCAAAGCGGCTGAAATCTCCACTTGCAATTTCCACAAAAAGAGTGTTTCAAGTCTGCTCTGTGTAAAGGATCATTCAACTCTGTGAGTTAAATACACACAACACAAGGAAGTTACTGAGAATTCTTCTGTCCAGCAGAATATGAAGAAATCCCGTTTCCAACGAAGGCCACATGATGTCATAATATCCACTTACAGTCTTTACAAACAGAGTGTTTCCTAACTGCTCTAGGAACAGAAAGGTTAAATTCTGTGAGTTGAACGAACACATCACATCGCAGTATGTGGAAATGATTCTGTCTAGTTTTGAAACGAAGATATTTCCTTTTCTGCCATTGAACTTAAAGCGCTTGAAATCTCCATTTGCCAATTGCACAAAAAGAGTGTTTCAAATCTGCTCTGTCTAAGGGAACGTTCAACTCTGTGAGTTGAATGTACACAACACAAGGAAGTTACTGGGAATTCTTCTGTCTAGCCTTACAGGAAAAAAACCCGTTTCCAACGAAGGTCTCTAAGTGGTCAAAGTATCCACGTGCAGACTTTACAAACAGAGTGTTTCCAAACTGCTGAATGAAAAGAAAAGTTAAACTCTGAGAGTTGAACGCACACATCGCAGAGCAGTTTCTGAGAATGATTCTGTCTAGTTTTTATACGAAGATATTTCCTTTTCTGCCTTTGGCCTCAAAGCGCTTGAAATCTCCATTTGCAAATTCCACAAAAAGAGTGTTTCAAATCTGCTCTGTGTAAAAGAAAGTTCAACTCTGTGAGTTGAACACACACAACACAAGGAAGTTACTGGGAATTCTTCTGTCTAGCATAATATGAAGAAAGCCTGTTTCCAAAGAAGGCCTCTAGGAGGTCTGAATATCCACTTGCAGACTTTACAAACAGAGTGTTTCCTAACTGCTCCATGAAAAGAAAGGTTAAACTCTGTGAGTTGAACGCACACATCACAAAGGAGTTTCTGAGAATCATTCTGTCTAGTTTCTATTAGAAGATATTTCCTATTCTACCATTGACCTCAAAGCGGCTGAAATCTCCACTTTCAAATTCGACAAAAAGAGTGTTTCAAGCCTGCTCTCTGTAAAGGATCCTTCAACTCTGTGAGTTGAATACACACAACACAAGGAAGTTACTGAGAATTCTTCTGTCTAGCAGAATATGAAGAAATCCCGTTTCCAACGAAGGCCACAAGATGTCAGATTATCCACTTTCAGACTTTACAAACAGAGTGTTTCCTAACTGCTCTATGAACAGAAAGGTTAAACTCTGTGAGTTGAACGAGCACATCACAACGCAGTTTGTGGGAATGATTCTGTCTAGTTTTTATACGAAGATATTTCCTTTTCTACCATTGACCTCAAAGCGGCTGAAATCACCACTTGCCAATTGCACAAAAAGTGTGTTTCAAATCTGCTCTGTCTAAGGGAACGTTCAACTCTGTGAGTTGAATGTACACAACACAAGGAAGTTACTGGGAATTCTTCTGTCTAGCCTTACATGAAGAAAACCAGTTTCCAACGAAGGCCTCTAAGTGGTCAAAATATCCACGTGTAGACTTTACAAACAGAGTGTTTCCAAACCGCTGAATGAAAAGAAAAGTTAAACTCTGAGATTTGAACGCACACACCACGCAGCAGTTTCTGAGAATGATTCTGTCTAGTTTTTATACGAAGATATTTCCTTTTCTGCCTTTGGCCCCAAAGTGCTTGAAATCTCCACTTGCAAATTCCACAAAAACAGTGTTTCAAATCTGCTCTCTCTAAATGAAAGTTCAACTCTGTCCGTTGAATACACACAACACAAGGAAGTTACTGAGAATTCTTCTGTCTAGCATAATATGAAGAAATCCCGTTTCCAACGAAGGCCTCAAAGGGGTCTGAATATCCACTTGCAGACTTTATAAACAGAGTGTTTACTAACTGCTCTATGAAAAGAAAGGTTAAACTCTGTGAGGTTGAACACACACATCACAAAGGAGTTTCTGAGAATCATTCTGTCTAGTTTTTCTACGAAGATATTTCCTTTTCTACTATTGACCTCAAAGCGGCTGAAATCTCCACTTGCAAATTCCACAAAAAGTGTGTTTTAAGTCTGCTCTGTGTAAAGGATCGTTCAAATCTGTGAGTTGAATGCACACAACACAAGGAAGTTACTGAGAATTCTTCTGTCTAGCAGAATATGAAGAAATCCCGTTTCCAACGAAGGCCTCAAGGAGGTCTGAATATCCACTTGCAGACTTTACAAACAGAGTGTTTCCTAACTGCTCTATGAAAAGAAAAGTTAAACTCTGTGAGTTGAACGAACACATCACAACGCAGTTTGTGGGAATGATTCTGTCTAGTTTTGAAACGAAGGTATTTCCTTTTCTGCCATTGACCTTAAAGCGCTTGAAATCTACACTTGCAAATTGCACAAATAGAGTGTTTCAAATCTGCTCTGTCTAAGGGAACGTTCAACTCCTGTGAGTTGAATGCACACAACACAAGGAAGTTACTGGGAATTCTTCTGTCTAGCCTTACATGAAAAAAACTCGTTTCCAACGAAGGCCTCTAAGTGGTCAAAATATCCACGTGCAGACTTTACAAACAGAGTGTTTCGAAACCGCTGAATGAAAAGAAAAGTTAAACTCTGAGAGTTGAACGCACACATCACGCAGCAGTTTCTGAGAATGATTCTGTCTAGTTTTTATACGAAGATATTTCCTTTTCTGCCTTTGGCCCCAAAGCGCTTGAAATCTCCACTTGCAAATTCCACAAAAACAGTGTTACAAATCTGCTCTCTCTAAATGAAAGTTCAACTCTGTCAGTTGAATACACACAACACAAGGAAGTTACTGAGAATTCTTCTGTCTAGCAGAATATGAAGAAATCCCGTTTCCAACGAAGGCCTCAAAGGGGTCTGAATATCCACTTGCAGACTTTACAAACAGAGTGTTTCCTAACTGCTCTATGAAAAGAAAGGTTAAACTCTGTGAGTTGAACACACACATCACAAAGGAGTTTCTGAGAATCATTCTATCTAGTTTCTATAGGAAGATATTTCCTATTCTACCATTGACCTCAAAGCGGCTGAAATCTCCAATTGCAAGTTCCACAAAAGGAGTGTTTCAAGCCTGCTCAGAGTAAAGGATCGTTCAACTCTGTGAGTTGAATACACACAACACAAGGAAGTTTCTGAGAATTCTTCTGTCTAGCAGAATATGAAGAAATCCCGTTTCCAACGAAGGCCACAAGATGTCAGAATATCCAGTTACAGAATTGACAAACAGACTGTTTCCTAACTGCTCTATGAAAAGAAAGGTTAAACTCTGTGAGTTGAACGAACACATCACAACGCAGTTTGTGGGAATGATTCTGTCTAGTTTTGAAACGAAGATATTTCCTTTTCTGCCGTTGACCTTAAAGCGCTTGAAATCTACACTTGCAAATTACACAAATATAGTGTTTCAAATCTGCTCTGTCTAAGGGAACGTTCAACTCTGTGAGTTGAATGCACACAACACAAGGAAGTTACTGGGAATTCTTCTGTATAGCCTTACATGAAAAAATCCCGTTTCCAACGAAGGCCTCTAAGTGGTCAAAATTTCCACGTGCAGACTTTACAAACAGAGTGTTTCCAAACCGCTGAATGAAAAGAAAAGTTAAACTCTGAGAGTTGAACGCACACATCACGCAGCAGTTTCTGAGAATGATTCTGTCTAGTTTCTATAGGAAGATATTTCCTATTCTACCATTGACCTCAAAGCGGCTGAAATCTCCACTTGCATATTCCACAAAAAGAGTGTTTCAAGTCTGCTCTGTGTAAAGGATCGTTCAACTCTGTGAGTTGAATACACACAACACAAGGCAGTTACTGAGAATTCTTCTGTCTAGCAGAATATGATGAACTCCCGTTTCCAACGAAAGCCTCAAAGATGTCTGAATATCCACTTGCAGACTTTACAAACAGAGTGTTTCCTAACTGCTCTATGAAAAGAAAGGTTAAACTCTGTGAGTTCAACGCACACATCACAAAGGAGTTTCTGAGAATCATTCTGTCTAGTCTTTATAGGAAGATATTTACTTTTCTACCATTGACCTCAAAGCGGCTGAAATCTCCACTTGCAAATTCCACAAAAAGAGTGTTTCAAGTCTGCTCTGTGTAAAGGATCATTCAACTCTGTGAGTTGAATAAACACAACACAAGGAAGTTACTGAGAATTCTTCTGTCTAGCAGAATATGAAGAAATCCCGTTTCCAACGAAGGCCACAAGATGTCAGAATATCCACTTACAGACTTTACAAACAGAGTGTTTCCTAACTGCTCTATGAACAGAAAGGTTAAACTCTGTGAGTTGAACGAACACATCACAACGCAGTTTGTGGGAATGATTTCTGTCTAGTTTTGAAACGAAGATATTTCCTTTTCTGCCATTGACCTTAAAGCGCTTGAAATCTACACTTGCAAATTGCACAAATAGAGTGTTTCAAATCTGCTCTGTCTAAGGGAACGTTCAACTCTGTGAGTTGAATGCACACAACACAAGGAAGTTACTGGGAATTCTTCTGTCTAGCCTTACATGAAAAAAACCCGTTTCCAACGAAGGCCTCTAAGTGGTCAAAATATCCACGTGCAGACTTTACAAACAGAGTGTTTCCAAACGGCTGAATGAAAAGAAAAGTTAAAGTCTGAGAGTTGAACGCACACATCACGCAGCAGTTTCTGAGAATGATTCTGTCTAGTTTTTATACGAAGATATTTCCTTTTCTACCTTTGGCCTGAAAGGGCTTGAAATCTCCATTTGCAAATTCCACAAAAAGAGTGTTTCAAATCTGCTCTGTGTAAATGAAAGTTCAACTCTGTGAGTTGAATACACACAACACAAGGAAGTTACTGGGAATTCTTCTGTCTAGCCTTACATGAAAAAAACCCGTTTCCAACGAAGGCCTCAAAGAGGTCTGAATATCCACTTGCAGACTTTACAAACAGAGTGTTTCCTAACTCCTCTATGAAAAGAAAGGTTAAACTCTGTGAGTTGAACACACACATCACAAAGGAGTTTCTGAGAATCATTCTGTCTAGTTTCTATAGGAAGATATTTCCTATTCTACCATTGACCTCAAATCGGATGAAATCTCCACTTGCAAATTCCACAAAAAGAGTGTTTCAAGTCTGCTCTGTGTAAAGGATCATTCAACTCTGTGAGTTGAATACACACAACACAAGGAACTTACTGAGAATTCTTCTGTCTAGCATAATATGAAGAAATCCCGTTTCCAACGAAGGCCTCAAGGAGGTCTGAATATCCACTTGCAGACTTAACAAACAGAGTGTTTCCTAACTGCTCTATGAAAAGAAAGGTTAAACTCTGTGAGTTGAACGCACACATCACAAAGGAGTTTCTGAGAATCATTCTGTCTAGTTTCTATAGGAAGATATTTCCTATTCTACCATTGACCTCAAAGCGGCTGAATTCTCCACTTGCAAATTCCACAAAAAGAGTGTTTCAAGTCTGCTCTGTGTAAAGGATCGTTGAACTCTGTGAGTTGAAAACACACAACACAAGGAAGTTTCTGAGAATTCTTCTGTATAGCAGAATATGAAGAAATCCGGTTTCCAAAGAAGGCCTCAAGGAGGTCTGAATATCCACTTGCAGACTTTACAGAGTGTTTCCTAACTGCTCTATGAAAAGAAAGGTTAAACTCTGTGAGTTGAACGCACACATCACAAAGGAGTTTCTGAGAATCATTCTGTCTAGTTTTTATACGAAGATATATCCTTTTCTGCCTTTGGCCCCAAAGCGCTTGAAATCTCCACTTGCAAATTCCACAAAAACAGTGTTTCAAATCTGCTCTCTCTAAATGAAAGTTCAACTCTGTCAGTTGAATACACACAACACAAGGAAGTGACTGAGAATTCTTCTGTCTAGCATAATATGAAGAAATCCCGTTTCCAACGAAGGCCTCAAAGAGGTCTGAATATCCACTTGCAGACTTTACAAACAGAGTGTTTCCTAACTGCTCTATGAAAAGAAAAGTTAAACTCTGTGAGTTGAACGCAAACATCACAAAGGAGTTTCTGAGAATCATTCTGTCTAGTCTTTATACGAAGATATTTCCTTTTCTACCATTGACCTCAAAGCGGCTGAAATCTCCACTTGCAAATTCCACAAAAAGAGTGTTTCAAGTCTGCTCTGTGTAAAGGATCGTTCAACTCTGTGAGTTGAATACACACAACACAAGGAAGTTACTGAGAATTCTCTGTCTAGCAGAATATGAAGAAATCCCGTTTCCAACGAAGGCCTCAAGGAGGTCTGAATATCCACTTGCAGAATTTACAAACAGAGTGTTTCCTAACTGCTCTATGAAAAGAAAGGTTAAACTCTTTGAGTTGAACGCACACATCACAACGCAGTTTGTGGGAATGATTCTGTCTAGTTTTTATAGGAAGATATTTCCTTTTCTACATTTGACTTCAAAGCGGCTGAAATCTCCACTTGCAAATTCCACAAAAAGAGTGTTCCAAGTCTGCTCTGTGTAAAGGATCGTTCAACTCTGTGAGTTGAATACACACAACACAAGGAAGTTACTGAGAATTCTTCTGTCTAGCCTTACATGAAAAAAACCCGTTTCCAACGAAGGCCTCTAAGTGGTCAAAATTTCCACGTGCAGACTTTACAAACAGAGTGTTTCCAAACCGCTGAATGAAAAGAAAAGTTAAACTCTGAGAGTTGAACGCACACATCACGCACCAGTTTCTGAGAATGATTCTGTCTAGTTTTTATACGAAGATATTTCCTTTTCTGCCTTTGACCCCAAAGCGCTTGAAATTTCCACTTGCAAATTCCACAAAAACAGTGTTTCAAATCTGCTCTCTCTAAATGAAAGTTCAACTCTGTCAGTTGAATACACACAACACAAGGAAGTTACTGAGAATTCTTCTCTCTAGCAGAATATGAAGAAATCCCGTTTCCAACGAAGGCCTCAAAGAGGTCTGAATATCCACTTGCAGACTTTACAAACAGAGTGTTTCCTAACTTCTCTATGAAAAGAAAGGTTAAACTCTGTGAGTTGAACGCACACATCACAAAGGAGTTTCTGAGAATCATTCTGTCTAGTTTTTCTACGAAGATATTTCCTTTTCTACCATTGACCTCAAAGCGGCTGAAATCTCCACTTGCAAATTCCACAAAAAGAGTGTTTCAAGTCTGCTCTGTGTAAAGGATCGTTCAACTCTGTGAGTTGAATAAACACAACACAAGGAAGTTACTGAGAATTCTTCTGTCTAGCAGAATATGAAGAAATCCCGTTTCCAACGAAGGCCACAAGATGTCAGAATATCCACTTACAGACTTTACAAACAGAGTGTTTCCTAACTGCTCTATGAACAGAAAGGTTAAACTCTGTGAGTGGAACGAACACATCACAACGCAGTTTGTGGGAATGATTCTGTCTAGTTTTGAAACGAAGATATTTCGTTTTCTGCCATTGACCTTAAAGCGCTTGAAATCTCCACTTGCCAATTGCACAAAAAGAGTGTTTCAAATCTGCTCTGTCTAAGGGAACGTTCAACTCTGTGAGTTCAATGTACACAACACAAGGAAGTTACTGGGAATTCTTCTGTCTAGCCTTACAGGAAAAAAACCCGTTTCCAACGAAGGCCTCTAAGTGGTCAAGTTATCCACGTGCAGACTTTACAAACAGAGTGTTTCCAAACTGCTGAATGAAAAGAAAAGTTAAACTCTGAGAGTTGAACGCACACATCGCAGAGCAGTTTCTGAGAATGATTCTGTCTAGTTTTTATACGAAGATATTTCCTTTTCTGCCTTTGGCCCCAAAGCGCTTGAAATCTCCACTTGCAAATTCCACAAAAACAGTGTTTCAAATCTGCTCTCTCTAAATGAAAGTTGAACTCTGTCAGTTGAATACACACAACACAAGGAAGTTACTGAGAATTCTTCTGTCTAGCCTTACATGAAAAAAACCCGTTTCCAACGAAGGCCTCAAAGAAGTCCAAATATCCACATGCAGACTTTACAAACAGAGTGTTTCCTAACTGCTCTATGAAAAGAAAGGTTAAACTCTGTGAGTTGAACCCACACATCACAAAGGAGTTTCTGAGAATCATTCTGTCTAGTTTTTATACGAAGATATTTCCTTTTCTACCATTGACCTCAACGCGGCTGGAATCTCCACTTGCAAATTCCACAAAACGAGTGTTTCAAGTCCGCTCTGTGTAAAGGATCGTTCAACTCTGTGAGTTGAATACACACAACACAAGGAAGTTACTGAGAATTCTTCTGTCTAGCAGAATATGAAGAGATCCCGTTTCCAACGGAGGCCACAAGATGTCAGAATATCCACTTACAGAATTTACCAACAGAGTGTTTCCTAACTGCTCTATGAAAAGAAAGGTTAAACTCTGTGAGTTGAACGAACACATCACAACGCAGTCTGTGGGAATGATTCTGTCTAGTTTTGAAACGAAGATATTTCCTTTTCAGCCATTGACCTTAAAGCGCTTGAAATCTACACTTGCAAATTGCACAAATAGAGTGTTTCAAATCTGCTCTGTCTAAGGGAACGTTCATCTCTGTGAGTTGAATGCACACAACACAAGGAAGTTACTGGGAATTCTTCTGTCTAGCCTTACATGAAAGAAACCCGTTTCCAACGAAGGCCTCTAAGTGGTCAAAATATCCACGTGCAGACTTTACAAACAGACTGTTTCCAAACTGCTGAATGAAAAGAAAAGTTAAACTCTGAGAGTTGAACGCACACATCGCAGAGCAGTTTCTGAGAATGATTCTGTCTAGTTTTTATACGAAGATATTTCCTTTTCTGCCTTTGGCCCCAAAGCGCTTGAAATCTCCACTTGCAAATTCCACAAAAACAGTGTTTCAAATCTGCTCTCTCTAAATGAAAGTTTAACTCTGTCAGTTGAATACACACAACACAAGGAAGTTACTGAGAATTCTTCTGTCTAGCATAATATGAAGAAATCCCGTTTCCAACGAAGGCCTCAAAGGGGTCTGAATATCCACTTGCAGACTTTATAAACAGAGTGTTTACTAACTGCTCTATGAAAAGAAACGTTAAACTCTGTGAGTTGAACACACACATCACAAAGCAGTTTCTGAGAATCATTCTGTCTAGTTTTTATAGGAAGATATTTCCTATTCTACCATTGACCTCAAAGCGGCTGAAATCTCCACTTGCAAATTCCACAACAAGAGTGTTTCAAGTCTGCTCTGTGTAAAGGATCGTTGAACTCTGTGAGTTGAATACACACAACACAAGGAAGTTATTGAGAATTCTTCTGTCTAGCATAATATGAAGAAATCCCGTTTCCAACGAAGGCCTCAAAGGGGTCTGAATATCCACTTGCAGACTTTATAAACAGAGTGTTTCCTAACTGCTCTATGAAAAGAAAGGTTAAACTCTGTGAGTTGAACGCACACATCACAAAGGAGTTTCTGAGAATCATTCTGTCTAGTTTTTATATGAAGATATTTCCTTTTATACCATTGACCTCAAAGCGGCTGAAATCACCACTTGCCAATTGCACAAAAACAGTGTTTCAAATCTGCTGTGTCTAAGGAAACGTTCAACTCTGTGAGTTGAATGTACACAACACAAGGAAGTTACTGGGAATTCTTCTGTCTTGCCTTACATGAAAAAAACCCGTTTCCAACGAAGGCCTCTAAGTGGTCAAAATATCCACATGCAGACTTTACAAACAGAGTGTTTCCAAACCGCTGAATGAAAAGAAAAGTTAAAGTCTGAGAGTTGAACGCACACATCACGCAGCAGTTTCTGAGAATGATTCTGTCTAGTTTTGAAACGAAGATATTTCCTTTTCTGCCTTTGGCCTCAAAGCGCTTGAAATCTCCACTTGCAAATTCCACAAAAAGAGTGTTTCAAATCTGCTCTGGGTAAATGAAAGTTCAACTCCTGTGAGTTGAACACACACAACACAAGGAAGTTACTGGGAATTCTTCTGTCTAGCCTTATATGAAAAAAACCCGTTTCCAACGAAGGCCTCAAAGAGGTCTCAATATCCACTTGCAGACTTTACAAACAGAGTGTTTCCTCACTGCTCTATGAAAAGAAAGGTTAAACTCTGTGAGTTGAACGTACACATCACAAAGGAGTTTCTGAGAATCATTCTGTCTAGTCTTTATACGAAGATATTTCCTTTTCTACCATTGACCTCAAAGTGGCTGAAATCTCCACTTGCAAATTCCACAAAAAGAGTGTTTCAAGTCTGCTCTGTGTAAAGGATCGTTCAACTCTGTGAGTTGAATACACACAACACAAGGAAGTTACTGAGAATTCTTCTGTCTAGCAGAATATGAAGAAATCCCGTTTCCAACGAAGGCCACAAGATGTCAGAATATCCACTAACAGACTTTACACAGTGTTTCCTAACTGCTCTATGAACAGAAAGGTTAAACTCTGTGAGTTGAACGAACACATCACAACGCAGTTTGTGGGAATGATTCTGTCTAGTTTTTATACGAAGATATTTCCTTTTCTACCATTGACCTCAAAGCGGCTGAAATCACCACTTGCCAATTGCACAAAAAGAGTGTTTCAAATCTGCTCTGTCTAAGGGAACGTTCAACTCTGTGAGTTGAATGTACACAACACAAGGAAGTTACTGGTAATTCTTCTGTCTAGCCTTACAGGAAAAAAACCCGTTTCCAACGAAGGCCTCTAAGTGATCAAAATATCCACGTGCAGACTTTACAAACAGAGTGTTTCCAAACTGCTGAATGAAAAGAAAAGTTAAACTCTGAGAGTTGAACGCACACATCGCAGAGCAGTTTCTGAGAATGATTCTGTCTAGTTTTTATACGAAGATATTTCCTTTTCTGCCTTTGGCCCCAAAGCGCTTGAAATCTCCACTTGCAAATTCCACAAAAACAGTGTTTCAAATCTGCTCTCTCTAAATGAAAGTTCAACTCTGTCAGTTGAATACACAGAACACAAGGAAGTTACTGAGAATTCTTCTGTCTAGCATAATATGAAGAAATCCCGTTTCCAACGAAGGCCTCAAGGAGGTCTGAATATCCACTTGCAGACTTTACAAACAGAGTGTTTCCTAACTGCTCTATGAAAAGAAAGTTTAAACTCTGTGAGTTGAACGCACACATCACAAAGGAGTTTCTGAGAATCATTCTGTCTAGTTTTTCTACGAAGATATTTCCTTTTCTACTATTGACCTCAAAGCGGCTGAAATCTCCACTTGCAAATTCCACAAAAAGAGTGTTTCAAGTCTGCTCTGTGTAAAGGATCGTTCAAGTCTGTGAGTTGAATACACACAACACAAGGAAGTTACTGAGAATTCTTCTGTCTAGCAGAATATGAAGAAATCCCGTTTCCAACGAAGGCGTCAAGGAGGTCTGAATATCCACTTGCAGACTTTACAAACAGAGTGTTTCCTAACTGCTCTATGAAAAGAAAAGTTAAACTCTGTGTGTTGAACGCACACATCACAAAGGAGTTTCTGAGAATCATTCTCTCTAGTTTTGAAACGAAGATATTTCCTTTTCTGCCATTGACCTTAAAGCGCTTGAAATCTCCACTTGCCAATTGCACAAAAAGAGTGTTTCAAATCTGCTCTGTCTAAGGGAACGTTCAACTCTGTGAGTTGAATGTACACAACACAAGGGAAGTTACTGGGAATTCTTCTGTCTAGCCTTACATGAAAAAAACCCGTTTCCAACGAAGGACTCTAAGTGGTCAAAATATCCACGTGCAGACTTTACAAACAGAGTGTTTCCAAACTGCTGAATGAAAAGAAAAGTTAAACTCTGAGAGTTGAACGCACACATCGCAGAGCAGTTTCTGAGAATGATTTCTGTCTAGTTTTTATACGAAGATATTTCCTTTTCTGCCTTTGGCTTCACAGCGCTTGAAATCTCCACTTGCAAATTCCACAAAAAGAGTGTTTCAAATCTGCTCTGTGTAAATGAAAGTTCAACTCTGTGAGTTGAACACACACAACACAAGGAAGTTACTGGGAATTCTTCTGTCTAGCAAAATATGAAGAAATCCCGTTTCCAACGAAGGCCTCAAAGAGGTCTGAATATCCACTTGCAGACTTTACAAACAGAGTGTTTCCTAACTGCTCTATGAGAAGAAAAGTTAAACTCTGTGAGTTGAACGCACACATCACAAAAGATTTTCTGAGAATCATTCTGTCTAGGTTCTATAGGAAGATATTTCCTATTCTACCATTGACCTCAAAGCGGCTGAAATCTCCACTTGCAAATTCCACAAAAAGAGTGTTTCAAGTCTGCTCTGTGTAAAGGATCGTTGAACTCTGTGAGTTGAAAACACACAACACAAGGAAGTTTCTGAGAATTCTTCTGTCTAGCAGAATATGAAGAAATCCCGTTTCCAACGAAGGCCTCAAAGAGGTCTGAATATCCACTTGCAGACTTTACACACAGAGTGTTTCCTAACTGCTCTATGAACAGAAAGGTTAAACTCTGTGAGTTGAACGAACACATCACAACGCACTTTGTGGGAATGATTCTGTCTAGTTTTTAAAGGAAGATATTTCCTTTTCTACATTTGACTTCAAAGCGGCTGAAATCTCCACTTGCAAATTCCACAAAAAGAGTGTTACAAGTCTGCTCTGTGTAAAGGATCGTTCAACTCTGTGAGTTGAATACACACAACACAAGGAAGTTACTGAGAATTCTTCTGTCTAGCCTTCCATGAAAAAAACCCGTTTCCAACGAAGGCCTCTAAGTGGTCAAAATATCCACGTGCAGACTTTACAAACAGAGTGTTTCCAAACTGCTGAATGAAAAGAAAAGTTAAACTCTGAGAGTTGAACGCACACATCGCAGAGCAGTTTCTGAGAATGATTCTGTCTAGTTTTTATACGAAGATATTTCCTTTTCTGCCTTTGGCCTCAAAGCGCTTGAAATCTCCATTTGAAAATTCCACAAAAAGAGTGTTTCAAATCTGCTCTGTGTAAATGAAAGTTCAACTCTGTGAGTTGAATACACACAACACAAGGAAGTTACTGGGAATTCTTCTGTCTAGCATCATATGAAGAAATCCCGTTTCCAACGAAGGCCTCAAAAAGGTCTGAATATCCACTTGCAGACTTTAAAAACAGAGTGTTTCCTAACTGCTCTATGAAAAGAAAGGTTAAACTCTGTGAGTTGAACGCACACATCACAAATGAGTTTCTGAGAATCATTCTGTCTAGTCTTTATATGAAGATAGTTTCCTTTTCTACCATTGACCTCAAAGCGGCTGAAATCTCCACTTGCAAATTCTACAAAAAGAGTGTTTCAAGTCTGCTCTGTGTAAAGGATCGTTCAACTCTGTGAGTTGAATACACACAACACAAGGAAGTTACTGAGAATTCTTCTGTCTAGCAGAATATGAAGAAATCCCGTTTCCAACGAAGGCCACAAGATGTCAGAATATCCACTTACAGAATTTACCAACAGAGTGTTTCCTAACTGCTCTATGAAAAGAAAGGTTAAACTCTGTGAGTTGAACGAACACATCACAACGCAGTTTGTGGGAATGATTCTGTCTAGTTTTTATAGGAAGATATTTCCTTTTCTACCTTTGACTTGAAAGCGGCTGAAATCTCCACTTGCAAATTCCACAAAAAGAGTGTTACAAGTCTGCTCTGTCTAAGGGAACGTTCAACTCTGTGAGTTGAATGTACACAACACAAGGAAGTTACTGAGAATTCTTCTGTCTAGCCTTATATGAAGAAATCCCGTTTCCAACGAAGGCCTCAAAGAGGTCTGAATATCCACTTGCAGACTTTACAAACAGAGTGTTTCCTAACTGCTCTATGAAAAGAAAGGTTAAACTCTGTGAGTTGAACGCACACATCGCAGAGCAGTTTCTGAGAATGATTCTGTCTAGTTTTGAAACGAAGATATTTCCTTTTCTGCCTTTGGCCTCAAAGCGCTTGAAATCTCCACTTGCAAATTCCACAAAAAGAGTGTTTCAAATCTGCTCTGGGTAAATGAAAGTTCAACTCTGTGAGTTGAACACACACAATACAAGGAAGTTACTGGGAATTCTTCTGTCTAGCATAATATGAAGAAATCCCGTTTCCAACGAAAGCCTCAAAGATGTCTGAATATCCACTTGCAGACATTACAAACACAGTTTTTCCTAACTGCTCTATGAAAAGAAAGGTTAAACTCTGTGAGTTGAACGCACACATCACAAAGGAGTTTCTGAGAATCATTCTGTCTAGTTTCTATAGGAAGATATTTCCTATTCTACCATTGAACTCAAAGCGGCTGAAATCTCCACTTGCAAATTCCACAAAAAGAGTGTTTCAAGTCTGCTCTGTGTAAAGGATCGTTCAACTGCTGTGAGTTGAATACACACAACACAAGGAAGTTACTGAGAATTCTTCTGTCTAGCATAATATGAAGAAATCCCGTTTCCAACGAAGGCCTCAAGGAGGTCTGAATATCCACTTGCAGACTTTACAAACAGAGTGTTTCCTAACTGCTCTATGAAAAGAAAGGTTAAACTCTGTGAGTTAAACGCACACATCACAAAGGAGTTTCTGAGAATCATTCTGTCTAGTTTTGAAACGAAGATATTTCCTTTTCTGCCATTGACCTTAAAGCGCTTGAAATCTACACTTGCAAATTGCACAAATAGAGTGTTTCAAATCTGCTCTCTCTAAGGAACGTTCAACTCTGTGAGTTGAATGCACACAACACAAGGAAGTTACTGGGAATTCTTCTGTCTAGCCTTACATGAAAAAAACCCGTTTCCAACGAAGGCCTCAAAGAGGTCTGAATATCCACGTGCAGACTTTACAAACAGAGTGTTTCCAAACCGCTGAATGAAAAGAAAGGTTAAACTCTGTGAGTTGAACGCACACATCACAAAGGAGTTTCTGAGAATCACTCTGTCTAGTTTTTATACGAAGATATTTCCTTTTCTGCCTTTGGCCTTAAAGCGCTTGAAATCTCCACTTGCAAATTCCACAAAAAGAGTGTTTCAAATCTGCTCTGTTTAAATGAAAGTTCAGCTCTGTGAGTTGAACACACACAACACAAGGAAGTTACTGGGAATTCTTCTGTCTAGCCTTATATGAAAAAAACCCGTTTCCAACGAAGGCCTCAAAGAGGTCTGAATATCCACTTGCAGACTTTACAAACAGAGTGATTCCTAACTGCTCTATGAAAAGAAAGGTTAAACTCTGTGAGTTGAACACACACATCTCAAAGGAGTTTCTGAGAAACATTCTGTCTAGTTTTTCTACGAAGATATTTCCTATTCTACTATTGACCTCAAAGCGGCTGAAATCTCCACTTGCAAATTCCACAAAAAGAGTGTTTCAAGTCTGCTCTCTGTAAAGGATCGTTCAACTCTGTGAGTTGAATACACACAACACAAGGAAGTTACTGAGAATTATTCTGTCTAGCAGAATATGAAGAAATCCCGTTTCCAACGAAGGCCTCAAAGAGGTCTGAATATCCACTTGCAGACTTTACAAACAGAGTGTTTCCTAACTGCTCTACGAAAAGAAAGGTTAAACTCTGTGAGTTGAACGAACACATCACAACGCAGTTTGTGGGAATGATTCTGTCTAGTTTTTATAGGAAGATATTTCCTTTTCTACCTTTGACTTCAAAGCGGCTGAAATCTCCACTTGCAAATTCCACAAAAAGACTGTTACAAGTCTGCTCTGTCTAAGGGAACGTTCAACTCTGTGAGTTGAATGTACACAACACAAAGAAGTTACTGGGAATTCTTCTGTCTAGCCTTACATGAAAAAAACCCGTTTCCAATGAAGGCCTCTAAGTGGTCAAATTATCCACGTGCAGACTTTACAAACAGAGTGTTTCCAAACTGCTGAATGAAAAGAAAAGTTAAACTCTGAGAGTTGAACGAACACATCACAGAGCAGTTTCTGAGAATGATTCTGTCTAGTTTTTATACGAAGATATTTCCTTTTCTGCCATTGGCCTCAAAGCACTTGAAATCTCCACTTGCAAATTCCACAAAAAGAGTGTTTCAAATCTGCTCTGTGTAAATGAAAGTTCAACTCTGTGACTTAAAAAACACACAACACAAGGAAGTTACTGGGATTTCTTCTGTCTAGCATAATATGAAGAAATCCCGTTTCCAACGAAGGCCTCAAAGAGGTCTAATATCCACTTGCAGACTTTACAAACAGAGTGTTTCCTAACTGCTCTATGAGAAGAAAAGTTAAACTCTGTGAGTTGAACGCACACATCACAAAAGATTTTCTGAGAATCATTCTGTCTAGTCTTTATACGAAGATATTTCCTTTTCTACCATTGACCTCAAAGCGGCTGAAATCTCCACTTGCAAATTCCACAAAAAGAGTGTCTCAAGTCTGCTCTGTGTAATGGATCGTTCAACTCTGTGAGTTGAATACACACAACACAAGGAAGTTACTGAGAATTCTTCTTTCTGGCAGAATATGAAGAAATCCCGTTTCCAACGAACGCCTCAAGGATGTCTGAATATCCACTTGCAGACTTTACAAACAGAGTGTTTCCTAACTGCTCTATGAAAAGAAAGGGTAAACTCTGTGAGTTGAACGCACACATCACAAAGGAGTTTCTGAGAATCATTCTGTCTAGTTTTGAAACCAAGATATTTCCTTTTCTGCCGTTGACCTTAAAGAGCTTGAAAACTACACTTGCATATTGCACAAATAGAGTGTTTCAAATCTGCTCTGTCTAAGGGAACGTTCAACTCTGTGAGTTGAATGCACACAACACAAGGAAGTTACTGGGAATTCTTCTGTCTAGCCTTACATGAAAAAATCCCGTTTCCAACGAAGGTCTCTAAGTTGTCAAAATTTCCACGTGCAGACTTTACAAACAGAGTGTTTCCAAACCGCTGAATGAAAAGAAAAGTTAAACTCTGAGAGTTGATCGCACACATCACGCAGCAGTTTCTGAGAATGATTCTGTCTAGTTTTTATAGGAAGATATTTCCTTTTGTACCATTGACCACAAAGCGGCTGAAATCTCCACTTGCAAATTCCACAAAAAGGGTGTTTCAAGTCTGCTCTGTGTAAAGGATCGTTCAACTCTCTGAGTTGAATACACACAACACGCGGAAGTTACTGAGAATTCTTCTTTCTTGCAGAATATGAAGAAATCCCGTTTCCAACGAAAGCCTCAAGGATGTCTGAATATCCACTTGCAGACTTTACAAACAGAGTGTTTCCTAACTGCTCTATGAAAAGAAAGGTTAAACTCTGTGAGTTGAACGCACACATCACAAAGGAGTTTCTGAGAATCATTCTGTCTCGTTTCTATAGGAAGATATTTCCTATTCTACCATTGACCTCAAAGCGGCTGAAATCTCCACTTGCAAATTCCACAAAAAGAGTGTTTCAAGTCTGCTCTGTGTAAAGGATCGTACAACTCTGTGAGTTGAATACACACAACACAAGGGAAGTTACTGAGAATTCTTCTGTCTAGCAGAATATGAAGAAATCCCGTTTCCAACGAAGGCCACAAGATGTCAGAATATCCACTTACAGACTTTACAAACAGAGTGTTTCCTAACTGCTCTATGAACAGAAAGGTTAAACTCTGTGAGTTGAACGAACACATCAGAACGCAGTTTGTGGGAATGATTCTGTCTAGTTTTGAAACGAAGATATTTCCTTTTCTGCCATTGACCTTAAAGCGCTTGAAATCTCCACTTGCCAATTGCACAAAAAGAGTGTTTCAAATCTGCTCTGTCTAAGGGAACGTTCAACTCTGTGAGTGGAATGTACACAACACAAGGAAGGTACTGGGAATTCTTCTGTCTAGCCTTACAGGAAAAAAACCCGTTTCCAACGAAGGCCTCTAAGTGGTCAAAATATCCACGTGCAGACTTTACAAACAGAGTGTTTCCAAACTGCTGAATGAAAAGAAAAGTTAAACTCTGAGAGTTGAACGCACACATCGCAGAGCAGTTTCTGAGAATGATTTCTGTCTAGTTTTTATACGAAGATATTTCCTTTTCTGCTTTTGGCCTCAAAGCGCTTGAAATCTCCACTTGCAAATTCCACAAAAAGAGTGTTTCAAATCTGCTCTGTGTAAATGAAAGTTCAACTCTGTGAGTTGAACACACACAACACAAGGAAGTTACTGGGAATTCTTCTCTCTAGAAGAATATGAAGAAATCCCGTTTCCAACGAAGGCCTCAAAGAGGTCTGAATATCCACTTGCAGACTTTACAAACAGAGTGTTTCCTAACTGCTCTATGAAAAGAAAGGTTAAACTCTGTGAGTTGAACGCACACATCTCAAAGGAGTTTCTGAGAATCATTCTGTCTAGTTTCTATAGGAAGATATTTCCTATTCTACCATTGACCTCAAAGCGGATGAAATCTCCACTTGCAAATTCCACAAGAGTGTTTCAAGTCTACTCTGTGTAAAGCATCGTTCAACTCTGTGAGTTGAAAACACAGAACACAA